>NC_000001.11:39856865-40159895 GCF_000001405.40 Homo sapiens | reverse complement strand
ACGGTGAAACCCTGTCTCTACTAAAAATACAAAAAATTAGCCGGGCGTGGTGGCGGGCGCCTGTAGTCCCAGCTACTCGGGAGGCTGAGGCAGGAGAATGGCGTGAACCTGAGAGGCAGGGGTTGCAGTGAGCCGAGATCGCGCCACTGCATTCCAGCCTGGGTGACAGAGCAAGACTCCGTCTCAAAAAACAAACAAACAAACAAACAAATAGTTCCCAAAATCGAAAAAGGCAAACAACCCAATAGAAAAGTAAATTAAAAAGCTGGACGTTTTGGCTCATGCCTGTAATCTCAGTACTTGGGAGCCCAAGGCCGGAGGATTGCTTGAGTTCAGGAGTTCGAGACCAGCCTGGGCAACATAATGAGATCTTGTGTCTACAAAAAATGAAAACAAAATTAGCCAGGCGTGGTGGCATGCGCCTCTAGTCCCAGCTACTTAGGAGGCTGAGGTGGGAGGATCGCTTGAGCTCTGGAAATCAAAGCTGTGGTGCAGTGACCCAAGGTGGCATCACTGCATTCTAGCCTGAGGGACACTAAAAAAAAAAAAAAAAAGAGAGAGAGAAAGAAAAGTAGGTAAAAAGGCAGTTCACCAAAAAAGAAAACTGAATGGCCAATAAACCCAAGAAAAAATATATAATTTTGCTGTAACTATCAAAGTACAAGTAAAACAACAATTTCATATCCATTAGATTGACAGGAATTTTTAATTAGTATAGGAAATAGGAAAATGGAACTTATATACCCCTGCTGGAAGCATAAATTGACATATCACTTAGGAGAATAATGTGTAATATTTAATGAAATAGAAGATGTACATGTCCTGTAATTAAGCAATTCCTAATAATAAGGGTAATAATAATAACGGTCAATATTCATTGAGATTTAATATGTTCCAGGCACTTTTCGAAGTTCTTTATATGTATTAACTCATTTAATTCTACTAACAATATCATGAAAATTTATTGCCATCATTTTACAATTAAATAAACTAGAGCACAAAGAAGTAACGTGCCCAAAGTGACACAACTAGTGATGGTGCCTGAAATTCAATCCTGGGTAGTCTGGCTCTAGAATCCACCCTCTTAACTGTCATGTTGCTCATATTCATTGCAGCACTATTGGGAATAACAAAATATTTGAAACAACCTAAATGTTCAACAGTAAGAAATAGATAAACAAATTATGGTATGTTCACACACTGAAATATACAGCCAAAAAACATATGAAAACTGCATATATCAACATAATAGGCATAAAGCATGATAAAAAAACAAATCGCAAGGGATATTTAACGTATTATTCTATACTGTAAATTTTGAAAACATAGAAAACAAATGCTCAAGTAACAAAATATTAAAACTAGGGATATTATAGGCATGGCATATATCACCTTTAGAATGGTAGGTAGTTCTTCTGGGGAAAGAGGAAGGGAAGGAGGTATAAGGAGCATTCACTGTATCTGTAATGTTTTACTTATTTTTTAATGTGAAGCAAATATTCAATTATACCAGATGCATTGAGCATATATTATGTGTTAGGCACTTTTTCAGGTAATAGAGATTCAGAAAAGACATGTAGTTTACATTTTAATGGTACATGTAGCTAAGTATTAATTAAAGTATTAGATCTGGCTCTATAATCTATAATATTATTATATATTATTATATAATATCTATAATATTATTCCCTATTGGCTGGGCTCGGTAGCTCACTCCTGTAATCCCAGCACTTTGGGAGGCCGAGGCAGGCAGATCACGAGGTCAGGAGATCGAGACCATCCTGACTAACACGGTGAAACCCCGTCTCTACTAAAAAAATACAAAAAATTAGTCGGGCGTGGTGGCGGGCGCCTGTAGTCCCAGCTACTCAGGAGGCTGAGGAAGGAGAATGGCGTGAAGGGAGGCAGAGGTTGCAGTGAGCCGAGATTGCGCCACTGCACTCCAGCCTGGGCGACAGAGCAAGACTCTGTCTCAAAAAAAGTATATATATGTATATATATATAAATATTATTCTCTATTTTTTTATATCTTTGTAATACAAATAATTAGGTTTAGGCCAGCATGTCTGGAGTATGGTGCAAGAGAGAGAAAGAAGTGAAGATGAGATTGGAGAAGGAGCAAAGAGCCAGGTCATGTAGGACAGTATAGCTCAAGGTAAGCAGTGGGGATTTGAAGTGTACTGAGTAATCATTGTTTTACTGAGTAATCAAAGCTTTAAGTGGAGGTGTAACTTTGTCTGGTTTACACTCTTGCTGCCATGTGAGAATAGGTGGTGAGAGGCGAGAATGAAAGCAGGGAACCTATTGTAGTACTCCAGATGATCAAGTTAGAGATGTATTTTGGAAGTAGAACTAACAGGCTGATGCACTGTTTTTGAGGAAATTGAAATAATCTGGAATGGCTACATGGCTTTTGGTTTGAATGGTGGGCAATGATGTTTATTGAGAAAAGGAAGGCTTAGGAAAGAACAGACTGGGGATAGAGTGAGGGAGAATCAAGAGTTCTATTTGGAACAGGTTAAGTTTGATTTTCCTGTGAGTTCCTATGAGACATTTAAATGGAGATGCCAGATAGGCACTTGTATGTGTGACTGTGGAGCTTCAGCTGAAGATGTGGGGCCATCAGCTGTTCCACCTCTGTTAGGCAAAAAGAAAAATAAATCTCTAGTGACTCCACCACATCTTCATCTAGCTTCCATCCCACTTCTTTGCTTCCTTTTATAGAAAAACTTCTCTAAAGAGCTGGCCAGACCTTCTGTTTCTACTTACCCTCTTCTCATTCTTACTTGAACTCTTCTCAGTCAGGTTTTATCCCCACCAGTCAATGAAACAGCTCATTTTAACACCACCAGTGAGTTCTACTTTTGTGTGTGTCCAAAGGTGAATTATCAGTCCTTGTTTAGTCAATCTCTTAGCAGTATTTGGCATTGTCGATAATTCCCCAACATTTAATTTCACTTGGATTCCAAGTCTGCACATTCTCCTGGTGTTTTTTTTCTTGATTTCTTTTCTTTTATTCTCTCTTTTCTTTGTGATTTCTAAGTGTCCCAGGCATAGTCTGTCAACTTCTTTTCTATCTACACTCACTGCTACACTCACCCAGTTCTAATACATGTATGTGCTTATGACAATACCACCCTAAGTCCAGGCAACAAGGGCCCTGCCCTGGGTCCCACACTTTAGAGGACTACACAAACCTCTCTCTCTCTTTCTTACACACACACACATGCACACACACACACACACACACAGTAACTATATTAAAGAACACATGGGCACCCCTATCATTTGAAATCCAGCACTCAGCACAAGTACAATCTTAAATATTTGCTTTCTTGAGGCAGGGTCTCACTCTGTCACCCATGCTGAAATGCAGTGGTATGATCACAGCTCACTGCAGCCTTGGCCTTCCTGGACTCAAGCAAGCCTCTCACGTCAGTCTCTTGAGTAGCTGAGACTACAGAAATGCAACAACAAGCCTAGCTTTTTTCCATTTCTATTCTTTTCTTTCTTCCTTTGTTTCTTTGTTTCTTTCTTTCTTTCCTTCTTTCTTCTTCTTCTTCTTTTTTTTT
Source organism: Homo sapiens (assembly GCF_000001405.40). Taxonomy (NCBI): domain Eukaryota; kingdom Metazoa; phylum Chordata; class Mammalia; order Primates; family Hominidae; genus Homo; species Homo sapiens. The sequence goes on along the minus strand of NC_000001.11, from coordinate 40,156,323 downwards.
TTTTTTGACGGAGTTTCCCCTTTGTCACTAGACTGGAGTGCAGTGGGGTGATCTCAACTCACTAGAATTTCTGCCTCCTGGGTTCAAGAGATTCTTCTGCCTCAGTCTCCTGAGTATCTGGGATTGCAGGTGTGCATCACCACACCCGGATAAATATTTGCTTTCTTTACCACTACTATTCAGGCTTTAGGGAACCTCTTTATCACGTCTCTTGCTCCATATACTCAAAGCTGAAAGGCACCAAAAGAATTGAAACCAGAGACATGAACAAATATTTGTACATTTGTGTTCACAACACTGTTATTCATAATAACCAAACGATAAAAATGACCCAAATGTCCATGAATGAATGAATAAATAAATGAATGTGGTATAGACATGCAATGGAATGTTATTCAACCTTAAAAAGGAAAGAAATTCATTCCTGAAAAAACAGGGGGAGGGAGGAAATTCTGACACGTGCTACAACATGGATAAATGTTGATTATGCTAAGTGAAACAAGCATCATAAAAAGACAAATGTTGTATGAGTCCACTTATATGAGGTATATAGAGTAGTCAAATTCATAGAGTAAGAAAGAATAATGGTGGTTGCCAGGGGCTGGGGGAGAGAGAGGCCAGCAGAGTTATTGTTTAATGGATGTAGAATTTCAGTTTGGGAAGATGAAAAAGTTACGGTGATGGAGGGTGGTGATGCTTGCACAACAATGTGAATGTACTTAATGCCACTGAACTATACACTTAAAAATGGATAAAATGATAAGCTTTACCTTATGCATATTTTACCACCATTAAAAAAATGAAAGACAACTGCATCCTAATGTCTTGAAGGTTTTGGGTTGTGCTACTTAAGAGAAATAGGCACACTGTTTTTGAAATGCTACGTAGAGTGTGTTCGAGCTACAGAAGCACTTGGGTAAGAGAAAACACAAATTAGCTTGTCATACTCTTCCTCTTAGATAGCATAAATGCATTTTCTTGCATAACCATGTATTGTTTCTTGGTAGTGGCAGATGTTCCTTTTTTTAATTGTCTCCATACACACATATGCGTATACACTGATATATACATGTATCTGTCTAGATGTAACATGAGTAGAGAGTAAGACTGAACATTTACATAATCATAAATAGACAATGAATATTAGCATTGGGAATAACTATTTGTACAAAAATATTTAATAAGACTGAATTGTTTTTTAAATGAAATTTACAATTCTAGCATTATTTACTTAATTTTAATTTAAAATTGTGAAAGAAAATAGTCTATTTTGAGCTTCTAAAAGTTGTTAGGCCCTAAGCAAGGTTGACTTTGGAGACTGAGTCACAAAGCATGACCTCTTGTTTACTGGCATTTTTGTTTTTTTGTTTTTGTTTTTTTTGACACAAGGTCTTACTTTGTCACCCAGTCTGGAGTGCAGTGATCTCAGCTCACTGCAACCTCAACTTCTTGGTTCAAGAGATCCTTCTGCCTCAGCCCCTCAAGTAGCTGGAACTACAGGCACATGCCACCACACCAAGCTAATTTTTGCATTTTTTATAGAGATGGGGTTGCTGGTCTCAAACTCCTGGACTCAAATGATCTGTCCATCTCAGCCTTTCAAAGCCCTGGGATTACAAGCGTGAGCCACTGTGCGTGGCGGCCTTTTGTTATAGATTAACTTCCTTCCTATTTTCTTTTACTTGGCTCAAACAAGAAAAAAAGACCCCTTGACTATTACATCCTTAATGTGAAATGTGAAATATACCCTTCCCCCAAAAGAAACACTGCATATAATCAATCAAATTGCTGTATCTATGCATTAATCTTGTATGCAAAATGTTGAAATCCTGGTAAGCTTCCCCAGACTTTACCTATTTAAGCACCCTCAAACCTCTCCATTTCAGAGCACTGACCCCATCTTTTTGGAGTCTATATCCTCTCAGATGGCCACCCTCAAATTTACACTCGAATAAACTCAATATTTAATACTGTTGCCTGAATTTCATTATTAAGGTTGACATTTTGGCGACCATGAAGGGACCTAAGGCAAACCTTCATTCCAGTGATTCCTGTCATTTCACTAACAGCCAAAATCTTGGTACCAGCATGAACAACTTTTGTTCATCCACCCTCAAAAGAACTAATGGGGATCCCTGGTAAGGCTCCTCTCAGGTTGTAGTCCTCTTGGCTTTGATGAGGATTCAGACTTTATTCCAGCTATACACTTCTAACTGGAGGAAGTAAGAATTAAAGCTCTGCTGCAAGATAGGAGTTTCATTTGTTATTCTGTAGAGATTCTGCTGATCATAGATTTGTGACTTTCAGTCGGGTGCAGTGGCTCACACCTGTAATCTCAGCACTTTGGGAGGCCGAGGTGGGTGGATCACTTGAGGTTGGGAGTTCGAGACCAGCCTGGCCAACATGGTGAAACCCCGTTTCTACTAAAAACACAAAAATTAACTGGGCGTGGTGGCACATGCCTGTAGTGCCAGCTACTCAGGAGGCTGAAGCAGGAGAATCACTTAAACCCAAGAGGCAGAGGTTGCAGTGAGCCGAGATCACACTACTGTATTCCAGCCTGGGTGACAGAGCAAGACTATGTCTCAAAAAAAAAAAAAATTGTGACTTTCACTTTTCTGTGAGGTTAAGGTTTTTGTTTTGAATTACTCCTTAGAGTTTTTACAACTTTTTCTCTCATTCAAAATGTTGATAAGGTGAAAAACAGTTTATTTTTAAAAAGAGGAAGTAAATCTTTGTGGTTTAAGCAAAAATGTTATAATATTTAAAGCTAGCCAGGTTCTGAGGCTTGGTTCAATTGACAAATTCAAGCTTGCTTCTTGAGTGACCAAAATTATGAAATACTCTGTATAAGGATGAAATAAGTCCTGAAGATAATAGACACTGTTTCTCCCAGCTAAAAGTCACCTTAAGCAACTAAGGTCTAGTGTGAGTATCTGAGTTAATCACTCCTGATAAGTAACAGTCTCACAGGAAATCCCTTAAGTAGAATTTAAAGGAAACCTTGCTTAATCTGGTGAGCACACATAAAGGATTGATTACCCTGTATCTTAAGCATCCAAGTTTGTTGGTATCATTGAGATTTGTATGTGAGAAGAACTGACTCAAGAGTGACACCTTGAGGAGCTATTTTCGCAAGCAGCACACTCGATCTCAAAACAACTTTCACTAAGTCTTTTGGTCTTAGGGATCTCAAAACAACTTTCTTGATCTCAAAACAACTTTCCCTAAGTCTTTTGATGCACTATGGGCAACTGTGCATCTAAAACTGAACCTTCCTCCTTAAGAGAGACCCACTATTAGAAACTCCAGCTGGATTTATAGTTAACACATATGACATGATGCCTTTTCAGGTAAGTATTTAGAAAACTGCTCGTGAATAACTCACAATGACTCCAAATTATAATGGCCAAAATGGTGTGCCTTTGAAATGCCTAATCTAGTTTACTTATATGCTCAATTAGAATAAGCTGGCTCTAAAATAAAACAGAGCAATTGGAAAAGTTATTTTCAATGGCATTTAGAGGCTTCCAAAAGAGGTTTTGATAAAGTTCTTTCTTTACAGAAAGAAAACAAAAGATTCTCTGAAACAATTTCTGAAATAAAAAAGCTGCTGAAATTTCTCCTCCTCAACTCCTCCTTCTCTTTATCCTTCATTATCTCAACTACTTTTTCTTCCTCCTCCCACTTCTACTCCCATTGTTCTGGCTCCATTTTGTGAGTAGCTGGTGTCTGGTAGGGGAGAACCTACCTTGGTTTATGAACCAAGGTGAAATCTAAAGGCATAGTTAAAGAATTCCCTGACTCTCACCTGGACCCTACTCATTTTACCAGACAATTTGAATGGAATATTCAAGCTTATGATCCTGTTGTTTTTTTTCTAATTTATACTAACTAGTTCACATGTTAACATCAAAAAGTAAAGCTAAAGGCGGAGCTTGGTGGCTCATGCCTATAATCCCAGACCTTTGCAAGGCCAAGGTGGGTGGATCACTTGAGGTCAGGAGCTCGAGACCAGCCTGACCAACATTACAGGCATGAGCCACGCGCCCGGCCTAAGGAGTCTTATATCTCAGTCAAGAATCAGTCAAGGAGACTTATATAGACTCAGTCAAGGAGTCTTGTATCTCAGGTACCATCTGAGTCAGGTACAAGAAAATAAGAAAGGAAATTAATCTATAATAAAAAGTCAAGATTAAGAGGTCATGCTCTGTGACTTGGTCTCCAAAGTCAATCTTCCACAAAACCTAAGCTTTTAGAAGCCCCAAATAGACAGACTATTCCTTTTCTTTCACATTTTCCCCTTTTCTTCAAGATCTTTGAAGAAAGCATTACGGAAGAAGCATTTGTTAGAGAGTAGTTATATCTCACATCACTAGGAAGTCTCATTCCTAGAGAGTCATGCCCCACAGAGAGGGGAAATGTTTAATTCATAAGCCGAAAGAAGCCAAAGCCTAATTATGAACAACAGAAGGAAAGTATAACTTAGTGGTCTGATTCTGGTTGTGTGACTTATTTTCAATTAAGGCAACTTTTTAAGCAATTATTATTCTAGTTTTAGTCATTGATCACAAGCAAGCTGAAACACGAATCATGAGTAATTTGATAACTAGGAAAATGGAAACTGTACTTATGATTATAATAACAATTACTTGAAGACCAGAACGAAAAAATGAACTTAGCCCTGAGGGTAACCAACTAAACAAGTCATTTAGAGAATCCATTTTCTTTTCTTTCTTTCTTTCTTTTCTTTTCTTTCTTTTTTTTTTTTTTTTTTTGAGACAGAGTCTTACTCTGTCACCCAGGCGGGAGTGCAGTGGCATGATCTTGGCTCACTGCAACCTTCGCCTCCTGGGTTCAAGTGATTCTCCTGCCTCAGCCTCCTGAGTAGCTGGGACTACAGGGGTGTGCCATCACGACCAGCTAATTTCTGCGTTTTTAGTAGAGATGGGGTCTTGCCACTTTGGCCAGACTGGTCTTGAACTCCTGGCCTCAGGTGATCCACCTACCTTGGCCTCCCAAAGTGCTGGGATTACCGGCGTGAACCACTGTGCCAGCCTAGAGAATCCATTTTCTAACATCTTATAACCATTAGTCTTTTGAGTTTTATTTATTTATTTATTTTTGAGATGGAGTCTCACTCTGTCCCCCAGGCTGGAGTGCAGTAGCGCAATCTTGGCTCACTGCAACATCTGCCCCATGGTTTCAACCACCGTGCCTGGCTTTTTTTTTTTTTTTCGATGGAGTCTTGCTCTGTTGCCCAAGCTGGAGTGCAGTGGTACAATCTCGGCTCACTACAACCTCCGCCTCCCAGGCTCAAGTGATTCTCCTGCCTCAGCCTGTTGAGCAGCTGGGATTACCGGCGCCCACCACCATGCCCAGCTAATTTGTGTAGTTTTAGTAGAGATAGGGTTTCACCATGTTGGCCAGGCTGGTCTCAAACTCCTGACCTCAAGTGATGTGCTCACCTTGGCCTCCCAAAGTGCTAGGATTACAGGTGTGAGCCACCACGCCCAACCAAGTTATTCTTTTAAATTGAGTCTGCACTTCTCTAGAGGTATTAACATAGATACAACAAGTGATGTGTGCTACTGCACAGACTCCTCCTTTTTCAGCCAATACATAGTCAAAGGCAATTCTGTTATCTAGTATTACCTGGGCTAAGGAGGTCAAACATTTTTGGTGAGCTGCAATGCTTCTTGCATTGTCTCCAGCTATCTGACCAATACGAGCTGATAGGTTTTTATTCATCTCTATTAATATGAACTCCCAGCACTCAGGATTAGTGTTCCCAAAATGCTGTGACCTAAATTATTTCAATACTCTGCTAACGGCTGGGCGCAGTGGCTCATGCCTGTAATCCCAGCACTTTGGGAGGCCGAGGCGGGCGGATCACCTGAGGTCCGGAGTTCAAGACCAGCCTGACCAACATGGAGAAACCCCATCTCTACTAAAAGTACAAAAAATTAGCCTGGTGTGGTGGTGCATTCCTGTAATCCCAGCTACTCCGGAGGCTGAGGCAGGAGAATGGCTTGAACCCGGGAGGCGGAGGTTGCTGTGAGCCGAGATCGCGCCATTGCACTCCAGCCTGGGCAACAAGAGTGAAACTCCATGTCAAAAAAAAAAAAAACAAAAATACTCTGCTAACATAGTCTTCTTATCTCTGTAATAGAGAAAGGGGGGGTCCATATATATATATATATTCTCCTTCCTCTGCCTCAGCCTCCCAAGTAGCTGGAATTACAGGCATGTGCCACCACACCCGGCTAATTTTTGTATTTTTAGTAGAGACAGGGTTTCACCATATCCAATTCAGGCCCTTGACTGAAAATATATTCCCAAGCTGACCTTTTTTTTTTTTCACTTCCTCCAGCTATATCACCCTAGTTTTATTCATTAATATCTCCCATCTAAACTTAAGGAGTAACCTTTTTAGGGGACTAGCTATTTCTATTCTGGCCCTCCTGGAGTCAATTGTCCACACAATAGCTACATTAATCATTTTATGGGAAGAAGAAAAGATTCTTCTTTTTTATTTTTTGTGGGAAGAAGAAAAGATTTTTTTTTTTTTTTTTTTGAGACAGAGTCTTGCTCTGTCGCCCAGGCTGGAGGGCAGTGGCACCATCTCAGCTCACTGCAACCTCTGCCTCTCGGGTTCAAGCGATTCTTCTGCCTCAGCCTCCCGAGTAGCTGGGATTACAGGTCTGTGCCACCACGCCCAGGTAATTTTTGTATTTTTAGGAGATACAGGGTTTCACCATGTTGGGCAGGCTGGTTTCAAACTCTTGTCCTCAACTGATCCATCTGCCTCAGCCTCCCAAAGTGCTCGGATTAGAGGTGTGAGCCACCATGCCTGGCCTACATTAATCCTTTTAAAACATAATTCAGATTGTTTTGCTTCCCTTGCTCAAAACATTATAGTGACTTCCCATCACTCCTTGAAAAACATGAAAAAATCTTTACCAGAGTCTGCAAAGCCCTACCTATATTGGCCCCTGCTCCCTCTCTAAACTCAGGCACTACTTTATCTCACTCATTGGGCTCCAGCCACATTGGTCTTGCCATTCTTAAACAAGATGAACAAACTCCATGAATTTTGCACTTACCGTTCCCTCTGCCTGTGGAACTCTTCTTTTTTTCATTTCATTGAGGTTCAAGTATCACCTCATAGAGGCATTCACTGACAACTCTATCTAAAAGAGCCTTTTCTATCCCCTTGCTCTCCTTCCACTTTTAAAATATTATTTGGCTTTTTTTTGAATATTTTTCTTTTTTTTTTTTTTGAGATGGAGTCTCGCTCTGTCACCAGGCTGGAGTGCAGTGGCACAATCTCGGCTCAATGCAACCTTCGCCTCCCAGGTTCAAGCAATTCTCCTGCCTCAGCCTCCCAAGTAGCTGGGATTACAGGCACCTGCCACCACACCCAGCTAATTTTTGTATTTTTAGTAGAGACAGGATTTCACCATGTTGGCCAGGTTGGTCTCAATCTCTTGACCTCGTGATCCGCTCGCCTCAGCCTCTCGAAGTGCTGGGATTACAGGCATGAGCCACTGCGCCCAGCCCAAATATTATTTGGCTTTATGTTATCACTGTTGTGTGTGTCTCCCCTCTATAGAAGGTAAGTTCTTTGGAAGTAGAGTGACTTGCGTCATTCACCGCTGTATCCCCAGTGTCTGGTACAGTAGTTCCGGGCATATTGTGTGCACTCAATGTTATGAAAGAAGACTTTTTAAAGCATATGGTATTTAAATGGGTATTTAAATAAGATCCACTGGGGAGAGTATAAACTAAGGGTCATAAATTTATATTCCTACTAGCCTTTGTCAGCTCACCTAAATGAATGACACAGGCTGGGTATAAGATGTTTGGAAAGAATGAGTTGATTAAGAAATGACCCAAGAAGCAGGTACTCAGCTCCAGAAAATTATTGCCATATGAGAATACAGAACTCATTTTACTAGGTCTGCTAATTCTCCAAGATAAATTGGAAGTTCAGTTTTGGTTTTGTTGTTGTCGTTTTTCTTTTATTTGATTTTGTTTTTTAACACGATTTCCTATTTTGAAAACTGCAGGCCAAATAATACCCACCTGTGAGTCCAGTGTGACTGATGAGCCAACGGTCTGCAACCTCAAAACAGAAAGAAGGAGGAGGGTCCAAGATCTTGCCAACACTAAGATGTCAGAGGAGTAGGATCCAGCCATCAAAGAATGTTCAGAACCCACTGAACAGACAGAGGGAAAACCAAGAGTGTGATATTCCTCAAGACAAAAGAAGAAAGCGGCAGGAAGAAGCTGAATGGTCAGCTTTGTAGGCTGCTGACAAGAGTTTGGGTAAGGTGAGGACACACAAATGTCCATTTGATGTGACATCATGAGTATTGGTTGGTAACCTCAACTAGAGAAGTTTCTGTAGATCTCTGGTATGGAATCCTGTCTGAAGAAGATTGAAGAATTAATGTGAGATATGAAAGTAAAAAGAGCAGGGCAATTACCCTCTTCAGAAGTTTTTCTGAGAAAGAGGAGAATAAAACCGGGGCTGTGCTATTAAGGGGATATGAGGTTTTGGAAGGAATTCTTAAAGATAAGTTTATTAGTATGTTCTCATGCCTGTAATAAAGACATAACCGAGACTGGGTAATTCATAAAGGAAAGAGGTTTAATTGACTCATACTTCCACACGGCTGGAGAAGCCTCACAATCACAGCAGAAGGCCAAAAAGAAACAAAGTCGTGTCTTACATGGTGGCAGGCAGAGAGTTTGTGTAGGGGAGCACCCCTTTATAAAACCATCAGATCCTGTGAGACTTACTCACTATCATGAGAGCAGCACAGGAAAGATCTGCCCCCATGATTCAGTTACCTCCCACAGGTACCTCCCACAACGCGTGGGAATTACAATTCAAGATGAGATTTGGGTGGGGACACAGCCAAACCATGTCAACAGGAGATTCTAGAGCATGGTTGCATGTGTATGGAAATGATACAGGAAAATAGGAGAAAATTTAATGTAGAAAACAGGGTGGGGGGATTGCAGGAGAAAAGTCCTTGAGAAGGCAAGAGGGCATGGCATCCAGAATACAAGAAGTTTGATCTGCAATAGAAATTAGATATGTATTTTTATTTCAAAAGGAGGGAATCTGGAGAGTATGGGTACAGATGCAAGTAGGTGTATAGATTTGGCAGTGGGAGATTTGGGAGTCATTGCCTGAGTGCTTCTTTTTGCTCCATGACTTGTGAGAGAAAGCTGAGGTGGTAGAGAAAGGCAATGTTGAGCCTTTGAGGAGACAGTAAAAACTTTGTTAGAGTTGTTTTAGAGTGAGAAAAAAAGAATGCATTCTAGATATGTGCAGGAAGATTGCAGGACAGTGTTGAGTGGCATCATTCATTTACTCAACAAATATTCACTGAAAGTCTACCATGTTTCAGGTACTGTCCTAGAGGCTAAAAATACATCATGAAAAAAAACAAGTCCTGGGTTTTATATTCTTTTCTCCCTCAGAAGTTATAATACAGTTAATTTAATTGCAACTTTCTTTATCATATTCCAGTTCTATGGATACTCCCAGGTCCCCCCCATACCCCCCAACCCAACCACCGGCTTGAGTGAACCTAGATATCTCTCAATACATCATGAGTAAGACACAAACGATGAGTTAGAGTGGTTACATTTTTAAGATCCATCTGTTTAGATTCATGGAACATTGTGGACAACTACTATGGTCAAGGTAAATTTTTCTCATTATGGGTAAAACCCAGAGGGCTCTAGGGTCAGGTTTGTCAGGTTTGGATCCCAGCTCCGACTGCTTATTCGTTGTGTGCCTTTAGATCATTTAATTTCATTGAGCCTTGGGTTCCTCATCTTAAGGTGGACATTGTAACAGCATGTGTCTCATAATTCTCATAGTTGTGGGTCCTAATGAGATTTATCCAAAGAGCGGAGAATGAGGCCAGATGCACAGTAAGCACTCAGTGTCACTAGTATTACTCCTATAAGGTTCAGCTTCAGAGGATAACTTTAGTTTCCTTTACTGTAGTCCCTCCACACCTACTGACCATGGATGCCATCTATTTTCACGACTTTGTCCTGTGAGTGACAAAATGATCAAGAGGACAGACCCATACTGTGGATCATCAAAGGAGCTGATTGATTAGGCTAGGATTTCTGATTTGCAAATTCAATAACTTGATTCTATCATTTCACCTAGGTTGTGATTAAGGCACAAGAGCCCAAATTACTAATTTACCTTAAGAAATATAATGGTATCTCTACAGAAAAGTCAGCTTGGGAAGCAAAATTAACACCGGAAGTTTGCTTAGGGAGGGTACAATTGGTGTAAAGGGAATGAGAAGATCTTAAACCACCATTGTTCCAACACCCTAGCTTCTCCCACGGTTATTTTTTATCCTTTCTTTCTCTACCCCCCAAATCTAATCAGGTTAGATTCTAAGTCCTATTAATTTGTGCTCAGGAAACTTTCTCCCATATTTTCTCTTACCCATTTCTACTTCTCCATGCCTGGGGAATGAGAGTATATAGATAACACAAAATAATGTCCTCTAAAGGTCTTCAAATGAGAAGCATTTGAAGAGTGAGAGTGGCTTCCAGGTGAGGGAGAGGATGTGCTTCAGAAGCTGATTTTGATTATCATTTCCCATGGCTGGACTTGCTGCCATCACCTCCCTGGGACCCTGGGAACATTTTGTTCCTTTCCCAGGGGCTCAGCATTCCCTTCTGGGAGGCTTTGTTGCTCCCATTTTGATGAAGGGTTAGGGGCCCAAAGGTAGAGAACCCCCAAAGGAGATGGGAATCCAAAAATCTCACAGATGCTATTTCAGACTTTCCCCTCCTGCCAAAGTCTCCCTGGAGAATCCTTCTTTCCTCTGCCCTTTGGGAGATTTTATATTTGTTGGATTTAAGGGAGGGGCAGTTCCTTCATCGTACCACTACCGTTAGACATGCCCTACTTTGCTCTTGCTTGAATGATTGCAAGGGCTTCCCAACAGGCATTCCTGCTTCTAGTTCATCCCCTTGCTCCCCGAGATTCATCTTCCTAAATTTGACTCCATTGTTTAAGATTGTTCAGTCCCTTCTTGCTTCAAATAGAATCGAAATCTTCAGCCTGCCTATTAGGTTCTACCACCTGGCCTTATCACCTGCTATTCCTAAAAGCACCAGAATTTCTTGTTAGCACCCCATACATGTTGCTACCCCACCCCCCAACATATAATTTTCCTGCCTTTGTGTCTGCTCAATTTGTCACCTTTTCTTGGAAACTCCCTTCTATGTGTACTAAATACAATTAACGGGGCATATCATCCAGTCATGGCAGAGGCCCCCAGTTACATTAACCTTCAGCAAACCCTAAACTTTTTCTCACTTCAGGGCCTCTGTACTTGTTCTTCCCTCTATCTGGAACATTCTTCACTTGTCCAGCTTCTTCTCAATCTTCAGGGTTGATCTCTTAAAGTAAGGCCCTTAATTTTCTCTCTTCTAGCATCCTGTTCTTTTTTTCCTTCATAGCACTTACCAAAATATGTAATTATACATTTAAATATTAATTTATTTGTTTAATCCTCCACTAGACTGTAAACTTGCAGTATTCATGTCTATTTGCTCCCCACTCTATTTTTCAGTGCCTAGCACAGTGCAAGGATGTAAAAAACATGAATATTTGCTGAATGCATAAGTGATTGAATGGGTTATAGTGCATAGAACTCATGGTCTGTCATCAACAAAATCCTATATTCTCGATCTCTTCTCTGCTTTAACTTAGACCTGGCTTTCCCCAAAGAACACCATTTCTCCCAAGTGACATCTTTTCTCTTTTGTTCACTTCATAGATTAGTGCCTGGCACAGAATAGTTGCTCTGCAATTATTTAATTGCTGTTTACTGGCTGTGTCCTTTTCCCTCTAAGCTAATGAATGGTTAGGAAGATAGCTCAACAGAATGAAAAGAAGTCATTCTGGAGGCAGACAGGCTGAGATTGAATCCTAGTCCTGCTGCTGACTAGCTGGTGATTTGACCAAGTTCGTTAACCTCTCTGAGCCACAGGGTTCATCTTTAAGTGTAATAGAATTTTAACTCGCGCGGAGGTACTTTATTAGGTTGGCCCAATGAGTTGATTCACACTGCCCCCTAGAGGACTTCTGTTTCTGGGACAACAGACTCCAAACCCTAGGAATGTTTGAGGATCTTTGTGAGCTACTCAGACGCACCTGAGGGAGAGGAGGGCTCCAGATCAGCCCTGTGGGAGTTGGCTCCAGATCAGCCCTGTGGGAGTTGGCCCCAAATCAGCCCTGCAGGGGTTGGCCCCAGATCAGCCCTGCAGGAGTTGACTCCAGATCAGCCCTGCAGGAGTTGGGACACAGACAAAAAGTTAAGAGGTCTTGGAGAAGGCAGCTCAGACATTGACAAGGTCAGCAGTCCTCGAGCAGCAGTGGCAGTGGGAGTTTTAATGATTTCTGAGAATCAAGGAGGGGACTTGGTTTGCAAAGCCTGCCTTTGTTGCTACTTAAGCATGTGGTGGGTTATCCAGAGCTCGGAGATTTAGAATATTGCTAAAGGTGAAGTCCATTTGTGTTAACCATAGCTGAGGTCAGGGGTATTTCAGAGTCACATGTAAAATGGAGCATCCTTAATAATAAGTACCTGCCTTTCAGGGTTGTTGTGAGGATCAAATGAGAAAAGAGTCATGTAACATGCTAATATGGTACCTGATACATAACAATTGCTCAATAAATGACAACTGCTATTATTGTTGAAGGTAAGGCAGCCTCTCCACTTTCCTTTCTTACACTACATGCTAAATTTATTCTCTAATAATAAAGAGTCAGGAAAAAAATGGAGCAAAAATGTGATCAAATATGCACTTTCTTGTAGGCAGTCTTTTGCTTTTTTCGTTTTGTAATAAAATTATCCTATTAATAAATTAAATGTGTATAGTTAAATCTATTTAAAATCCATTCATAAATGGTAAAGTAATTATTATGTGGTTGCCAGTGGCCAGAGGTAGAAGTGAGGTAGAAATTGATGGATAAGGGGCAAATGGAATCTTTTGGGGGTGAAAGAAATGTTCTATATCTTTTTTTTTTTTTTTTGAGGCAGAGTCTCGCTCTGTCGCCCAGGCTGGAGTGCAGTGGCATGATCTCGGCTCACTGCAACCTCCACCTCCCAGGTTCAAGTGATTCTCCTGCGTTAGTCACTTGAGTAGCTGGCACACCACCATGCCCGGCTAATTTTTGTATTTTTAGTAGAGACGGGGTTTCACCATGTTGGCCAAGATGGTCTCAATCACCTGACCTCGTGATCCACCCACCTCGGCCTCCCAAAGTGCTGGGATTACAGGTGTGAGCCACCGCGCCCGGCCCATTTAATACATTTTAATTTAACTTGACTACTATCTGCAATAGCAATGGAAATGAATCAGTGGGGAAAGATAAGAGAGACAGAGAAAGAGCGTAAGAACCCATATTATAACTCTGACCTGGACACAGAGCTGGGCTCTTGGAATACAAACTGAAATAGAACTGGTTCCTGACCTCAAACAGCAGCTAACTGTCTTATGAGGAAGACACACACATAAACATATAATTTCTCCTTAAAAAATTAAATATTCTTGAATAATTAAAATATGTATTTGGTTTTGAAAAAATCTGTACAAATAATAGTAAAAATCAGTCTCCCTCCCACCCCTGTCTCTTGGTTGAAAGCAACCACTGAAAACAGTTTATTCTACAGCCATTCAGAGGCATTCTACTTACATACAAGCAGAATTTTTATATGGTATGTGTATTGTTAGCTTTGTGTATGGTAGCTTTACTGTCTCTGAGTTTTCCTCCTTTAAACAAACAAACAAACAAACAAACACTTAACATTCTACCCTGTAGATGAGTCCATAACAAAACCTATTAAACAGATGGTTTGCAATATAAGATGGTAAGAACAATGGGAAAGAAATGAAAAGAATGCTGTGGTGTGGAGACTACTGGCATCTAGCAAGGGAAAGCTTCCTGGAGGATTGATGAGGCTGCCTTATCTCTTTTATGAGTATTCCAAGATAAAAATACAAGAGCTAATTAGTAAACCAAATGCTCTAGTTGTATACTAAACTGTGTTGTCTACAACTCTGATTGTTGTTTGGAGGGGAGCAAAAACAGTTTGAGCAGGCCAGGGGTGGGGAAAAGTTATTGCACAGAAAGTGGGACTGTCGAGGTATGAGGTAATAGGTCTTGGTACAGGAAGCACTGGGAGCCCATTGTGTGCAGGGAGGTCTTTGGTTACAGACTTGAGTATAGTATTTCAGATGACCCAGGGACTGATTAGAAGGATTAAAGGATGCTTACTTGTAGTTCTTTTTTTTTTTTTTTTTTTTTTGAGACAGAATCTCGCTCTGTTGCCCAGGCTGGAATGCAGTGGCACAATCTCAGCTCACTGCAACCTCTACCTCCCGGGTTCAAGCAGTTCTTCCTGCCTCAGCCTCCCGAGTAGCTGGGGTTACAGGCACCTGCCACCACGCCCAGCTAATTTTTGTATTTTTAGTGGAGACAGGATTTCACCTTGTTGGCCAGGCTGGCCTCGAACTCCTGACCTCAGGTGATCTGCCCACCTCAGCCTCCTAAAGTGTTGGGATTACAGGCGTGAGCCACTGCGCCTGGCCACTTATTTGTAGTTCTAACTAGCATTGCCAGATTTAGCAAATAAAACCACAAGGCATCCAGTTAAGTTTGGAGTTACATAAACAATAAATAATTTTTAAATATAAGTATGTATGTCCCATATTCAACTTAACTGGTCATCCTGTATTTTATCTGGCAACCCTGTCTTTAACCCAACCATGTGAAAAAATCAAATTGACCACTCAACATCAGGCAGTTAAAAACAATGACGAAGTGGGCGTTTTTAATTGGAAGAATAGACAAACAAGAAAATGTGTAGGGCTGGGGCCAAGAGTTGTTTAAGTGAGTTTAGGGCTGGTGGAGCCTGGGCCAAGGAGACTCTGGTGATCTGGGCTGGCAGGTCTGGGGCTGAGGTAGTAGCTTACAAGGTCAGGACAACTAGGTTCAGAGCCAAATAAATGGTTCTCATGGTCAGGAATGGCAGGGTCATGGCAAAGCCTGCAGCTCAAGGTCAGGGTCAGTAAGAATGGGGCCAAGGAGATGGCCCATGTGGTCAGGAGATTGAGCAAATAAGAAAATATATTGAGAATAGTGAGAGCCAGGTTTCTTACTCTTGGAGACAATAAGTATGAAAAGGGGAAAGACTAGAACAAACCCTGTAATTAGAGTCAGAGGTGTGAGCCTATAGGGTGTGTGTGTGTGTGAATATTATATATGATATACAAAGAGAGACAGAAGAGTAGATGTGTGTGTTTATGATATGTATAGTGGCTTTTTGGTTTTTCAAAACACACTAATTTGTAGCATTTGCTGATTTCCACGGTGTAAATACTCCCAGCATGAAATAATACTAGTTTCACAGCCACCCGCAAAGTTCCTGAATATTTAACAAGCAGCTTTTGCAAGTCCATATGAGCCAACTCCACTACAGTACTTCGGAATGTACATCATACGTATGATTGTGTGTGTGTGTGTCCAGACATATTTTTCCTAGTTGATATCTTGTTTCCTTGTCCTACTGAAAGGACTTGCAAGACCGACACACCCATAGCAATGAGTGCACCTAGCATCTACATCTTGACTTCCAAGTATCATTCTTCACTAAAAAGAAACCAAAAGTTCTTAGAGAAATGGCTGATTTCATGACTAGGGCAGTGAAAAATCTTACTGGTTCAGGAAGAAAGGAAGTATTCAAAGAATGAGGATGTAGTAAGCTAAGTAATGGCCCCTGAAGCTCTAATCTCTGGAATCTGTAAATATTATCATATACAGAAAAAGGATCTTTAGAGATATGATCAAGGAACTTGAGATGGGGAGATTGTCTTGGATTATTCAAGTGGACTTTAAATGCAAACACAAGTATCCTTGTAAGAGAGAGGCAGAGAGAGATTACGCAAAAGGAGAAGGCAGGAGGCAGAGACTGGAGTGGTGCAGCCACAAGCCAAGTGCCAGCTGGAAGCTGGGAGAGGCAAGGAACGAATTCTCCCCTAGAGCCCAGAGGAAGCATGGCCGTGTTAATATTCCTGATTTGGGCCCAGTGAAGTTGATTTTGAATGTCTGGACTTCAGAACCATGAGAACTGCAGCTGTTTTAAGCCACCGAGTTTGTGGTACACTGTTACAGCAGGCATAGCAAACTAATACAGATGAGAAATGTCAAAAGAACACAGGAGCCAGTGTAAAGAGGCTCCCACTGGCCAAATCAGGGACAATCTAGTCATCAAAGTAAATTATGATTGTAAGGAATTATAACTTATTGAATAAATTGGGAATCCTTAAGCCCACACTAATATAAATAAAAAATTAATTAAAAAGGATACAGGAGACCAGGTCCAGTGGCTCATGCCTGTAATCACAGCACTTTGGGAGGCTGAGGCAGGCAGATCACTTAAGGTCAGGAGTTTGAGACCAGCCTGGCCAGCATGGTGAAATCCCATTTCTACTAAAATTACAAAAATTAGCTGGGTGTGGCAGCGTGCACCTGTAGTCGCAGCTACTCAGGAGACTGAGGCATGAGAATCTTTTGAATCTGGATGGCGGAGGTTGTAGTGAGCCAAGATCTCGCCACTACACTGCAGCCTGGGCAACAGAGCAAGACTTGGTCTCAAAAAAAAAAAAAAAAAAAAAAGAGGATACGGGAAAGGAAATGATACTTTACTATAGAATTCAAGTAATAAATGTAGAAGAAACAATGGACATAGGAAAATCTCTATTTGGTGGCCATTATAGTAATAATCCAGGCAAGAATCATTAATGGATGCTAAAACTACTAGGTGTAAATTCGTGTATATTTATGTGTGTGTGTGTGTGTGTGTGTGTGTGTGTGTGTGTGTGTATATATATATGGAAAGAGAGAGAGAGAAATAAAGAGATAAGGAGGCAAATATGATAAAATGCCTCTGGTGGAGATTCTTCAGGATTCTCTGTACTAATCTTGCAAATCTTTTCTAAGTGTGAAATTATTCAAAACCATTTTTTAATTGTGGCAAAATATACATAAAATAAAATTTACCAACCTGTCCGTTTTTAAGCATATAGTTCAATAGTGTTAAGTACATCTGCATTGTTGTGCAACCAATCTCCAAAACTCTTATCTTGCAATCTAAAACTCTATACCCATTAAACAACTCCCCATTTCCCTTCTCCCCAGCCCCTAACAACCACTATTCAACTTTCTGTCTATAAATTTGACTACTAAGTACCTGATATAGGTGGAATCATACAGTATTTGTCTTTTTGTGACTGGCTTAGCGTAATGTTGTCAAGGTGCTACATCCATGGTATAGCATATGTCAGGATTTCCTTCCTTTTTAAGGTGGAATAATATTCCATTGTATGGATATATCCTATTTTGCTTATCCATTCATCTGTTGATGGACATTTGGGTTGCTTCCATGTTTCAGCTATTGTGAATAATGCTGCTCTGAACATGGGTGTACAAATAACTCTTCAAGACCTTGCCTTCAATTCTTTTGGATATATACCCAGAAGTATCAGTGCTGGATCATATGAAAATTTTATGTTTAATTTTTTGAGGAACTGCCATACTGTTTTCCATAGCAGCTGCACCATTTTTCTCTCTTTTCTTTTCTTTTCTTTCTTTTTTTTTTTTTTTTTTTTTGAGACAGAGTTTTGCTCTTGTTGCCCAGGCTGGAGTACAATGGCGTGATGCTGGCTCACTGCAACCTCCGCCTCCCGGGTTCAAGTGATTCTCCTGCCTCAGCCTCCCGAGTAGCTGGGATTACAGGCACCCGCCACCACGACCAGCTAATTTTTGTATTTTTAGTAGAGATGGGGTTTCACCATGTTGACCAGGCTGGTTTCAAACTCCTGACCTCAGGTGATCCACCCGCCTTGGCCTCCCAAAGTGCCGGAATTACAGGTGTGAGCCACCGCGCCCAGCCAACAGCTGCACCATTTTTCATTCCCATCAACAGTACACAAGGATTCTGATTTCTCCACATCCTCACCAAAACTTGTTATTTTCTTCATATTTTTGATAGTGGCCATCCTAATGCGTATGAGATTGTAGCTCGTTGTTTTGATTTGCGTTTCCCTAATGATTAGTGATGTCAAACATCTTTGCATGTGCTTTTTGGCCATGTGCATATCTTCTTTGGAGAAATAACTATTCAAGCTCTTTGCCCTTTTTGTTTTTTTTGTTTTTTTTTTTTGCGACGGAGTCTTGCTCTGTTGCCCAGGCTGGAGTGCAGTGGTGTGATCTCAGCTCACTGCAACCTCCACCTCCCAGTTCAAGCAATTCTCCTGCCTCAGCCTCCCATGTAGCTGGGATTACAGGTGCACGTCACCATGCCTGGTTAATTTTTTTGCATTTTTAGTAGAGACAAAGTTTCACTGTGCTAGCCAGGATGGTCTCGATCTCCTGACCTCATGATCCTCCTGCCTCAACCTCCCAAAGTGCTGGAATTACAGGCGTGAGCCACTGTGCCCAGCTTATTTGCCCAATTTTTAATTGGGTTGTTTGTTTTGCTGTGAGAACTCTCTGTATATTCTGGATATTAACCCCTTATCAGATATAGGAGTGCAATTATTTTCTCTCATTCTGTGGGTTGCCTTTTTACCCTGATTGTGTCCTTTAGAGCATTGTTTGTTTGTTTTTTGAGACAGTTTCACTCTTGTTGCCCGGGCTGGAGTGCAATGGCACGATCTCAGCTCACTGCAACCTCCGCCTCCCAGGCTCAAGCGATTCTCCCATCTCAGCCTCCTGAGTAACTGGGATTACAGGCGCCCACCACCACACCTGGCTAAATTTTGTATTTTTAGCAGAGACAGGGTTTCTCTATGTTGGTCAGGCTGGTCTTGAACTCCCAACCTCAGGTGATCCGCCCGCCTCGGCCTCCCAAATTGCTGGGATTACAGGCGTGAGCCACAGCGCCCAGCCTAGAGCATAGTTTTATCTATTTTCACTTTTGTTGCCTGTGCTTTTGGTGTCATATTCAAGAAATCACTGCTAAATCCAACGTTATGAACAATCGTTATAAACAACGTTATGTTTTCTTTTAAAAGTTTTATAGTTTTAGCTCTTATTTGAGGTCTTTGATCTAATTATTTTAGGTCTTCGAATTAATTACTGTATATGGTATAAGGTAGGGTTTTAACTTTATTCATTTATATGTGGATATCCAGTTTTCCCAAAACTATTTCTTGAAAAGACTGTCCTTTCCCAGTTGAATATACCTGGCACCCTTGCCAAAAGTCATTTGATCATATATAGGAGGGTTTATTTCTGGGCTCTATTTCTACTCCATTGGTCTATATGTCTGTCTTTATGCCAAGAGCACACTGTTTTAGTGACTCTGGCTTCATTAAAAGTTTCAAAATCAGAAAATGTAAAACCTACAACTTTGTTTTTCTTTTTAAAGATTGTTTTGACCATTCAGGGTCTCTTGAAATTTCACATAAATTTTAGGATGGATATTTCTATAAAACAAAAACTTTTAAAAATGCTTTTCTATAGAAGGAGATGGCACCATTACCTATTCTTATAATTCAGGGTGTTCTTAAAATAGTCATGACTGGCCACAGACATGAAATTAGGGGCACTTTTGAGATATGCCTTAATAGTACTGGAATCCTGTCCAGAGAAAGTTGAAAAGCCCAAGACAACGTTTTATGAGATTTTTTCCTTCCCTGTTTGTGCCAATTAGAGCAGGCTCAGCAGCTTTCTGGTCCACCTCCCCCAAGGCTATTACGTCGGAAAAGAGGGCTCATCTCTCATGGGTTTATTTGTTCCACAGGCCTTTTGGGGGTCATAAAGAGTTTAGTGAGTTTTGATAGGATTGCTTTATCTTATTCAAAGATAAAGATAAAATTTAACAAGTACTGCATAGTCACAACATCTTTTATGGCCATGTATCATTCAACAGAATAAAATGATCTTTGATTCATTTGCTCAATGTACTTGAAATCAAATCATTCAATATGACTCTTCTCTTTCTAAGATTAGAAAAATAATAATGTATATTTTTAAAATACATGTACACAGATGCTGGCTCTGTACTTACTAGGTAAGGCTGTTAAACTCTTTGTGTCTCAGATCTTTAAAATTGAAAACTAGTAGAAACTACATCATGGGGTTCCCTGAGGATCAAATGTGTTAATATATGCAAAATGTCTAGAACAATGTTATGTAAATATCAGCCATTATTATTCTCTTATTAGGTGTTGTGAGGATTAACGTAAATGAGATTACCCTTGTGAAGCTTGTGGTACAGTGCCTGGTACATAGAAAGTGCTAAATAAATATTGGCTATCATTATAAACAGATATTTCTGTGATTTATTATGAAGCCCACACCTTCATTAGGTACATCTTACCTTTCTTTACAACTTGGATACATGGGGAATTTGTTATCACAATAAGCATGGATTGAGTCTTCCTCTGTCATCCAGGCTGGAGTGCAGTGGTGTCATCATAGTTCATTGCAGCATCGAACTCTTGGGCTCAAATGATTCTCCCACCTCAGCCTCCTGGGTGGCTGGGACTACAGGTGCACACCACCGTGCCTGGCAAGCAACTCATTTTTCAGGCCCTGTGGTTGCGTTGTCCAATATGGTAACCTGTGGCCACATATAGCAATATGTCTGTCTTTATGCCAGTATCACGGTTTTAGTGAAATATGAGTAATACAAATTGAAATATGGCTAATACAAACTGAGAAGAGCTGGCCGGGCATGGTGGCTCACGCCTGTAATCCCCGCACTTTGGGAGGCCGAGGCGGGTGGATCACCTGAGGGGAGTTCGAGACCAGCCTGGCCAACATGGTGAAACCCCGTCTCCACTAAAAATACAAAAATTAGCTGGGCATGGTGGTGCACGCCTGTAATCCCAGCTACTCAGGAGGCTGAGGCAGGAGAATCACTTGAACCCAGAAGGTGGAGGCTGCAGTGAGCCGAGACCACACCACTGCACTGCAGCCTGGGTGGCAGAGTGAAACTCTGTCTCAAAAAATAAAAAAAGTAAAATACACACCAGATTTCAAAGACTTAGTACAAAGCCGGGCATGGTGGCCTATACCTATAATCCCAGTGCTTTGGAAGTCCAAGGCAGGAGGATTGCTTGAGGCCAGGAGTTCACGACTAGCCTAGGCAACATAGGGAGACTTTGTCTCTACAAAAAATGTAAAAATTAGCCGGGCATGTTGTTGTGCTCCTGCAGTCTCAGGTACTCAGGAGGCTGAGGTGGGAGGATTGTTTGAGCCCAGGAGTTCAAGACTGCAGTAAGCTATGATTATGCCAGTATACTTCAGCCTGGGTGACAGAACAAGACCCTGTTGAAGAAGAAAAGAAGGAGGAGAAGGAGACAGAGAAGGAGAAGGGGAAAGAGGAGGAGGAGGAAGAGGAGGATGAGGAGACCTACTATGAGATTCAAGTGATTCTTAGTATGAGGAAGAAGAAGAGGAGGAGGAGGAGGAGGAGGAGACCTAGTATGAGATTCAAACGATTCTTCTCCCTCAGCCTCCCAACTAGCTGGGATTACAGGCGCCTGCCACCACACCCAGCTAATTTTTGTATTTTTAGTAGAGATGGGGTTTCACCGTGTTAGCCAGGATGGTCTCAATCTCCTGACCTCGTGATCCGCCTGCCTCAGCCTCCCAAAGTGCTGGGATTACAGGCGTGAACCACTGCCTCACATTTTTATTTCTATTGGACAGTGCTTCCTTATATGGTAATAATTGTGATTGTTTACTCAAGTCATGACCATAGCTCTAAGGTGGAACTTTCATAATTTGACTTAATAAATAATATTCTCAAATGTTTATAAACATATATTGATAATTTACTTCTACATTGTAACTATATTTTAACCATATCTCATGTTAACATCTCTTTATTTTATATTATCCTGGATTCAGGGCGTATATATAGATTTAACTTGTTCCAGTTGATTATAGGCATTGATTTCCATATTCAACCTGTCATGGTTTGACTGTCCCTGGGCGTGAAAACTTTCTTCTCAAACCTTCCTGTTTGACTCCTGCAACATTATACTTGAAACCCCCCAAAAATTCCTCCTTCCCATCAGTAACAAAATATATCAGGCATTTCTCTGCCTGGAGATTTGGCACTGGCCACTATTTTTATGAAGGTTAACATGGAGGATTTAGGCACCAGGGCTGCAATGTATCATCTTCAGTGACCGCAGGGTGTCAGCAGGGCCAAAAACAAAGCAAACATTTAACCATTTCATTGGCTGAATGAGACTTTTCAGAGTCATGGATTCAATTTAACTCTAATCTCATTATTTTTATCTTACTCTAATACAAATAATAATTCTAAATAAAATTAAAATTCTACATCAAAATCCTAATTATTTAACATTACAATCCTCCCTCTCCAACGTTCCTGATCCCTCTTATTCCGCTCTATTTCGTTAATGGCACTTATATCTTCCAGCATATCATGTCTCAATTTTCATTTCTTTTTTTTTTTTTTTTGAGACGGAGTTTCACTCTTGTTGCCCATTCTGGAGTGCAACGGCACGATCTTGGTTCACCACAACCTCCGCCTCCTGGGTTCAAGCAATTCTCCTGCCTCAGCCTCCCAAGTAGCTGAAATTACAGGCAGGCGCCACCACGCCCAGCTAATTTTTTTTTTTTTTTTTTTTTTTTAGCGTTCATTTGCAGTTACAACATGTGGATAAACCCAGGCGAGATGAGCGAGCCTACCGTTCGCACCCACCCGGCAGACGCCGGGGCGGCCCCAGGAGCTTGATGCCCAGTCCCGCTGCGGCCGCTACTACTCCTCGCCCAAAGACTCTCTCCCCGACGTGTAGGCCATGAAGCAAGTGTCGGGTCTCTTGGGGACAAGGGGTCTCACAATCTCAAAGCCCCAAAAGCTGAAGGTCCGGAGCAAGGCGGCTCTGTCCTCGTGGTTCTTGTGGAAGCAAATGAAGACATGGTCGGCGCTCAGCTGCTCCTCGGCGAACTGCTGGAGAACTGCAAAGCTATCCTCGCTCCCCTGGGGCAGCGCACCACCAGGAATCTCCGATGCAGAGGCTGCCGCCGCTCAGCACGGCTCGCCAGTTAATGCCAGTTTGGCATCTGTGAGCCTGGAGTGGACGTTGAGAATCCTCTTGTCGTTGAACGTTAGAATCTCTGTTACATGCAGTCGATCATAGGAGTAGAGTAGCTGAAAGATCGTGATCCCTCTGACGATTCCCTCGCCCACCCGGAATCTTCAGGGGTGGGCGACCGGCATCAGGGGTGCGCGAGGGGCATCAGGAGCACCACCGAGATCCCGGACCGGGTTACTACAGCAGCGGAGGGAGACCCTGGAACTCTTGCTGCTGCGGCCGCTGCGGCTGTGCAGGCTGAGGAGCGGCCTGGTGCGGCTGGCGTGGACGGTGGCGCTGGCTTTGATCCCCTTTCTTCTCTCTGGCAAAGCAGTGGCTTTTGAGGATTCGCTGCAGGGAGGAGTTCACCATCCGGCCCCTGGCATCCGGAACCTGGAAAACCTCTGCTGCGCCTCTCTGCGCCGTGCGCCCTTAAAGCACAAATTGAGACGTCCCATAAGTTATCGAATACCTTAAATTTATATTTATTTTTATAATAAATATAAAATTTATATTTATTTTTATAATAAATATAAAATTTATATTTATTGTTATTTATTTTTATAAATAAATACAAAAATAAGATTTGAATTTATTCATCCCTCTTTGAATTTTTACATCCATTGACACTGGTTAAGTGATCTTGTAAAAAAAAGTCTAGTTTATTTCCTGTCAGTAGGGGAAAAATGGCTTCCTTTGCTCATATTTTGTCATAAACAGCTTTGACAATAATTAAAAAAATAAAACCCTAAGCAAGAAAGGAAATAAATTAATTTATATAAATTATAATTAATGGTTTGGCTTTGCTCTGCATAATTACATAGTCAATGGAAGTAGTCCCTGCTGATTTCAACTTGGCATCAGCTTATAGACAAAGCACGAAAGACTGAATGTAAATGTTTTCCATCTTGATCTTGTAAAAGTGAAACTACACATGATAGAAATTGGAGGATGAACGTGGGGAAGAATGCTGAAAGGAAAGGGAAAGTCTCTGATATCTGCATTTTAAAAAAACTAGGTGTCCGGCTGGGCGCGGTGGCTCACGCCTGTAATCCCAGCACTTTGGGAGGCCAAGCGGGCGGATCATCTGAGGTCAGAAGTTAGAGATCAGCCTGACCAACGTGGTGAAACCCCATCTCCACTAAAAATACAAAATTAGCCTGGCGTGGTGGCACATGCCTGTAATCCCAGCTACTCAGGAGGCCGAGGCAAGAGAATCGCTTGATCCTGGGAGGCGAGGTTGAGGTGAGCGGAGATCGGGCCACCGCACTCCAGCCAGGGAGGGGGTCAGAGCGAGACTCCATGTAAAAAAAAAAAAAAAGGTCGGCGCGCGGTAGCTCACGCCTGGGATCTCAGCACTTTGGGAGGCCGAGGCAGGCGGATCACGAGGTCAGGAGATCGAGACCATCCTGGCTAACACGGTGAAACCCCGTCTCTACTAAAAATGCAAAAAATTAGCCGGGCGTGGTGGCGGGCGCCTGTAATCCCAGCTACAGGCTGGGAGGCTGAGGCAGGGAAATCGCTTGAACTCCCGGGAGGCGGAGCTTGTAGTGAGCAGAGATCGCGCCACTGCACTCCAGCCTGGGCGACAAGGCGAGACGCCTTCTCAAAAAAAAAAAAAGAGAGAGAGAGAGGATCTAAAACAGTCAGTCCTGTAACTGTATTGAGAGAAGAGGAGGATTGTATTAGCTTAATCCAAAAATAGACAAATCAAGGAATGGTGGCATAGTATATTACTTAGAAATATGAAGGTAAGCACAAGAGAGGAAAAACGTCTTTCAATAGAGTTATTTTTAAAAAGCTTCCCATTGGGGAATGGGTCAGGGGAAGAAGGTGAGGACGGGTAGAACAGAGCCTTGTCTTGGGCAGCTACAAGACAGTGGACACCTGCACCTGCCCTCCAGAAAATATCCTTTATATAGCAAGTTTTTTTTTGGTAAAACACGTGCAGTTAGTCATGTCTCAGACGCTCTTGCAAAACTCATGACCACTGGGGAAGTTAGATAAGCATCTTTATGAGGGGTTATCTATGCTACAGGCATTGTTTCTGTGGGACTGCTTTGGTATGCAGGAGTCAAATATGGGTCATTATGTAGGCTTTGCTTGAAAATGGCATTACTCTGGCCATGCAACAGGCTGTTCTCCAAATGAAGAAAACAATTCCATGTACAATAACATCAAGAAATAATGTATTCAGGAATAAATTTAACAAAAGAAGTGCAAGACTTGTACAATGGAAACTATAGAATACCATTGAAAGAAATTAAAGCAGATCTAAATAAATGGAAAGGCCTCCTATGTTCATGGATCAGAAGACTTATTATTAAAATGGACATATTCCCCAAATTGATCTGCAGATTCAATGCAATCCCTACAAAAATCCTAGCTGGATTTTTTTTGCAGAAATTGATGAGCTGATTCTAAAATTCATATGCAAATGTAAGGGAACTAGAATAGCCAAAACAATTCTGAAAAAGAAGAGCAAATTTTGAGACTCTCACTTCCTGATTTCAAAACCTACTACAAAGCTACTATAATCAAAACAGTGTGGTGGTAGTGTAGGAATGACATATAGATCAGTGGAATAGGAATGAGAGTTCAAAAATAAATTCTCCTATTATGACCAATTCATTTTTGACAAGGGTGCCAAAACAATTCAATCAGAAAGATAGTCTTTTCAACAAAAGGTGCTGGTACGACTGGATATCTACATTCAAAAGAATGGAAATGGGGAGTGACTGACTGATAATGGGTACAAGATTCTTTTGGGAGTGATTACAGCATTCTAAAATAGATTCTGGTGGTGGCGGCCCAACTATGTATACTAAAACCCACAGATTTTACCCTGTAGGTGAATTTTATGGTATATAATTATATATCAATAAAGTTGTTTTAAAGCATGTCAGATGTCACTCCTTTACTTACAATTCTCCAAAGGCTTTTGATATTATGTAGGCTAGTTGTTCTTGACAAGGATCAGAGGAGAGGAGGATTTTTCTCTAGGGGAATTTAACAATGTCTGGAGACATTTTTGGCTGTCACACTGGCAGGGGACTACTAGCGTCAAGTAGGAAAAGGCCAAGGATGCTTCATTTTTTTTTTTTTTTTCTTGAGTCAGAGTCTTGCTCTTGTCACCCAGGCTGGAGTGCAGTGGTGTGATCTCGGCTCACTGCAACCTCCACCTCCCAGGCTTCAGCAATTCTCGTGCCTCAGCTACCTGAGTAGCTGGGATTACAGGTGTGTGCCACCATGTCTGGCTAATTTTTGTATTTTTAGTAGAGACGGGGTTTCACCATGTTGGCCAGGCTGGTCTCAAACTCCTCACTTCAGATGATTCACCTGCCTCAGCCTCCCAAAGTGCTGGGATTACAGGCATGAGCCACCAGGCCCAGCCCCAAGAATCCTTCTTAATATTTTACAATGTTTTGAGCTAGGCAATCCTCTACAAAAAAAGATTATCTATCAAAACGTCAATAGTGCTGAGACTGAGACATCTTGATCTAGAGAAAACGCAAGGTCCTTACAATGGCCTATAAAGCTCTACCTACTCTGGCTCTGGCTGCCTCTATTGTCATCCCCCTCCACTCCCCTTATTGCTCACTCTCCTTCAGGCACACTGGCCTAGTCGCTGTTTCTCAAACACACCAGGCTCACTTTTTCCTTGGAGCCTTTGCATGTGTTATTCCTCTTGCTTAAGAGCCTCTTCCCCCAATGACCACATGGCTAAATCCCCTATCTTTTTTCAAGTCTTCGAACAAGTGTCCCTTCTCAATGAGACCTACCTTGACCATCCTATTTAAAATTACGACACTCCTGGCCGGGCGCGATGGCTCACGCCTGTAATCCCAGCACTTTGGGAGGCCGAGGTGGGCAGATCACCTGAGGTCAGGAGTTCAAGACCAGCCTGGCCAACGTGGTGAAACCCCGTCTCTACTAAAACATACAAAAATTAGCTGGGCGTGGTGGCAGGCACCTGTAATCCCAGCTACTCGGGAGGCTGAGGCAGGAGAATTGCTTGAACCCAGGAGGCAGAGGTTGCGGTGAGCTGAGATCGCGCAGCCGAGATCACGCCATTGCACTCCAGCCTGGGGAACAAGAGAGAGACTTTGTCTCAAAAAAAAAAAAAAATTACAACATTCCTGTAGTCACTAGCACTCCTTCCTGTCCTGTTCTATTTCTTTTTTTAAATTCCCTGTTACTTATTGCCTTAGAATCTATTGCTTACTTTGGTTATTTAGCATGTCTATTGCTGTTGTCTGTCTTCCCCAAGCATCACAAGGGTCCTCATCTGTTTTGCTCACTGACTTGTCCCAGTGCTTGGGATACTGTAGCTGTCAATAAATATTTATTGAATAAGTTGAATGAATACACTTGATTATTTCCAAAGCCTTTAAAAACATATAGGCATTCACTATTCAATATCTATCCCAAATTTCCAAAAGACATTTTAAAACCAAGTATTTATTAAAAATCTAAATTATATATTGTAAATTATACCTAATAGCACTTTCTTTCTTTCTTTCTTTTTTTTTTTTTTTTGAGATGGAGTCTCGCTCTGTCACCCAGGCTGGAATGCAATGGTGAGATCTCGGCTCACTGCAACTCCTGCTCCCCATGTTCAAGCGATTCTCCTGCCTCAGCCTCCTGAGTAGCTGGGATTACAGGCATGAAGCCACCACACCTGGCTAATTTTTGTATTTTTAGTAAAGGCAAGATTTCACCACGTTGGCCAGACTGGTCTCAAACTTCTGACCACAGATGATCTGCCCACCTCAGCCTCCCAAAGTGCTGGGATTACAGGTGTGAGGCACTGCCCTCGGCCAATAATACACTCTTAACTCTAGACAAGACTTTTTGAAAATTCATGGATTAGTCTCTTACACTCCTGACATCCTCCATCTCTGACTTTAGTTTTCAGTTTTTGGTTGAGACAGGTCTTGCTCTGTCACCCAACCTGTAGTGCAGTGGTGTGATCGTAGCTCATTACAGCCTCAAACTCTTTGGCTCAAGCAATCCTCCCATCTCAGCCTCCAGAGTAGCTGAGACTACAGGCATGCGCCACTATACCCAGCTTTTTCTTTCTTGGCGGGGAGCAGGGGTAGATACAGGGTCTTGCTTTGTTGCCCAGACTGGTTCTCAACTCCTGGCCTCAAGCAATTCTCCCACCTCAGCCTTCCAAAGTGCTGGGATTATAGGTGTAAGCTGCCACACCTGTCCGCTTGAGTCTGAGAGGCAGAGGTTGCAGTGAGCAGAGATCACACCAATGCACTCCTGCCTGGGCAACAGAGTGAGACTCTGCTCAAAAAAAAAGTAAGATAACTTAAGATTATTGTTATTATTTTAGAGCAGGGTCTCACTATGTTGCCCAGGCTGGAGTTCAGTGGCTATTTACAGGCATAATCACAATACGCGACAGCCTCAAACTCCTGGGCATAAGTGATCCTCCCGCTTCAGCCTCTGGAGTAGCTGGGACTACAGGTGCACGCCACCACGCCCAACTATTCTACTGTTTTGCTCAATACATGGCTCCTAGTTAATACAACTAGTTTGGCACATTTATATTGTCTTGAACTGAAATTTGAGTATTTTCTTTTCAGTATCTAAATATGGAGATGTTGCCTACAACTTTTAATTTAAATTCCCAGATATGGTACAATTTTCTTTCCTGTCCTTTTTAGCGGTATTCCTCAAAAAAAAAAAAAAAAAAAGAAGAAGTAGAGAACTATTAAGTTATATTGATAAATCTGACACCATAGAAGCACAAAATCTTGGAGCTGAAAGAATTGCCAAAAAGAAGCAGGGAGTGGTGGCTCACACCTGTAATCCCAGCCCTTTGGGAGGCCAAGGCGAGCAGATCACTTGAGGCCAAGAGTTCGAGATCAGCCTGGCCAACATGGTAAAACCCCATCTCTGCTAAAAATACAAAAATTAGCTGGGCATGGTGGCAAGCTTATAAGTTTATAATCTCAGCTGCTCCGGAGGCTGAGGCAGGAGAATTGCCTGAACCCGGGAGGGGAGGTTGCAGAGAGCCGAGAGCATGCCACTGCACTCCAGCCTAGGTGACAGAGCCAGACTCTGTCTCAAAAAAAAAGAATTGATAAAAATAATTTATTCCATCACTCCCTACCCCCATTTGTTGTTGTCATTGTTGTTTATTTTTGAGACTGAGTCTTACTCTGTTGCCCAGACTAGAGTGCAGTGGTGCAATCTTGGCTCACTGCAACCTCTGCCTCCCAGGTTCAAGTGATTCTCCTGTCTCAGCCTCCCGAGTAGCTGGGATTACAGGTGCCTGCCATCACGCCCAGCTAATTTTTGTATTTTTAATAGGTGAGCCACCTCACCTGACCTAGACTTTTTTATTTACAAAACTGGGGGTATGGCTGTAATCCCAGCACTTTAGGAGGCCTAGCCAGACAGATTATGTGAGTCTAGGAGTTCGAGGCCAACCTGGGCAACATGGCAAAGCCCTGTCTCAAAAAAAAAAAAAAAAAAAGCTGGGCTCGGTGGCTCATGTCTGTAATCTCAGCACTTTGGGAGGCCGAGGAGGGTGGATCACTTGAGGTCAGGGGTTTGAGACCAGCCTGGCCAACATGGTGAAACCCTCGTCTCTAGTGAAAATACAAAAATTACCCAGGTGTGGTGGCATGTTCCTGTAATCCCAGCTACCGGGAAGGCTGAGGCAGGAGAATCGCTTGCACCTGGGAGATGGAGGTTGCAGTGAGTCAAGATCACACCACTGCACTCCAGCCTGGGCGACAGAGTGAGACTGTCTCAATTAAAAAAAAAACTTATAAGATGATCTGGCTCCTACTGTTGGTCTGCACTTTATGCTGCACTTATTTCTCATAAGTAAAGATTTTTATGTCAATAATTTATGACTTATTAAATAGATTTATCTGTGTTCTAATTCATAAAAAACAAAGGTATTTGAATCCACTTACGTCAAGAACACAAAAAATAAAGTAGAAATGAAGATGGGACATTATGGTCATTAAGAAAACCAGGCACCCAGCTTTGGGTACAGAAGTCTGCAGTCCTTGGACATCTTGACCTGATTTATCTTCTTTCTGTTTCTATGTTTCTTTGTTTTTCTTTCAGTAATATTGTACAATCTCCTCTTTGCAGTATGGAGAATTGTTGGAAAACGTTCTCAGAATTTATTTTCTCTTGGTATATTGCTAAATATTGGGGAAGGAACAGCCTTGTTGTATGTGGTATCGGTGTTCTTTTTTATGTCTTTTTTATTTTATTTTATTTTTTAAGAAATATTTTTTTAAAAATAAAAATAAAATTAGAGACGGAGTCTTGCTATGTTGCCCAAGCTGGTCTCGAACTCCTGGGCTCAAGTAATCCACCCACCTCAGCCTCCTAAAGTGCTAGGATTACAGACATGAGCCACTGTACCCAGCTGGTATCAGGTATTTTTGAGTGTCCATCTGAGAGCATTACCAAGGCTTATGGGAAGATGCTACGTGTTGCATTCCAAGCAACATGTATTTGCTTGGAATGTTTGTTCCAAAACATTCCAAGCATCAAGATCTCACAAGAAGGTAAGGCAGCAAACACCTCTTAATTTGGACAAAATGTCTTCCTCTTCCCAGCTCTCTCAGTCAAAAATATCCTCCACCCACTACTGCCTATAAACTACTGATTATGGCACTTGATTGTGATGGAGAAGGGGCACTGGACTGGGATGGAATGGTTTAGTATGTGCAGGCTGAGGCCATTAAAATCCTTTGCAAAAGTTGATTCCTCAGAACTGTGTCTGACCCCGAGATGCCATTGTGCCTCATGAGCTCCTAAAGTCTCCTAAGACCTTGCAAGCTATATGTAGCAGTCAGGTTAGGTTCTTTGGCTCTGTAGTCAGAATTACTAGCTTCAAATTCTGTTTCTTATTAGTTGTCTCACTTTGCCCTTAACTTCATGTCTTGGTTTCTACATTGAAAATTGAGGATGATTGAGCTCACTTCGTAAGGTGGTTGAATTTAATTAACTAACTAAATTAGTTAATTTTCATAACCTCTAAGAAAGTTCATGGTTCATAGTAAGTGCTCAATAAATGTTGGTAATAATTACTGGTCTTTTCTCCCTGGTAGGTATGGCTACTAACAAATACATAGCTTTCTGGTGGTTTTGATCTGATCCACAGTGTTAAGAGCACCAACATGACAGGTAGATTCTACACTTACTCCTCCCACAGGGCCTCCTCCTTCTGACTATAATACTCTCCTGTTCGTCTCCAATCCCAGTTGTGTAACCGCCCAAGGAGTTCACCTTGCCCACTGTCTAGACAGAGCCGATTCATCAAGACAGGGGAATTGCAATACAGAAAGAGTAATTCAAGCAGAGCCTGCTGTGCGGGAGAACAGAGTTTTATTATTACTCAAATCTGTCTCCCCGAGCAGTTCTTAAGGATAATTAGCTGGGCGTGGTGGTGGGTGCCTGTAATCCCAGCTACTCGGGAGGCTGAGGCAAGGAATTGCTTGAACCCAGGAGGCGGAGGTTGCAATGAGCCAAGATCGTACCATTGCACTCTAGCCTGGGCGACAAGAGCAAAACTCTGTCTCGAAAAAAAAAAAAAGGAAACTTATGACTCCCAAATAGAAGGCATATTTGAGACCAGCTACATTCTCTAGAAGTGTTCTGTTGTGTTATTTTTGCATAGCCTGATTAAACATTTAATGCAGTTATCCAATTCTTTCTTACCTGTGGATTTTTTTTTCTCTGATGGCTATAATCATATAATTTTACTAAGGGCCATTGATCATTATAATTTAGCTTGTCTGTTTATTACAAAATGCCATTTAACTATTACTAAGTCATCACATTCTGGTAGCTGGCATAAAAATAACTCTGGGGCAGCCAGCAAACAATCAGGAATTGCTGAGGCCTGTATAGTTCAATTACTTTGAGTAAAGTCTACACATTTTGATAATTGTTATGGTGAAATAATCTTGTGTGCATTTTTTATTTTACTTAGAATAAGAGTTTGTATTTTTTCTAAGTAAATAATGAACTGTGTCTGCTTGAATAGATTCTCTTTTTTTCTAACGGCCTAGTGTTGTTAGCCAAAATGCAATAAAGCTGAGCTTCAGGATCTTAGTGCTTTTCAGGCCTGAACTGCTAGCATTTTATTTTGCTTCTGAGAAGAGAAGAGCATTCTCATCAAAGAGCATGTTTATTAATACACTGGCATATTTCGTTCCTGAGTGAGACAAGAGAATTAAGGATAGAAGAAATTTCAGTTCTTTCAAATCCACCCACAAGAAACAATTGAATGGAGCCCTCCTAACATGAGGCTATTTTAAGAAGGGGAAGTATGCTTATTTATTGGGTACCAATAGACAAAGGAGTAAGCAATGACCCAACAGCCTCATTCTCCCTAATTGCCCATCCTTCTCCTAGCAGTGTTCTCCCTCAGGATGGAGGTGCCTGGAAGTGCTGCTAGTGGCCACTCCTGAACCACAGACTATCCTGGGTTAACATCTTCAGTTGTATATTCAGAAGGAAAAAGCCAAGGACCCATCTGTGGTCTCAGGGTATCATCTGAACAAGCAATATACACCCAGCGAAGAACACTCTGTCCCCTTAGAGAGTTTCCAGTCCTTTCCCACATAAACAGACTAACACCTGCACTCCTTGCCTCATCTTCAGGGCACGTCTGTCACAAACAGAACTTTCAGAAATCCTTTATGAAGGTATAGACTTCAAACTCCTGTGAGTTTGGTTATTATGAGTCTACTCTTTGAGCCTAATCCTCTTTGGGCACACTGACAGAGCTCAGACCCTGGGCTAGGAAGTCCCTGTTTGGCCAGCTTGTCAGCCTCTTTTGCTGTCATCCCTAGTTCACTTAAATGGAACTGCAAGAGTTACAACATTCTGTATATTTCAATTAACATTACTGTACTAGGGAAAGTAGTGATGCTTTCTTTCCAGTTGGAGATTTATTGTCTCTAAATTGGGGGTCTTCTCAATCCAAGTTTGCCCTGTGAACATGTTGTGAAATTGTCATCTGAAGCAGGCCCCTCAAAGATGGTTGAGAAGCCTTGCATTTTCCTGAAGAGCAGAGGACACTGTTTATCTTGGCAGAATTCCAAGCCCAATCAGTAGATATGAAAAGCAAGAAGAAAGGAGCATGTGTTCAAAGTTTTTCTTATCAAGTCTTTAGAGTGCAGGCCCTGGGAAAAATGCTGCAGGTACATTAGGATGGAAAGACTATGTTGGGAGAAGGCCCTTGGCTAATGAGAACATAGGTCTGGTAGAATATTGAGGAGCCCTTTAAGGAGAAAACAATTAGCTTTTTCAAAGCTTTCCTTTTAGAGACCAACTCACTATTATTAGTAAATTAAGACATACTAAGAAATAGATTATTCAAGAAAAAGGACTTCAGCCACAGAAGTAAAATGGGCAGAGTTAGAGCAAGAGGGAGCAAATATTCAATAGGAAGCAAAGAGTAAACAATACATGCATTCGTTGCTAGTAATAAGGTAAAAAATGCAAGAGAAAGCACATTAAGGGTTCTATTTGACCTTTCTCAAATAAAGAAAACTGTATTTAAAATAGTAGCCCCCATTTCTGATGAGATTGTGATAAAATTGAGGTGAGGATAGGAATGAAAATAGGAATACCATTTGGGAAAACAAAATAGCCATAATTAGCAAAAGGCTTTTATTGAGTGTATAGTTCAATGACTTTTAATATATTTGCAGAGTTGTACAACCATTACCACAATCTAGAAACAGTCTTGAAAATATTAATATCCTTGAAATTACTCCTGGATCAAGAATTAATAATAACAGCAGTTGTTATTCTGTATAGAGTACTAACTCAGAACCAAGCACTTTACATGTAATTTATTCATTTCAATTCTCACAACAATCCTATGAGGAAGGTGTTATTAGTGACCCTTCTTGATAAATGAAATACTGAGATATAGAGAAGTTAAGAAATTTGCCCAAACTACCATGGATAGTGTTAAAAACCAGATCATCTCTTTCCAGAACCTATACACATAAGCAACTACTACACTATAAGGAAATAATACAACAAAAGTAAAAAGCTCCATGCAGGAAGAGTTAATTACAGAATTCTGTAAGATCCAATAATGGGCATAAGTTAAATGGTCTACAATCCACAAAGAATAGGTTTAGTAGATTTTGGTGTGTCTGCTACTCAGCCATAAAAAGGAAAATAGTAGACCCTGTACAAATAAGGAAAATATTTATGATATTCAATAGCACAGTATAGTAGTTGTTGGATGAATGAATAAGCCAGCATAGCCCCTGCCTTCTTCAATATCAGTCCTTCACAAATGATCTTCAATTGCTATATACCCAGGGCCAAACCCAGTGTCTTCAATGCACGGGGCTCTCCAAGTGGCTGTGGGGTGGTAAGATCTCTTCACTGGGTGAGCCACAGGAAATGACTCCAATAGTCAGGTTCCTTCTGAGCTAAGACCTGGCTGGGCATTGGAGATGTTCTCCAAGGACAAAGGTATTTGTTTTTGTTTTTGTTTTTGTTTTTTGAGATGGAGTCTGTGTCGCACAGGCTAGAATGCAATGGCGCAATCTTGGCTCACTGCAACCTCAACCTCCTGAGTTCAAGCAATTCTCCTGCCTCAGAGTAGCTGAGATTACAGGCACGCGCCACCACGCCTGGCTAATTTTTGTATTTTTAGTAGAGACAGAGTTTCACCATGTTGGCCAGGCTGGTCTCAAACTCCTGACCTCAAATGATCCGCCTGCCTTGGCCTCCCAAAGTGCTGGGATTACAGGCATGAGCCACCGTGCCCAGCCCCCAAGGACAAAGTTTTGATGGTGTCCTCTGTGTCTGCAAAATATTGAAAAGACACCTGCATGTGAACAAAATCTGGAAGACAGTATGCAAAAAATTAAAACAGTTGCAATGTTTGCTGGAAGAATTGTAGGAGGTTACTTACTTTTAAAATTTTTTCTGCAATGTTGTTACACTATCTTTTTCAGCAATGTTTTGAAGAAAAGGGATCTCCTTGATCTTCATCTTGATGTTCCTAAGACAAAAGCCAAATCAATGAATGACTCATTGCTGGCCACATCTGACCCAAATGTTAGACACTGACAAGACTCCATCCTCCAAAGAATATCTTGGTTAGAAGTATTTAATTGTTCTAGGTTCTGGAGATATGGCAAAGCATAAGATTGAATCCCTGCTCTCTCAAAGCTTACATACTAGAACTGTGTTGTCCAGTACAGTAGCCACTGGCCACATGTGGCTATCTAAATTTAAATCAGTTAAAATTAAATTAAATTAAATTAAAAATTCTTTTACTCATTCACACTAGCCACATGTCAAGTGCATAGGAGTCATATGGTAACTAGTGGCTACTATATTGGACAGCTCAAATATAACAATACTTCCATCATTGCAGAAAATTCTACTGGTTAGTCCTCCTTTAGACAGAAGAGTTTGATAATAATCAAGTAAACAAAAATGGACAAGAGTAAACATTGCTCTGAAGAAAATAAAAAACAGTGCTGCCTTGTATTGTAGACTGATGGTCTTGGGAAGGCATCTCCGAGGGACTCCCATTTGAGCTGAAAAACTAATGACAAGAATGAGCCAGTCATGCAAAGATTTGGGTACAGAATGTCTCAGGAAGAAGGTGAGGCAACTGTAAATGCCATTGAGGTAGGATGTGAAACTCATCTCCAGAGGCAGGGCTTGAACCTCGGACCAGATAGAGAAATAGCTAAAACAGGGAAAAGTCCAAAGCACCTCTCTGTAAGACACTCCCACTAGTGTGCCATGTCAGTTTACCATTTCCATGGCAACGCCCGAAGTTACTGCTCTTTCTTTTCTTTCTTTTTTCTTTCCTTTTTTTTTTTTGAGATGGAGTCTCGCTCTGTCACCCCGGCTGGAGTGCAGTGGCACAATCTTGGCTCACTGTAACCTCCTCTTCCCGGGTTCAAATGATTCTCCTGCCTCACCGTCCTGAGTAGCTGAGACTACAGGCATGTGCCACCATGCCTGGCTAATTTTTGTATTTTTAGTAGAGACGGGGTTTCACCATATTGGGCAGGCTGGTCTTGAACTCCTGACCTTGTGATCTGCCTGCCTCAGCCTCCCAAAGTGCTGGGATTACAGGTGTGAGCCACCATGCCTGGCCAGTTACCACCCTTTCCATGGCAATGACCTGACGACATTTTTTCTAGAAAATTCTGCATAATATTCCCCTTAATTTACATATAATTAAAAGTCAGTATAACGACTACTCCAGAACTGCCACTGAGCTGCTACTGTGGGCACACTGCCTATGGCGTAGCCCTGCTCCTCAAGGAGCAATACTACTGCTGCTGCTGCAGCTGTACACGGCCACTTCAATAAAAGTTGCTAACACCACTAGCTCGCCCTTGAATTATTTCCTGGCAAAGACAAAACCCTCCTGGGCTAAGCCCCAATTTTGGGGCTTGTCTGCCTTGCATCACCATGAAATGGGAATAAGCCTGGGGTATTTCAGAAACAGAAAGAAGATCATTTTGGCTAGAATTTTGTAAGCAAAGAGGAGAGGGGCCTGAGATGAGTTTGGAGAGATAGGTAGGAACAGACTCTGTAGGGCTTCCAAGGCCACAGTGTGGGGTTTGGAATCATCCTCTTTCTGTTTTCAGAGGGTGGTTAACCAGATGCTGCCTTGAGGTCTGCAGATAAGTTTATACTTTTCGTTAGGTTTTTTGAGGCCATGAATTAGATATTCAGGCACCTGAGACCCTGGGGCACAGCAGAGTTGAAGAGCCTGACAATGGTTTTGGAATTGAGCAGAAGATGGTGTCAGAAAAGTTGGGCTTGCCAAAGACAAATAGGAAGAATTGGGGTATCAGCCAGCAGCACCCACAATCCCACTATCAGATGAGGCAATAGACTCACTCAGGCAAGTCAGTGCTTTCACAGGGCGACAGAGAGCTCCTCTGTGCTAGCTCCTAAAGGAGTAGTCAATACATGGTTATACCCATTTTGTTGGTCCCACCCTAAGCACGAACCTTTTGAATATTAAAGGGACACAGCATGGTTTAGGCCAGCACTAAGCGTAGGAGAAACTATAGGTGGGCAATGAGAGAGTAACATCCCCTCATCCTGGAGTGTTCAAAAGCAGAGCCATCTTCTACCTTTATCTAAGACCCATCCATTCGATCATTTATTCTCTCAACAACTCTTGGTTGTGTGCTTCTGCTCTGAATTGTTTTAGTTGTCAGGAATATAGTATTAAATAAGACAAGTTCTTTATGTCACTTACAAAGCAGGTCATAAACAAATGGATATATAATATAATGTTAGGTGGAAAACGAAATGGTAAAGAGGATCAAGAGTGATAGGAGCATATACAACTGGCCCTCCATATCTGCAGGTTCTCTATCAGCAGATTCAACCAACCGGGTATGGAAAATATTTGGGGAAAAAAAGAGCGTGGTTTTGTCTGTACTGAATATGTATGGACTTTTTTTTCTTGTCATTACTCCCCAAGCAATATAGTATAACAACTATTTACACAGCATTTCCATTATATTAGGTATTATAAGAAATCTAGAAATGATTTAAAGCATATGGGAGGATGTGTATAGGTTACATGCAAATACTATGCCATTTTATGTGAGTGACTTCAGCTCCTTGGACTTTGGTATCAGAGGAGATCCTAGAACCAATTCCCCACGGATACTGAGGGATGACTATATATTGCTTGGGGAAAGCTCTAAGGAGGTGACCTTCGAACAGATATCAGAATGAAGTGAGGGTGAAAAACACGCAAATACTTGGAGGAAGAGCAGTTCAGGCAGAAGGAACAGCAGATGTCTTGAGGTGGGAGTCGACCTGGTGGCCTCATAGAAGCAGGAGGCCAGTGTGCTAGAGCTCAGTGAATGAGGGGTGGCCAGGTGAGGGATGCAACCAGAGACATAAGGCTGGGGGTGTGGATGTAGTTAAGGACTTAAGGGCCTTGGAGATCATCATAAAGATATTTGGTTTTCTTCTTCTTTTTTTTTAGAAGGAGTCTCACTCTGTCACCCAGGCTGGAGTGCAGTGGCATGATCTTGGCTCACTGCAACCTCCACCTCCTGGGTTCATGCGATTCTCCTGCCTCAGCCTCTCGAGTAGCTGGGATTACAGGCGCCTGCCTCCACGCCTGGCTAATTTTTGTATTTTTAGTATAGATGGAGTTTCACCATGTTGGCCAGGCTGGTCTCGAACTCCTGACCTCAGGTGATCTGCCTGCCTCAGCCTC
Organism: Homo sapiens; assembly: GCF_000001405.40. Classification (NCBI taxonomy): domain Eukaryota; kingdom Metazoa; phylum Chordata; class Mammalia; order Primates; family Hominidae; genus Homo; species Homo sapiens. The sequence goes on along the minus strand of NC_000001.11, from coordinate 40,117,886 downwards.
CCAAAGTGCTGAAATTACAGGTGTGAGCCACCGCTATTGTTTTTAAAGTCATGGCGCCAGAGGACATTATCTAGGGAGTAAGTATAAACAGAGAAGAGACCGCAGGACTAAGGGGTGACACTCTACCTTTAGAGGTTAGGAACAGGAGAAACAAGTAGAGCAAGAAGACAGAATAATATTTCATTGTATGCATAGACCACATTTGTTAACCTATTCATTCTTCGATGAACACTTAGGTTGTTTCCACATTTTGGCTATTGTGAATAATACTGCTGTGAACATGGGTGTTCAAACATTTCTTCAAGACCCTGCTTTCAATTGTTTGAGTATATATCCAGAAATGGAAATGCGGATCATATAGTAATTCTATTTTTAATTTTCTGAGGAACCACCATACTGTTTTATCCAGCAGCTATACCATTTTACATCCTCACCAACAATGTACGAGGGTTACCGTTTATCCACATCCTCACCAACACTTATTTTCTGTGTTGTTTTAATAGTAGCCATCTGTGAAATAATAATAAATAAAAACCATTAAGAAATAAGAAATATGTCTCTGCCCCAGTTCATGAGACAGAGTTCCTAATACCCTTGCTGATAGGGGTGCTAGGAGAATCTTTTCTTCTAGTATTCGATCTTTGACCCAGTTCCTAACACAAATCTCCTTAGACTTTTGTAATTTTCAGAGTGATAGGAGTGTCTGACACAGAGTTCCTAAATTACTTGGAATTCCCTAGGGATAGGAGCATTTTTTGTTCTAATGAGGTGACTCTTGATAGACTTCTGGGTGAGTACTGGTCACCAGAAAGATCAAGATAAGATTAGAAGCTTTGAACTTTCAGTCCCATCAGCATACTTCTAGAAGAGGAGAGGTGTGGAGATTAAGTCAATAGTTGATCATGCCTACGTGATGAAGCCTCCATGAAAAATCCCTGAACTACGAGGTTCCAAGAGCTTCTGGATTGCTAACATGTATAAGTGCCTGGAAGGTGGCACATTAAGAGAGGACATGGAAGCTCCAAGCCCCTTCCCACAGCCTTGCCCTTTGCATCTCTTCCATCTGGCTGTTCATCTGTATACCTCATAACATTCCTCATAATAAACTAGTACATGTAAGTACAGCACTTTCTTGAGTTCTGTGAGCTGCTCTTGCAAATAATCAAACCCAAGGAGGGGATCAGGGGAATCCCCTTTTTATAGCCAGTACATCAGAAGTTCCGGAGGCCTAGACTTTTGACTGGCATCTGAAGCTGGGGGCAGTCTTGTGGGGCTGAGCCCTTAGCCTGTGGGATCTGACTCTAACTCCAGGGAGACAGTATCAGAATTTTTTTTTTTTTTGAGATGGAGTCTCTCTCTGTCACCCAGGTTGGAGTGCAATGGCGTGATCTCAGCTCACTGCAACCTCCGCCTCCTGGGTTCAAGCGATTCTCCTGCCTCAGCCTCCCGAGTAGCTGGGATTGCAGGCAGCTGCCACCACATCTGGCTAATTTTTGTATTTTTAGTAGAGACAGGGTTTCATCATGTTGGCCAGGCTGGTCTCAAACTTCTGACCTCAGGTGATCCACCCACCTCGGCCTCCCAAAGTGCTGGGATTACAGGCATGAGCCACCGCACCTGGCCAGTGTCAGAATTGAATTGAATTATAGGACAATCAGTTGGTGTCTACTGGAGAATTGATTTATGGGGGGTAGGAAAAAAGCAACCCAATCTGGTGTCAGAAGCATTTTGTGCTGCATTGAGTGTGAGATTAGGAAGAAAAGTTTGGTTTTTTCTATCTCAAACACCATCCTAATGGGTGTCAGGTGGTACCTCATTGTGGTTTTGATTTGCATTTCCCTAAGGATTAGTGATGTTGAGCATCTTTTAATCTACTTATCTGCCATTTGTATATCTTCTTTACAGAAATGTCTATTCAAGTCCTTTGCCCATTTTTGAATTGCTTTGTTTGCTTCTTTTGCTGAGTTTTAGAGATTCTCTATATATTCTGAATATTAATCCCTTACTAGATATATAATTTGCAAAAAAGGTCTCCCATTCTGTAAGTTGCCTTTTTTACTCTGTTAATAGTGTCATTTGCTGTGCAAAATATTTTAATTTTCATGAAATCCAATTTGTCTATATTTTATTTGGTTGCTTTTGTTTTTGGTGTCATATCCAAGAAATTATTGCCAAATCCAATGTTGTGAAGTTTTGTCCTATGTTTTCTTCTAAGAATTTTATAATTTAAGTATTACATTTAGGTCATAAATCCATTTTGAGTTAATTTTTGTATATAGTGTTAAATAAGGATCCAACTTCATTCTTTTGTGTGTGAATATTTAGTTTTCCTAAAACTATTTGTTGAAAAGACTGTCTTTTCCCCATTGAATGGTCTTGGCACCTTTGTAAAACAATTATTTGAACATATATGCAAGGATTTATTTCTAGATTTGCTATGCTATCCCATTGGTCTATATCAATCTTTTAAAAAACTAAATTATTATAAAATTTATGGAAATATCATAGTTGTACATATTTTATGTACATATACATATATAGTTGTACATATATCTATCTTTATGCCAGTACCACTACACTGTTTTAATTACTGTAGCTTTGTAGTCAGTTTTGAAATCAGGAACTGTGAGTCTTCCAGCTTTGTTCTTCCATTTCAGGATTGTCTTGGTTATCCAGGATCCTTTGAGATTCCATATGAGTTTTTTTATTTATGCAAAAAAGTCCTTGGGATTGTGATAGGAATTGCATTCAATCTGTTGATCTCTTTGGATAGTATTGACATCTTATAATATTAAATCTTTGGATTCATGAACATGGGATGTCTTTTCATTTATGTCTTCTTCAATTTTTTTCAGAAATGTTTTGTAGTTTTCATTGTCCAAGACTTTAATCTTCTTGGATAAATTAATTTCTACGTATTTTATTCTTTTTGATGCTATTGTAAATGGAATAGTTTTCTTAATTTTTTTCCAGATGGCTTATTGTTAGTGTATCAAAATGCAACTGATTTTTGTGTGCTAACTTTGTATCTCGCTACTTTGCTGAATTCATGTATTAGTTCTAACAGGTTTTTTTCTCGTTTAATCTTTTTTTGATGTTTAACATCAGAGGGTACATATACAGATTTGTTACAAAGACATTTTGCATGATTCTGAGGTTCGGAGTATGAATGAATCTGTCACCCAGATAGTGAGCATAGTACCCAATAGGTAGCTTTTCAACCCTTGCTCCACTCCCTCACTTCCTGCTCTTGTATTTCCCAATGTTTTGTGTTTCCCAGTGAACAGTATTTCCCATTGTTCCCATCTTTATGTCCAAGTTTACCCAATGTTTAGTTCCCACTTATAAGTGAAAACATGAGATATTTGGTTTTCTGTTTCTGCATTAGTTTGCTTAGGATAATGGCCTCCAACCACATCCGCGTTGCTGCAAAAGACATGATTTTATTCTTTTTAATGGCTGTACAGTATTCCATAGCATATATGTACCACATTTTTTAAATCCAATCCACATTGATAGGCACTTGGGTTGATTCAATGTCTTTGCTATTGTGAACAGCACTGTAATGAACATAGAGGTGCATGTGTCTTTTTGGTAGAATTATTTATTTTCCTTTGGGCACCTACCCAGTAATGGAATTGCTGGGTTGAATGGTAGTTCAAATATTAGTTCATTAAGAAATCTCCAGGCTGGGCATGCTGGCTTATGCCAGGATAATCCCAGCACTTTGGGAGGCCAAGGTGGTTGGATCACTTGAGGTCAGGAGTTTGAGACCAGCCTGGCCAACATGGCAAAACCCTGTCTCTACTAAAAATACAAAAATTAGCCAGGCATGGTGGTGTGCACTTGTAGTCCCAGTTACTCTGGAGGCTGAGGCATGAGAATCGCTTGAACCCAGGAGATGGAGGTTGCACTGAGCCAAGATTGCACCCCTGTACTCCAGCCTGGGCAGCAGAGCAAGACTGTCTCAAAAAAAAAAAAAAAAAAAAAAAAAAGAAATCTCCAAACAGCTCTCCACGGTGGCTGAGCTAATTTACATTCCCACCAACAGTGTATAAGTGTTCCCTTTTCTTTGCAGCCTCACCAACATCTATTATTTTTCGACTTTTTAACAAAAGCCATTCTGACTAGTTGAGATGGTATTTCATTGTGGTTTTGATTGACATTTCTCTGATGGTTAGTGATGATGAGCATTTTTTCATATGTTCATTGGCCATTTGTAAGTCTTTTTTTGAGAAGTCTGTTCATGTCCTTTGCCTACTTTTTAATGGAGTTATTTGTTTTTGCTTATTGATTTAAGTTCCTTATACATTTTAGATAGTAGACCTTTGTTGAATTCATGGTTTGTGAATATTTTCTCCCATTCTGTAGGTTGTCTGTTTACTCCTTTGATAGTTTCTCTTGCTATGCAGAAGCTCTTTCGTTGAATTAGGTCCCACTTGTCAATTTTTGCTCTTGTTGCAATTGCTTTTGAGAACTTAGCCATAAATTATTTGCCAAGGCCAATATCAAGAAGGGTATTTCCTAGGTTTTCTTCCAGGATTTTTATAGTTTTAGGTTTTACATTTAAGTCCTTAATCCATCTTGAGTTAATTTTTATATATGGTGATAGGTAGGGGTTCGATTTCCTTCTTCTGCATACAGATAGCCAGTTATCCCAACACCATTTATTAAATAGGGAGTCTTTTCCCCATTGCTTTTTTTGTTAGATAGGGTCTCACTCTGTCACCCACACTGCAGTGCAGTGGCATGATCACAGCTCACTGCAGCCTCTACCTCCTGAGCTCAAGCAATTCTTCACCTCAGCCTCCTGGGTGGCTGGGACTACAGGTGTGTGCCACCATGCCTGGGTAATGTTTGTATTTTTTCTAGAGTTGGGGTTTCACCATGTTGCCCAGGCTGGTCGTGAACTCCTGGGCTCAAGAAATTCTCCTTGCCTCAGTCTCTTCAAGTGCTGGGATTATGGGCTTGAGACACTGCGCTGGGCCTCATTGCTTATTTTTGTCGATTTTGTCCAAGATCAGATAGTTGTACATGTGTGGTTTAATTTTTGAGTTCTCTATTCTGTTTCCTTGGTTTATGTGACTGTATTTGTACCCATACCATGCTATCTTGGTTACTCTAGCCTTGTAGCATAAGTTCGAAGTTGTCTAATGAGATGTCTCTGACGTTTTTATTTTTGCTAAGGATTGCTCTGGTGATTCTGGCTCTTTTTCGATTCCTCATGCATTTTAGAAGTTTTTTTCCAATTCTGTGAGAAATGATGTTGGTGGTTTGATAGGAATAGTATTGAACTTGTAGATTGCTTTGGGCAGTATTGCCATTTTAATGATGTCGATTCTTCCAGTTCATGAGCAGGAATATTTTCCCATTTATATGTATCATATCTAATCTCTTTCAGCAGTGTTTTGTAGTTCTCCTTGTAGAGATCTTTCACCTCCTTGGTTAGGTATATTCCTAGGTATTTTATTCTTTTTGTGGCTATTATAAATGGGACTGTGTTCTTGATTTGGCTCTCAGCTTGAATGTTATTGGTGTATATATATGCTACTGATTTTTGTGCCCTGAAACTTTACTGAAGTCGTTTATCAGTTCTAGGGGTCATTTGGCAGAGTCTTTAAGGTTTTCAAGGCATAGAATCATATCGTCAGTGAAGAGATAGTTTGACTTCTTCTTTCCCTATTTTGGTGCCTTTTATTTCTTTCTCTTACCTGATTGCTTTTCCTAGGACTTCCAGTACTACGTTCTGGAAGATATCCTTGTCTTCCAGGACATAGTGGACATCCTTTGGACATCCTTGCCTTGTTCCAGTTCTCAAGGGGAATACTTCAGCTTTTGCTGGCTCAGTATGATGTTAGCTGTGGGTTTGTCATGGATGGCTCTTACTATTTTGACATATGTTCCTTTGATGCCTAGTTTGGTGAGAATTTTATCATGAATAGATGTTAGATTTCATCAGAAATTTTCCTGCATCTATTGAGATGATTGCATGCTTTTTGTTTTTAATTCTGTTTATGTGGTGAACCACATTCATTGATTTGCATATGTTGAACCAACCTTGCATCCCAGAAATGAAGTCTACTTGATCACAGTGGATTAACTTTTTGATGTGCTGCTGGATTTGGTTTGTCAATATTTTGTTGAGGATTTTTGCCTCTATGTTCATCAGGGATATTGGCCTGAAATTTATTTTTTTCTTTCTTCCTTTCTTTTTTTCTTTTTTTTTGAGACAGAGTTTCATCCTTGTTGCCCAGGTTGGAGTGCAATGGCACAATCTTGGCTCACTGCAACCTCTGCTTCCTGGGTTCAAGCGATTCTCCTGCCTCAGCCTCCTGAGTAACTGGGATTATAAGCATACATCATCACATCCTGAAAATTTTTGTATTTCTAGTAGAGACAGGGCTTCATCATGTTGGCCAGGCTGCTCTTGAATTCCTGTCCTCAGGTGATCCACTCGCCTTGGCCTCCCCAACTGCTGGGATTACAGGCATGAGCCACCGTGCCCAGCCATTTTGTTTTTTTTGTTCTTTTTCACTATGTCTCTGTCAGAGTTTGGTATCAGGATGATACTGACTTCATAGAATGAGTTAGGGAGGAGTCTCTCCTCCTCAACTTTTTGGAATCGTTTCAGTAGGATTAGTACCAGCTCTTCTTCGTGCATCTGGTAGAATTTGGCTGTCAATCCATCTGGTCCAGGGCTTTTCTTGTTGTTGTTGAAGTTTTGCTCTTGTCTCCCAGGCTAGAGTGCAGTGGCACAATCTTGGCTTACTGCAACCTCCGCCTCCCAGGTTCAAGTGATTCTCCTGCCTCAGCCTCCCAAGTAGCTGGGATTACAGGTGCCTGCCACCATGGCTGGCTAATTTTTGTATTTTTAGTAGAGACGGGGTTTTGTCATGTTGGCCAGGCTGGTCTCGAACTCCTGACCTCAGCCTCAGCCTCCCAAAGTGCTGGGATTACAGGCATAAGCCACCATGCCTGGCCCCGGGGCTTTTTTTGATTGGTAGGTTTTATGTTACTGATTTAATTTCAGAACTCCTTATTGGTCTGTTCAGGTTCTCAGTTTCTTCCTGGTTCAGTCTTGGGAGGTGTATGTTTCTAGGAATTTATCCATTTCCTCTAGAGTTCTTTAGTTATGTGCATAGAGGTGTTCATAATAGTTTCTAAAGATCTTTTGTATTTCTGTGGGATTAGTTTTATTGTCATCTTTGTTATTTCTGATTGTGCTTATTTGGATCTTCTTTCTTTTTTCTTTGTTAATCTAGCAAGTGGTGCATTACATTGATCTAGTTTCATATGTTGAACCATCCTTGCATTCTAGGAATAAATCCTACTTGGTCATGATGTATAATGTTTTTAATATGCTGCTGAATTTGGTTTGCTAGTATTTTGTTGAGGAGTTTTGCATCAATGTTCTTTAAAAAACATTGTTCTGTAGCTTTCTTTTTTTAATCTAGCTTCTAAAATTAGGGTAATTCTGGCCTCATAGAGTGAGTTAGGAAGTGTTCCCTCCTCTTCCAGGTTTTGGAAAAGTTTGAGAAGGATTGGTGTTTGTTCTTTAAATATTAGGTAGAGTTCACTGGTAAAGCCATCATGTCCAGGGATTTTCTTTGTTAGGAGACAATGTCAGGAGTTTTTTTTTTTTTAGACAGAGTCTTGCTCTGTCACCCAAGCTCTGGAGTGCAGTGGTGTGATCTTGGCTCACTGCAACCTCCACCTCCTAGGTTCAAATGATTCTCCTACCTCAGCCACCTAAGTAGCTGGGATGACTGGCATGCACCAACACACCTGGCTAATTTTTTTATATTTTTAGTAGAGATGGGGTTTCACCATGTTGGCCAGGCTGGTCCCGAACTCCTGACCTTGTGATCCACCTACCTTGGCCTCCCAAAGTGCTAGGATTACAGGCTTGAGCCACTGCGCCCAGCCAAGATTTTTTATTACTGATTCCACCTCTTTATTAGTTACGGCTCTGTTCAGATTTTTTTTTTTTTGAGACAAAGTCCCATTCTGTCCCCCAGGCCAGAGTGCAGTGGCATGATTATAGCTCACTCACTGCAGCCTCAAAGTCCGGGGCTCAAACGATCCTCCTGCCTTAGCCTTCTGAGTAGCTGGGACTACAGGCATGTACCACCATGTCCAGCTAATTTTTATTTTTTCATAGAGACAGGACCTCACTATGTTGCCCAAGATGGTGATTTGCATTTTTTAAACTTTAGCCTGTCTAGTGCCTATGCCCAACTTTCTTCCTGTGCTAGAGGCTACAGAGCTTCAGCCTGGGCTTCTTCAGTAGCTGCAGATGGGTAGACTGCAGGCTCCCTAGATCCTCCTTCCATGTTTTCCTCAGACTAGATTCTGGAACTGCTGTCCTTTGAAGGATTTGTGTATTTGCAATGTCTACCTTTGGTGATCATTCAATTATTAAATAGGAACTTGTCGGGCACTAACCTTGTGCGAGATCCTCTGAACACCAAGTGAATTAGACCTAGCCTCTGCTTTTGAGAACTTGCTAGTCTAAAGGTGAGACAACGAGGTAAATAGATGGGTGCAGATACTCTGAATAAGTTGAGGACAGAGTGGGTAAGAGAGAACACAGGAGTAGGTATCTAGGAAAGAAATCACGCTTGAGATGAGGATTAGAGGACATGGGCAGTTCTTTTCAGAATCAACAAATTTTAAACAATCAAAAGTGAGATTTAAGTTAACTATCAGGTAATTTATTCAAGCGTTACATTAAAAACAATTTAAGAAACCAATTGGTACAAATGGGTTTTTATTCTTCCACCTTTATAAAGGTATCTGGTACTGGTAACTTTTGCTCTAACGCTGAAGTGTGAGAACGTCTCTCTAAAGAAGTAGTGGTTTGCCTGGGGGAGGACTCCTTGAGAGAACATTTAGCTTGAGAGAAAGTAGATCAGACTTGCATAAAAAGAAGGATGGGACAAAAAAAAAAGTGGCAGCTTCACTCAGGAGTAATTCATGTAATGCACTTCACCGTCATGATGGAGTCAGTTTTGGGGTCATCAGACTGCCTGACTACTCCCCACCCATGCATTCTACAAAGAAGCCTCCCTGATCATGTGGTTCTCCTGCTCGCATAGAGCCCATGATTAAGGAATAGGCCTAGAGGAAAAATACACATGTAGAAGAAATTCATGCCATCTCTCTGTATAGGAATCTGAGTGGGCAGCCAAACATTCAAAGAGAAACAAACAAACAAACAAACAAAAACAAAATAGGTTCCCTAAAAAGCAATAAGACTTATCATCATTAAAAATAGATGTTTGGCTGGTCATGGCAGCTCACGCCTGTAATCCCAGCACTTTGGGAGGCCAAGGTGGGCGGATAACCTGAGGTGAGGAATTCGAGACCAGCCTGATCAATATGATGAAACCCTGTCTCTACTAAAAATACAAAAATTAGCCGGCGTGATGGCATGCACCAGTAATCCCAGCTACTCGGGAGGCTGAGGCAGGAGAATCGGTTGAACTCGGGAGGCGGAGGTTGCAGTGAGCCGAGATCACACTATAACACTCCAGCCTGGGAAACAAGAGCAAAACTCCATCTAAAAAAAAAAATACAACAAATGTCTTCAAAATTGGCTGGGCGAGGTGGCTCATGCCTGTAATCCCAGCACTTTGGGAGGCCAAGGTGGGTGGATCACCTGAGGTCAGGAGTTCAAGACCAGCCTGGCCAACATGGTGAAACTCTGTTTCTACTAAAAATACAAAAAATTAGCCGGGCATGGTGGTGGACTCCTGTAATCCCAGCTACTCAGGAGGCTGAGGCAGGAGAATCGCTTGAACCCGGGAGGCAGAGGTTGCAGTGAGCTGAGATTGCGCCACTGCACTCTAGTCTGGGCAACAAGAGCAAAATTCCGTCTCGAAAAAAAAAAAGTCTTCAAAATTGTAAGGGAAAAAGAATAGCACCCTAGAATTCTTGCAGAGAAACAGAGCCAGACACTTGTTAAAGGTAGTAAAGACAAATATTCAGTGCTATTGTAATAGGGAAGAGAGGTTCAGTAAAACTGAGCTCAATCTTAATGCAGCAAATACAGCTAAGGATTCATAGCCAACAGGTAGATTGGATGAGTCAGGGGATAGAAATTTATTAAGAGGAGACATCAAGGGTAGGGAGGTTCTTGGTAAACCGGCCTAACGGGATTCTTGCTAGAGGCAGGCAAAGAACTTAGATATCAATGGAGGGGAATGAGGATCATGATCAAATATCGTTGGCGATCAGATTTCAAGGATGAGGGGATTCTCTCTAAACTGACTTAGCAAGGTTGCTCTAAAACTGGGTAATGCAGGCTGAGGACAGACCCAAAGATTAGGGCCTGCCTTCAGTTGAAAAGAAGGCTCAGAGGAGCCTGTCTAAAGTTTGGTCAAAGAGAGAGTCTTTGTCAGAATTTGATACGTATCCACACATACTGCCAAACAATATAAAGGCAGAGTAAGGAATATGTCAGAACTCAGAATGTTTAGTGCTACACACTCTATGTGGAAAATCACCTAAAGATAGACTTTAGCAAAATGGAAATGGAATCTAACAAAGAGGACCCTATGGGATATAAGTAATAGAGGTATATGACCCGGCAAAGTGAAGAAAAGTTGGGGGGAAGACATAAAAGACCTATTAGTTTTTTTTTTTTTTTTTTGAGACAGAGTCTCACTCTGTCGCTCAGGCTGGAGTGCAGTGGCTCAATCTCAGCTCACTGCAACCTGGGCCTCCTGGGTTCAAGAGATTCTCCTGCCTCAGCCTCCTGTGTAGCTGGGATTATAGGTGTGCATCACCATGACTGGCTAATTTTTGTATTTTTAGTAGAGACGGGGTTTCACTATGTTGGCCAGGCTGGTCTCGAACTCCTGAACTCAGGTGATCCGCCCACCTCGGTCTCCCAAAGTGCTGGGATTATAGGCATGAGCCACCGTGCCCGGCAATCCATTAGATCTTGATGTGTGGAAGACTCCCTTTTGAGTTACAAAGTCTTAGTGACACAGTAATATATTTCCATCACTAAGGGTTTAATCATATCTCTTGGCTCTAGAGCAAATATACAGAGGATTATAATATGGTAAATTCTGGGTTTGAGTTTTTAGTTTTTTGTCCATCTATATACAAATCACAAAATATTTTTATTCCCAGAAAATAATATAAACATTACACTTTTTTCCCCCACCGAGATGGAGTCTTGCTCTGTGGCCCAGGCTGGAACACAGTGGCAGGATCTTGGCTCACTGCAACCTCCGCCTCCCAGCTTCAAGCAATTTTCCCTTCTCAGCCTCCTGAGTATCTGTGATTACAGGCATGTGCCATCACACCCAGCTAATTTTTGTATTATTAGTAGAGACAGGGTTTCACCACATTGGCCAGGCTGGTCTCGGACTCCTGACCTCAAGAGATCCACCTGTCTTGGCCTCCCAAAGTGCTGGGATTACAGGCGTGAGCCACCACACCCAGCCAATATTACACATTTTTATTATATTAACAAAAATTTAGAGATGGAAAGGAGAGGTGGAAAGAAAGGCAAGTTTTCTCATTTCTGTGTCTTTCATTATGGGGAGATATAGTTTAAAGGTGGTAAATCAATAAATAATTAAATTAATTGAATCAAATTAAAATAATTATATTAATGATAAATATTAGGAAAACTAAAAAGCAGAAATTGTTAACAGAATTGCCTCTAGGGTGTAAGACTTAAGAAATGTGTAGAAAAACAACACAAAAATAAAATAAATGTGGAGGAAAAGAGACTTTATTTTCTCTTTTGTGCCCTTCATAAAATGTAAATATTGCATGTGTGTATGTACATACCTGGTAAAAATTTTCAAAAACTTGAAAAGTTGTCTTAATGCTGTGAAAAAAAAATAATATTCTTTTCCATTGGGCAAGAAAATAGATGAAAGCGGCCAGGCCTGGTGGCTCATGCCTATAATCCCAGCACTTTGGGAGGCCAAGGCAGGTGGATCGTCTGAGGTCAGGAGTTTGAGACCAGCCTGGCCAACATAGTGAAACCCCATCTCTACTAAAAATACAAAAATTAGCTGGGCGTGGTGGTGTGCACCTGCAGTCCCAGCTACTCAGGAGGCTGAGGCAGGAGAATCTCTTGAACCCAGGAGGTGGAGGTTGCAGTGAGCCGAGATTGAGCCACTGCACTCCAGCCTGGGTGACAGAGTGAGACTCTGTCTCAAAAATTTAAAAAAATAAATAAATAAAAAAGAAAGAAAGAAAAGATATATAAAAGCATTTTCTCAAAAGTTTTTACTATAGATGGCATGTCTAATATAACTTACTCACTTTTATGATCAGTTCTGTAGCCCTGAACAGTTAACAAACCAAGAAATCTTAATGTTGCTTTTTATCCACTGCTGCCACAAGGTAACAGCATCATAGTCTTTTTTCATGGCCCAGATAATAAAAGTAGGTTGTTTGGCAGTCCAAAAGTATTTACTCTTAATATATCTAGTCACTTGGTGAAATTTCTGCTCATTTTATTGAAAAGCCAGTAAGTCTCTAGATCTTGCTTATTCATAAGTATGCTTTTTAATAGCAAGCAACTTTATTCTCATGTCAAAAAAGAAAATTGAAACCGATGAGCATTCAGATACTTCTCTATGTTCCCATTGTTCCTTGAATTATAGTCTATTCAGGGAACTGATATGCATCTTATTAACTCTCAGTACTAGTTAGGTTGAAATTCAGGCTTTGCAATTTCTCACTTCTTATTACTAAAATTAATAAGCTTCAGTGGCTGCTTACTAAAATAACAGTCAAGAATTGACTTACACTGAGAGAACTTATTTGTCTCCCACTAAATGGTTCCTCTTTAAACCAAATCCAGAGGAAGTAGGAACTCTGTAGGTATTTTTCTACATGGATACTTTTAACTATTTGATTTGAAAATGTTGTGGGGCTCTGGGAGGTCAATGGAAGACATGGAACAGAACTTCAGCTTTGTGGGGTGGGTTGCATTTGTTTAATACAGATAAAGATGGCAAGCCTGTTCCAGATGGTAAAATGATTTGGGCAAAGGAACAGCAGCAGGAATTTTCAGGGAATACTGTTTATATTAATATATTAATTGTGTTATTATTAAATGTGGGAAGTAGGTTTGGGAAGATAGTTTGGATTCTCATTTTGAATACAAAAGCTTGAACTACATCCTGAAGACTAGGGAGAAGTGTTGAAGGTTTGCTCTACGCTTTATTTTAAGAAAAATCAACTTATTGTTCTTGTGAAAATAATATGTTTTCACTGCAAATCATCTAAGCAATGCAAAAGAAAAAGAAAAAACCCCCTGAAATCTCATTATTTGACAATTATACCTCAATAAAGCTGGGGGGAAATATTTTTTTAAAAAAACAACTCCTAAGTCCAACCATCTAAAAATAGTCACTATTAACATTTGATTAACATCATTCTAAATATCTTTTTATGCTTTTATATGGATAGAATGATAGATAAATAGGTATATAGACATAGGTACTTTAAAAAATTGTATCATAAGGTGTGTTATTAAAAAATAAAAAGTATTAAATTCAAGTTTACTTGAATTTAACAGAATTGAGTTAAAGTTAATTGAATTCTGTTAATCCTGAATTCTAATTTAAGTTAATTGAGTTAAAGATTCAAAAATTCAAGTTTACTTGAATTAAATAAACTTAAAGGAATAAAAAGGAAAAAAGGAACAAGTATAAAAAGAAATTTTAAAATCTGGACTTCAAATAAGGGTTAGGAAAAGTGACTTTGACATTATGTTGTTTTGTTTATTTGAAGTTTATTTAATTTTATTTAATTTAAATTTAATTTTATGAGACAGGGTCGTGCTCTGTCATCCAGACAGCAATGCAGTGGCATTGCAGCCTTGAACTCCTCCCACCTCAGCCTCCCAAGTAGCTGGGACCACAGGTATGCGCCACTACACCCAGCTAATTTTTTAGGAATGGGGTCTTGCAATATTGCCCATGCTGGTCTTGAACTCCTGAGCTCAAGCAAATCCTCCTGCTACAGCTTCCCTAGTTGCTGGGATTACAGGCATGGGCAACTGCCCAGGTCTGGTTTTTTAAGAATACGTTTTAAATTAGAATCTATTGTAAGCCCAAGGAGAGTGCACTCGTACTATACTATCTTCCATTACCTCCCTCCACAGGGCCCAATATTTCTTAGTCATACTATTTTACATTGTTAATTCATATAATATGTACATGGTATAAAGCAATGATTCACACAGGTATTCAGTATTAATTCTGTATTTAAACAGATTCAATGATCATCACAAATCCTTTTCCCAAGACTTCTTAATTATTGAAGTCTTAATTTTGCCCTATTTCTTAATTGGCTGAATTTCACTTTCAAGCATTTTCTCAAGAAGAATTTGAAAGAGCTTTTTTTTTTTTTTTGAGATGGAATTTCACTCTCGTTGCCCAGGCTGGAGTGCAATGGTGTGATCTTGGCTCACCACAACCTCCGCCTCCCGGGTTCAAGCGATTATCCTGCTCAGCCTCCTGAGTATCTGGGATCACAGGCATGTGTCACCATGCCCGGTTAATTTTGTATTTTTAGTAGAGATGGGGTTTCTCCATGTTGGTCAGGCTGGTCTCAAACTCCCAACCTCAGGCAATCTGCCTGCCTCGTCCTCCCAAAGTCCTGGGATTACAGGCGTGAGCCACCATGCCTGGCCAGAGAGAGCTCTTTCCTATGCATTCTTTTGTATTTGTGGGAATCTGCCTAGTATCTTTATTTCCAAATGACATCTTGGCTGGGTATAATATTCTTGGATCATACTTTTGTTCTTTCAGAATTCCGTAGCCAGTGCTCCATTGGCTTCTGTCTCTGGAATGTTGCTGTTGAGAAATGTAAGGATAGCCTGAGTTTTTTTCCTTGTAGGCATTCTACTTTTTCTGCCTGGTTATCTGAAGTTCAATAAGTTAATTACAATATTTTTCAGGACAGAATATTCTGTATCAAAGTGCTTTCTGTCTTGACCTTTCAAGCTGTAGATTAGTACTTCATTTTGGGGCAAACTTTTGTTTTTATATTTTTGAATACTTCTGTTCCATTTAATGAGTTCTCAATTTCAGGGACACCAATAACTTCTGTCTTCCATATCTATAGATTTCTATCTGATTGTTTTAATATCTTTGTGTTTTCATCTACCATTATTTTGATTATTTAAAACCATTTTCCATATCAATAGTTCCATTTCTAGGAGTGTAAAAGTCTTTAAAAAAGAAAAGAAAAAACTAATTCCACTCCTAGCCATGTCTATTTGGTTCCTTGTTTTCAGGTATTTATTAGTCTTTGGATTCTCAAATGTGCAACTTCCCTATTCATCTCCTTCCGTTGTTTTATTATCTTGGTTTTGAGTTCTTATTCTATTGAGCTCATTTTCTTGTCTTTTTTTTAGAGACAAGGTCTTGCTCTGTTGCCCAGGCTGGAGTACAGTGGCACAATCATAGCTCACTGTAACCTTGAACTCCTGGGCTCAAGAAATTCTCCTGCCTCAGGGTCCCAAGTAGCTAGGATTACAGGTGCCCAGCACCATGCCTGGTTAAATTTTTTTATTCTTGTAGAGACAAGGTGTTGCTATGTTGCCCAGACTGGTCTTAAACTCCTGGCCTCAAGCAATCCATTCACCTTGACCTCACAAAGCACTAGGATTACGTAAGTGTTAGCCACCACACCTGACCTGAGGTCATTTTCTTAATAAATTGTTCTACAGCTCAAAGCACTTGGGGTGAAGTTTTTTGTTTTTCTATTTGTCTCCAGAATTGCTTTCCACTTTATTTGAAACTTATTTGTTTTTCCTACTGAACTGCAGTTAGAAGAGTGTTATTTTATGCAGTATGCAGTTTTTCTATGATTTTTATGCTTGTCTGAAGAGGGGAGAGGGCTGCTCATGTGCAGCCTTTGTTAGAATACCTAAGTTCTGCAATCACTTCTGAGGTTTTGTTAAGTGTCTATTCCAAAGTTCACCCCACTAATGGCTGGTGTAGTCCATTTCCATGGAAAAGATAGCTTCACTTTTTGGAACTTCTCTCAGTTCAGCATGTTTTCCTGAGTCTTCACTGCCATCTTAAAGATTTGGTCTATTCCATACTTCCCATTTCAAGTTTTTCTCCCCAGTAGCCATTTTCAATTTTCCAGAGATGGGAGGGGAAAGAGAAGGAAAGCGTTTACTTTTCTTCTCTCTTGTAATGTATGTGGATATGTTTGTGTTAATTGTCAGGATTTTGTGGATCTAATTGTATGAGTTTTGATGGAATGAAGGCAGAACTGGAAGCCTTGACATGCTCCAGCCCAGAATCTTCTATTTATTTCCTTGACCACCACTTACTGACATTTAAGATACTGACGTTTTTTTGCCGTGGATACAATTTTAACTTTTTAAACTTTCCTAGATATTGGTTGAAACAGAGTCTGTGAGATAGCTTTACTCCATTTTCTTAATCTAGAAGTCTAATAATTTTTAATGTGTGTATATTTTCCATTTTTATTATAAAAATTGTATATCCTTGCTGTAAAATTTCAAACCAAACACAAGTATATAAAGTAAAAAGTGAAAGTTCCTTGTAATACTGCCCTCAAGAATATTACTTTTAACGGTCTCCAGATCTTTTTAAATATTTATTTTCTTTCTTTTTTCTTTCTTTCTTTTTTTTTTTTTTAAGATGGGGTCTCGCTCTGTCGCCCAGGCTGGAGTGCAGTGGCTCGATCTTGGCTCACTGCAAGCTCCGCCTCCCGGGCTCACACCATTCTCCTGCCTCAGCCTCCCGAGTAGCTGGGACTACAGGTGCCTGCCACCACGCCCGGCTAATTTTTTGTATTTTTTAGTAGAGACGGGGTTTCACCGTGTTAGCCAGGATGGTCTCGATCTCCTGACCTCGTGATCCACCCGCCTCAGCCTCCCAAAGTGCTGGGATTACAGGCGTGAGCCACCGCACCCAGCCTCTTTTTTCTTGGCAATGCTTTGACCTTTCAGTGATAATGTACAAATATATAAATACACAGATGTCTTCTTTAAAAAAAGAACAGCTTTATTGAAATATATTCCACATGCCATAAAAGTCACCCATTTTATGTGTACAAACCAATGATTTTTAGTAAATTTATAGAGTTGTACAACCATCATATATGTATGTACATAAATACATAGTTATTTTCTTATGCCCTGTTTAACTTACTCTCCCAGTTCTAAAATGTACTTACCTACTTACCTATGCCCACAGCATGCCCACATGGCTAGAGGCTGCTTTTCAGAACTCTTGGGTAGTTCTGTTCCTGTCAATTGAGCTACTTGCTTACTAAATGCCTTTGGGCTTATTTTATTTATTTATTAATATATCGGTGATATTTGCTATCATAATTTAGTTAAATTTTTGAAAACATGAAATATGAGCATAAAGAGAAAAGAGATGTTTCTGTGAAAACTAAGTTGAATGCATTGGAAAAGCTTGTTAAAGGCAAGTTGTTAAAAAAAATTGTTAAAGTAACTCTGGGTCGGAAATCTGAGAGTGGAAAGTCTTCCATCTAGAATAATTTCACATCCAAACACTGTGGCTCACACCTGTAATCCCAGCACTTTGAGAGGCTGAGGCGGGAGGATCCCTTGAGCCCAGGAGTTCCAGGCTGCAGTAAGCTATGATTGTGTCACTGCAGTCCAACTTGGGGAATAGAGCAAGACCCTGTCGCAAAAAAAAAAAAAAAAAAAAAAAGTCATCATAGCACTATTCATAATAGCAAAGACATGGAATTAACCTAAGTATCCATCAACAGTAGACTGGATAAAGAAAATGTGGTAGGTATACACCATAGCATACTACACAGCCAAAAAAGGAATGAGATAATGTCCTTTGCAGCAACATAGATGGAACTGCTTAGGTCATTATCCTAAGCAAACTAATGCAGGAAAACAAAACCAAATACCACATGTTCTCACTTATAAGTGGGAGCTAAACATTAAGTACAGATGGACACAAAGAAGGGAACAACAGACACTGGGGCCTACATGAGGGTGGAAATGAAAAGTTACCTATTGGGTACTATGTTCATTATGGCAGTGACAAAATAAAACGTACACCCAACCTCCTTGACATACAACTTACCTATATAGCAAACTTGCATATGTGACCCTGAATCAAAAATAAAAAACAAAAAGAATGTTGGTCTGGCACAATGGCTCACAGCTGTGATCCTAGAACTTTGGGAGGCTGAGGGGGGCGGATTGCCTGAGCTCAGGAGTTCGAGACCAGCCTGGGCAACATGGCGAAACCCTGTCTCTACAAAAAACACAAAAAATTAGCGGGGCATGTTGGTGGTGTGTCTGTAATCCCAGCTACTCGGGAGGCAGAGGCACGAGAATCGCTTGAACCCGGGAGGTGGAGGTTACAGTGAGCCAAGATCACGCCACTGCACTCCAGTCTGGGGGACAGAACAAGACCCTGTCTCAAAAAAAAAAAAAAATTGCATTCAGATTGCTTCACAAGTGTCTTTCAGTTATTGCTCCAGTTTAAAGAAACCTTTAAAGAAATTATAAATAGTTCATTAAAGGCAGGAAACTTCATTGAGCGGGCTATATTCACAGAAAAATCCTGAAACTACTTCAATTTGTAAGTCTTAAGTTAAAATAAAATGCTTATACAATAAGCTTATTTTTCTTAAAACAAAACTGTATACTGTACTGTATAATGCTTTATGATTCTGCATTTTTTTTTCTTTGAGACAGAGTTTCACTCTTGTTGCCCAGGCTGGAGTGCAGTAGCTCAATCTTGGCTCACTGCACCCTCTGCCTCCTGGGTTCAAGTGATTCTCCTGTCTCAGCCTCCTGAGTAGCTGGGATTACAGGCACCCACCACCATGCCCGGCTAATTTTTTGTATTTTTAGTAGAGATGGGGTTTCATCATGTTGGCCAGGCTGGTCTCAAACTCCCAACCTCAGGTGATCCACCTGCCTCAGCCTCCCAAAGTGCGCCCAGTGGATTCTGCATTTTAATCGACTTTTCAACTAACAACTTACCTCTAGTCCCAATGGCATGGAATAGAAGAGATTACAGACCGTGGGTTTGTAATCGACTTTTCTTTTACAACATATTAAGGGCATTTTTCATGTCACTTTATGTAAATTTACCTCATTTTTCTTTTTTGAGAGAGACAGGGTCTCACTGTTGCCCAGGGCAACAGCGAGATCATAGCTCAGTGCAATGGCGAGATCATAGCTCAATGCAGCCTTGAACTCCTGGGCTCAAGTGATCCTCCCACCTTAGCCTCCCCAGTAGCTAGGATTACAGGCACATACCACCACCCCTGGCTAATTAAAAAAAAATTTTTTTTTTGTAGAGATGGGGTCTTGCTATGCTGCCTGGGCTGTACTCTCTTTTTATTTATTTTTTATTCTTATTTTTTGAGACAGAGTTTTGCTCTTGTTGCCCAGGCTGGAGTACAATGGTATGATCTCAGCTTACCGCAACCTCTGCCTCCCGGGTTCAAGAGATTCTCCTGCCTCAGCCTCCTGAGTAGCTGGGATTACAAGTATGCGCCACCACACCCGGCTAATTTTGTAATTTTAGTAGAGACGGGATTTCTCCATGTTGGTCAGGCTGGTCTCGAACTCGCTACCTTAGATGATCTGCCCACCTCAGCCTCCCAAAGTGCTGGGATTACAGGAGTGAGCCACCGCGCCCGGCCCTATACTCATTTTTTATAAAACTGGCCTCATATTATTCCATTGTATAGTGGATACACTCTAATTTCTTTATAAATTATTTAAACTATTTTTTGATGTTTTGTTGAAAAAAAACTTGAGCAGGGAACTGATATTATGAAGGTGGATTGAGGGATGAATGTGGCAATAGAGCATAAAATGAATTAAAGAGGAGAGAATGGAAAAGGAAATGGTTGATGAGAGACCCTTGAAATAATCCAGCTGAGATTAGGCCAGTTAGTGGCCATGGGTTTCCCCCTCACTCTTATGCATCCAACATATGCTTTCGTCCGTCTTGAAGTCCCGACATTTCTAGAAAACACAGTTGTCTTTCTCCTCTCTACCTTAGCTCATCTCAGTCCTTCTGAATTTCATCTTTGCTTGTTGAAATCCTACCTCTCCTTCAATATCCAGAACAAACCCCACACCCTGCCATGATTGGTCCTGGCTGGAAACCGTCCCTCCTTCTTTCTTCCTTCCTCTGTGCATGTTTCTTGCAAAGGCAGTACAGGGCAGTGGTGAAGAGCAACGACTTTGGAACCACCAATTTGCTATCTCTGTGACCTTGGGCACCTTACTCAGTGCCAATTCGCAGTGCCTCAGTGTCCTCACCTGTCAGGGGGAGAAGTGCATACAGCATTGTTATGAAGAGTGAATTAGTTAAAGGTTGTAAGAATAGTGCCTGATAGCATCTGATCAGCACTGAATATATGTTAGCAATTATTTTGATTCACCGCAGAGGGCGGTCTACGAGAGCGCAGAGCCCCACTCGGCCAGCGGGGTCTGGCGGGGGACCTGTCGCGCTGAAAGCTCCAGGGTAGGGCCGACGCCCATCAGGCTGGGCATCCGTTCGGGATGCGCAGGTTGCGATCTGCAACCGGCGGCGCCACGCCCAGGCGGGCGGAGCGCGGTTCCCGGAGTCTCGCGCCCGCGGTCATGTGACACAGCGAAGATGGCGTCGCCCGGCTGCCTGTGGCTCTTGGCTGTGGCTCTCCTGCCATGGACCTGCGCTTCTCGGGCGCTGCAGCATCTGGACCCGCCGGCGCCGCTGCCGTTGGTGATCTGGCATGGGATGGGTGAGTGAGTGAGAAATTTAAAAGGGTTTGGCGATTCTCTCTCTTCCTAGCCTGGGTTCGCATCTGCAAAATGCGGGTGTAGAGGGCGAGGACGTGGTCCCACAGCACGCGGCTGCCTCGACATTTTAGGATTTGAAGGATCTGCATTGGAAAGAGAGAAGGGGAAGGAGCCGTCCCCTTCACTGGAAAGAGAGAAGGGGAAGGAAAGAGAGAGCCGCGCACGGCGTTGAAGTTTTACATGCTGTCCTTGATTAATCCTTACAGTAGTGGCGTCAGGATGCAGCATCTCTCACTTGGTCAGGCTAGGTGAGCTGCGGCTGGCTATATGACTGGCGCATCTACCCTTTTATTTATTCCTTCACACATTGAACAGAGATTTGTTAGGCACCTACAGTTCATTTACAAATTGAGTAACCCTTATCTGAAATGCTTGGGACTGGGAAGCATTTCGGATTTTTTTTTTTTTAATATTTGCATATATACAAGAGATCTGGGGGGTGGGACCCAAGTGTAAACAGGAAATTTATTTATTTTTCATATACACCTTATACACATAGCTGGAAGGTAATTTTATGCAATATTTTAAATAATTTTGTGCAACCCATCACATGAGGTCAGGTGTGGAATTTTCCACTTGTGGCATCATGTCTGCGCTGAAAAACTTTCAGATTTTGGGTTTCCCATTTTCAGATTAGGATGCTCAACCTATATTCATTTAACACAGTTATTGAGCACCTACTAGGTGCTGAGGATACAGTAGGGAACTAAACAGACTAAATTCTTTGTTCTTTTGGAACCTACTCTCCAGTAGGAGAAGCAGATTATAAAGAAATTAACAAGTAAAACATAACATATCAAATGGTGATATGTGCAACAGAGAAAAATATAGTAGGGTGTAGGATAAAAACTGGAGGTGGGGGCTTGCACTTTTAATAAAGCAAAGTTGGGAAAGAATTCATTGAAAAAGTGACATCTGAGTACAAAACTGAGGTAGATGAGGACAGTTGCCATTTGGCTGTCTGGTAGAAGGAACAGTAAATGGGAAAGCCCTGATGTGGAAGTATGTCTGGTGTGTTCAAGGGACAGCATTCAGATCAGCGTGGCTGGAAATGAGTAAGCAAGGGGAAGAAGTTAGGAGTTTAGTTTGGAAGGGAGGGGCAGGTACAGAAGTTATTGGGCCTAGTAAGACTAATGCAGGGACTTTGGCTAGAGTGTCATGGGGAACTTTTTGAGCAGATGAGTGACATGATCTGACACATTTTTAAAGAATCACTTTAGTTGCTGTATTAAGAATAGATCGTAGGGCGTCATGGATGGTCACAGGGAGACAGGTTAGGAAACTATTGCAATAATTTAAACAAGAGATGATGACTTGGAACTGTAGAGTAACAGTAGAGGTGTTGAGAAGTGGTCAAAGTTTGGATAGATTTTGAAGGTGGATTGCTAACAGATCAGACTTGGAATAAGAGAGAAAGAAAGGAGCCAAAGATGACTCCACAGGTTTTGGCCTGAACAATTGGAAGGGTGAAGTTTTCATTTTACCAAGATGGGGAAGCCTGTAGGACAAGCTGACTTAGGGTGGGGGAAAGATCAAGAGTCTGCTTTTGGGCTTACTAAACTTGAGATCCTCATGAGACACCCAGGAGATGTTGTAGAGGCATTTGGAGTGTGGAGTCTAGGACAGAGATACGGGTTGGAGATTTAAGTAGGGAGTCTTCGGCATACAGCTAGTAGTTAAAGGCTAGGTGAGACCACCTAGGAAATGAGCGTACACAGAGGACTAAGCCCTGAGGCACTCCATTCCATTTGGAGGTGGAGGAAATGAGGAGAAACTAGCAAAGGAGGCTGTAACCAAATAGCCGGTGAAGTGGAGGGGTCAGGAAAGCGCAGTGTCCTTGAAGCCAAGTGAAGAAAATGTTTCAGGAAGAAGGGCATGATCAACTGCATCAAATGTTGATAGGTCATGATCAACTGTATCAAATGTTAATGGGTCAAGGAAGATAAAGGCTGACAACTGATTATTGGATTTAGCAATATAAAGATGATTAATCTTGACAAAAGCAGTTTTGGGAGAGTCGTGATAGTGAGATCTTTATTGGGATGGGTTACAGAAAAATATTCAGAGTAATTAGAGTCAGCAAATACAAACACTTGCAAGGTTCTCCAACAGGCCCTGGGGCTACTACAGTGGGGTCAAAAGAGGACACAGGGTAGGAGCTTTGTGTTTTCCCAGAGCTCACAGTCAGTTACAGGGGAGGCAGAGGCAGTTAAGTAACCTACAATTACAGCTCAGTGTGGAGAACGTTGTTTTCAGAGAAATAAAAGGAATAGACAATTCTCTAGGCAGTAGCCTTTTCTTGTTCTAAAATTGGTGCTTAAGCTTTCTCGCAGGTTGAAAATGGAATAAGTAAGTTCAAAATGGGAAATGATCTCAGTCCACTTCTACTCAGTAGCCAGTTTGCTTCCTGTTCCTAGTTCTAGTTCCCTGAAATAGAAGAAACAAGTCTGGGGCTAGGACAAGATGAAGAGGCTCCTGAAGTGCAAATTTAAGGAGGCACTCACTCTCAAATTCAGGGTCAACACTTACATAAACCTGAGAATGAGTGCCTCCTTAAATTTTGTGCCCTAGAGCGGGGGTCCCAAACTCCCTGGGTCTGTGACCTGTTAGGAACTAGCCACACAGCAGGAGGTGAGTGAGCCTGCAGCCTTACCACCATGAGCTCTACCTCCTGTCAGATCAGCAGTGGCATTAGATTCTCAAAGAGCTCAAATGCTGTTGTGAACTGCGCATGTGAGGGATCTGGATTGGGTGCTCCTTATGAGAATCTAGCAAATGCCTGATGATCTGAGGTGGAACAGTTTTGAAAAATTGTCTTCCACAAACCTGGTCCCTGGTGCCAAAAAGGTTGAAGACCGCTGTCCTAGATGCTTAATTTGCCTCACCCTAGTCCTGGCCCTGAAGAGAAAACTTTGCATCTGTTCACCCCAAATATCCCCTGTGATAGGGGAAGGGAATGTGTACCTCTGCTTATTTTTCATTTGTAAATTTGGTGTCTTAATTATCCTATATGGGCTTTTTGGTTTTTTTGAGACAGGGTCTCGTTATGTTGCCCAAACTGGTCTCGAACTCTTGGCCTCAAGCAATCCTCCTGCCTCGTCTTACCAAAGCGCTGGGATGATAGGTATGAGCCCATGCTTGGCCTATATGGATTTTTTTTTTTTTTTTTTTTTGAGATGGAGCCTTGTTCTGTTGCCCAGGCTGGAGTGCAGTGGCATGATCTTGGCTCACTGAAACCTCCACCTTTCAGTTTCAAGCGATTCTCCTGCCTCAGCCCCCCAAGTAGCGGGACTACAGACATGTGCCACCACACCCGGCTAATTTTTGTATATTTAGTAGAGATGGGGTTTCACCATGTTGCCCAGGCTGGTCTCGAGCTCCTGACCTTGTGATCCACCCACCTCGGCCTCCCAAACTGCTGGGATTACAGACGTGAGCCATGACACCCAGCTCCTGTATGGACTTTTGAAGCTTGTTATTACTTGATAAACAGGAGCTAAGCAAAAAATGTTCTTTCTTCTGTTTTTTAAAATTGAGGTAAAAATTCATGTAAAGTTAACCATTTAAAATGGTACGATTCAGTGGCATTTAGTGTATTTGCAATGTTGTGCAACTAACACTTCTTTTTCAACACCCCAGAAAAACACACATAGCCATTAAGCAATCACTCCCTATTGCCCCCTCCTACTACTTCTTGATAATCTCCAGCTTAGTTTTCTGTATCTCAGTGGATTTGCCTGTTCTTTATTTATCCTATGAAAGGAATCATGCATTATGTGGCTTTTTGAGTCTGGCTTCTTTCACTTAGTATAATGTTTCTGAGGTTCATTCAAGTTGTAACATGTGTCAGCACTTTGTTCCTTTTTTATAACTCAGTAATATTCCATTGTGTGAATATACCACATTTTATTCATTCATTCATTGATGGACTGCTGGATTGTTTCTCCCTTTTGACTATTACAAACACTGCTGCTGTTAACATCTATATGCAAGTTTCTGCATGGACGTGTGTTTTTATTTCTTTGGGGTGTATAACTAGGAGTTGAATTGCTGAGTCATTTAGTAATCGTATGTTTAACTTTTTGAGAAACCACCAAACTGTTTTTCACAGTGGCTGCTTATTACATTCCCACCAGCAATGTCCAAGGGGTCCCATTTTTCTACATCGTTGACAATACTTGTTATTTTCTATTAAAAAATTATTATTAAAGACATCCTAGTCTGTGTGAAATGGTATCTCATCGTGGTTTTGGTTTGCATTTCACATGCCAGTGGTTAGCCATTTGTATATCTTCTTTGGAAAAATATCTGTTTAATTTCTTTTCCCATTTTTAAATTAGGTTATCTTTTTGTTGAGTTGTAAGTGAGTTATAGATTCCTTGTATATTCTGGATATTAAGCCCTTATCAGATAACTGTTTTGCAAATATTTTCTTCCATTCTATACATTGTTTTCACATCCTTGATAATGCTGTTTGAGGCCTCAGAGTTTTTAAACAATAAACAATATTTGGACTCATGAGTTTCCATCATTGTGTTTTGTTGGCTAGGAGACAGCTGTTGCAATCCCTTAAGCATGGGTGCTATTAAAAAAATGGTGGAGAAGAAAATACCTGGAATTTACGTCTTATCTTTAGAGATTGGGAAGACCCTGATGGAGGTAAGGCGCTTCACAGCTGTTCCTTTGAAGGGTTGCTGACTGATTTCATAGCATATACTGTTAAAATGCTTTGCCTTGTGTTTTCAGCAGCAGATCATACAGTGATACTTTCACCCTTGAGTGGCTCATGTGAGGATACCAACCTAAATGAGTTTACCTCTTAGAGAAGATGTCAGTGGTTGTTTTCAGTCCCATCCTCTCACTTCTCTCTGGCTTCTTTTTTAGGACGTGGAGAACAGCTTCTTCTTGAATGTCAATTCCCAAGTAACAACAGTGTGTCAGGCACTTGCTAAGGATCCTAAATTGCAGCAAGGCTACAATGCTATGGGATTCTCCCAGGGAGGCCAATTTCTGTACGTTCCTTTTTGTTATATTGTACCACTTATATGGAATTGATTTTTGTTTCTTTTATTCAGATAAATCCACTCCTCCAATTCAAGATTGTCACCTATCTTGGAAGGGAAATTTCCTAAAATGTTCCTGTGTAAGAAGCTTTATGGAACTTAATTTCTTTTCTTTTTTTTTTTTTTTTGAGACAGAATTTCTCTCTTGTTGCCCAGGCTGGAGTGCAGTGGCGCGATCTCAGCTCACTGCAACCTCCACGTCCCAGGTTCAAGTGATTCTCCTGCCTCAGCCTCCCGAGTAGCTGGGACTATAGGTGCTCACCACCACACCTAGCTAATTTTTTGTATTTTTAGTAGAGATGGGGTTTTACCATGTTGTCTAGGCTGGTCTCGAACTCCTGACCTCAGGTAGTCCACCCACCTCAGCCTCCCAAAGTGCTGAGATTACAGGTGTGAGCCACCATGCCTGGCTGGAGCTTAATTTATTTTCTATGAAAGTTGAAAGAAATATTTGCATTTGCCCATATCAGGAAAATCCTGAAACTCTGCGGGTTTGGGGAGTCACAGAGGATGACTAGCTTAATCTGTGATGCTGATTGTGGATGATACATTTCCATCTGACAGTCGGAGCTAAAACTCCCTTTTATTCCGTAGGAGGGCAGTGGCTCAGAGATGCCCTTCACCTCCCATGATCAATCTGATCTCGGTTGGGGGACAACATCAAGGTAACTTTGCCTCTTTGCTTTCTTTTTTCTGTATTCTAACCCACATGACCACCTGATTTAAAAAAAAATCTAGGAACTATATTTGCACAAGACATCAGCCATTCTTGCAAAATCCTGTTTCTCTAGCTTTTAACAAACTAGCCAGCATTGCTGGAGACATAGGAAGAGACTTAGGATTCCAGAGGCCTGGATCACTAGGTTGGCATCTACTTCTCTCCAATTTCATTGACACGATTGCATGGAAGTAAGATGGTTATAGCCACGTGGCAGGTGGTGGTTGAGGAGTTAGGAAAATTGAGTGACCTTTTCTGTTCTCTGATTTGGTGGTATCCTCTTGAATTTAGGCTTAGGCAAAGAATAGTGTGTAAGCTCTTGTGTCTATAAATTTAAACTCTTTGAGAAACAGCAGGTTTTCTATTTTGACGGAATTCCATACTATTGGGGAAGGATGTGTCATTAGAATGGAATTTCATCTCTGTTGTTGATGGGTATAGCTATTAGCTGGTATAATGTGGGAGCAGAATGATTCTCCGTGTAATCAGGAAACCTGGACTCACCCAATTAACTATTACTCCTAGGCAAGTAATTTGGTATCTTAGGTTCCACTCACAGATGGAAGAAACCAAAATATGGCCCTGCCTGTCCTATGGGAATTTTTCAGAGGATAAAGTGAAATAATAGGTAGGAAAATACTTTTTAAAAGTATAAGGATTATACAAACGTAAGTTGGTAAAAACAGCTTTATTATTCATTCATTTAACAAATATTTATTGAAAACCTATTATATGCCAGGAACAAGACAGACAAGGTTCTTGCATTCATGAAATATATATATATACACACACACATGTGCACATATATGCACATACATACATAGACATATATATACACATATGCACCTATATACACACATACATAGACATATATAGACATATATATACACACATATGCACTTATATACACATATATACACACACACATATATATATATACACGATAAAATGGAGGATAGCTGGGCACATGGTGGTGTACACCTGTAGTCCCTGCTACTTGGGAGGCTGAGGCTGGAGGATCATTTGAAGCCAGGAGTTCAAGACACTGTGGTGTGCTGTAATTGTGCCTGTGAATAGCCATTGCACTTTAGTCTAGGCAACATAGCAAGACCCAATCTCTTGGAAAAAAACAACAGGATACTGTTCGAAGGACACACTAGTGGTTGTAGTGCTTAAAGGAGTGGGCTCTGGGGCCAAACTGCCTGTGTCTGAATCCTGGCTTATACCTTATTGTCTAACCTTGGACAAGGTATTTAACCTCATTTTTACAGTTTTCTATCTGTGATATAGGGCAAATAATGAAATCTACTCCACAGGGTGGTTGTGAGGATTAAATTAATTATTGCCAATATTTTGCTTAGAACTATTTGTGTTACTCAAAACAATGTTATTGATGAGGATGCTAAGGATGAAGTATAACTGGGGGAGGGGAAGGAAATGGGGGTGGGTACTATTTGAGATAAGGTGGTCAGATGTGACTTGTGTAGGACCAAGACCTGAGAGCTGAAAATGCGTCCAGCCATGTGATGCAACACATCCTCCAGGGATGAGCAGGTAAAAAGATCCTTAGGCAGGAAAGAGTGTAGCAGCACCAGGAGGAAGCTGGTGATAGTATTAGTTCTCTGCGCTTTATTTTCATGAGGAATAAGTGAATGAAATCAGAGTTTGGTCCTGTTCATTTTGTTTCTCACAGTGCCTTGTGCATAGTGGGTATTCGATACATCATTATTGAAGGAGTGGATATTTGTCATCTACCACTGTAGGTGTTTTTGGACTCCCTCGATGCCCAGGAGAGAGCTCTCACATCTGTGACTTCATCCGAAAAACACTGAATGCTGGGGCGTACTCCAAAGTTGTTCAGGAACGGTATGTATGGTTAGCTGAAAAGATTACAGACCTGTCACCGTGTGAAAATATCATGCTGACTTTCATGCTCACAGTGATTCCAGCAGTAGTTCCTTGTGATATTCAAATGAGATCTTTTTTTTTGAGATGGAGTTTCGCTCTTGTTGCCCAGGCTGGAGGGCAGTGGCGTGATTTTGTCTCACTGCAACCTCTGCCTCCCAGGTTCAAGCGAGTCTCCTGCCTCCGCCTCCGAGTAGCTGGGATTACAGGCATGCGCCACTACGCCTGGCTAATTTTGTATTTTCAGAAGAGACTGGGTTTCTCCATGTTGTTTAGGCTGGTCTCCAACTTCCCGAGCTCAGGTGACCCACCCACCTTGGCCTCCCAAAGTGCTGGGATTACAGGCGTGAGCCACCACACCCGGCCTTCAAATGAGATCTTTTTGTACTATCTGCTCAATTTCATTGTAAACCTAAACTTGCTCCAAAAAGTCTATTAACTAAAAAACAAAGAAAGAAAAACAAGGGCATTTTTCTATGTAAGAAGAATGTAATTATAACAGAATAAATTTCCATCCTTAAAAAACAAACAGAAAGCCTTTAGAAAGTACTAAGCTCAAGGAATTATTGTTGGTATTTAGAGGACAGATTCTTTATGTCATTAGCTACTCCCTATATCACTGTCCCTGACTACTCAAATGTATTTGGGTATTTAGCATGGCCAGCCTGGCATAATGGCTCACACTTGTAATCCCAGCTCTTTGAGAGGCCAAGGCAGGAGGATTGCTTGAAGCCAGAAGTTCACAACCAGTCTGAACAACATAGTGAGACCCCTGTCTCTGTTAAAATCTATTTTTAAAAAAAAAAAGATGCAGAATTACTTTTGTAGTATGTGCTTGTTCAGTTGGTTCCAAACTTAATTGTATATCAGAACCACAGGGAAATTCATTAAAAATGGATTCCTGGGCTTTATCCTTAGAAGTTGTGGGCCGGGCATGGTGGCTCACGCCTGTAATCCCAGCACTTTGGGAGGTGGAGGCAGGTGGATCATGAGGTCAAGAGTTCAAGACCAGCCTAACCAACATGGTGAAATCCCGTCTCTATTAAAAATGCAAAAATTAACTGGGCGTGGTGGCGCACGCCTGTAATCTCAGCTAGTCAGGAGGCTGAGGCAGGAGAATCACTTAAAAAACCCGGGAGGCGGAGCTTGCAGTGAGCCGAGATTGCGCCACTGCACTCTAGCCTAGGCAACAGAGGGAGACTCCGTCTCAAAAAAAAAAAAAAAAAAGTTTTGATGGTAGGTCTGACGTGCTCTTGATGATAGCTGGAGTTTGGGATCAACTAATATCCTGTGGGTTTTCCAAGTGTCTCATTCTTGTCAAATAACAACTTTTTATTACAGTATATTCTTGAAGCCATTTTCCAAGATACAGCCTTGTGACTGACTCATGTTGTAACCACCTACAGCTAATAGCTGTCTTTTCTTTTCCCACTCGTTGGCTACACAAATAGCCACAAAGCTGTTTTGGGTCAGCAGTACCACCTGATGGTTATTATAGAAAACTAAGATACTCTGTACCTCTAGCTCCTTTTTTTTACCCTCAGGCTACACCAAGCTTTCCCCTTTGCCTGGTTTGATTGGCTGTGGCTAATTACAACTTAATTATTTATATTCTACATATTCTCTGTTCTCATGGATTTGCATGGTATTTAAACTTCATTCTTCTTCCTTTACTCTTTATTCTCACTCTTGCCCAGTTGCCTCCAAAACGCCTATACTTTTCTTTCTTTGTGTGAACCAAAACAACCCTTGGCGATCAGAATTCTGTTAGTGATGCTAAGTGAGCAGTCCGTCGGGGGGTGACAAGTGACACCTAAATACTGATTAAGGCGGGGCGCAGTGGCTCATGCCTGTTATCCCAGCACTTTGGGAGGCCTTGGTAGGCAGATCACTTGAGGCCTGGAGTTCAAGACCAGCCTGGCCAACATGGCAAAACCCCATCTCTACTAAAAATACAAAAATTAGGCAGGCGTGGTGGTGCACACCTGTAGTCTCAGCCACTCCGGAGGCTGAGGCTAGAGAATTGCTTGCACCCAGAAGGCGGAGGTTGCAGTGAGCTGAGATCGCACCACTGCACCCCAACCTAGATGACAGAGTGAGACTCTGTCTCAAAAAATAAAAATAAAAAATACTGATTAAAAGCTATAGATTGATGTGTTTATCTTCACTTCCTCCTTAAACTTTAATTAAGTGGTAGCAGAAGAATAAAAAGTGATAAACCCACAAGGGCAGAGAGAACAGGGAGAGAGGAGGTAAGAGATCATAAAAAATGGCAACATGTTTTTGAAAGCAAGCAAGCAGATGAATGAGTGTGAGAACTGTTTTAGCAGAGCAGATGGTGAAGGCTTAAAGTAATAAAGAGAAATCATTTTGTCTTTGTGATACTGTCCCAGGTTGCCCCTGGTATTAGGGAGGATTAATTCTGGTTGCAAGAAGAAACCCATATCAAGCCAAAGTAAATTTTAAAAGAAAGTAATACTCTGTTGGTGCCTAAAGCCTCATAGGGCCTAGAATCAAGAATTGGGAGCCATGAGGAGCCAGGGTATTCTCTCTCCAGTGCCATTGTTGCTTCTCTCTCTGTGTCGCTGCTTCTTTCTCTCCATGCAGACCAGCTTCCCCTGCCACCCACATGATGGAAGGTGGCCTCGCACGGCTTCCAAATGTTTAATTTTCTGTTAGGAGATTGTCTCAGTCTGAGGCTAGACTCTCTTTGTCCCGATTCAGATTCTTCAGGAAGGGACCATGCCCCAGCTCAGGTCAGGTCTCCCCCTCTGCTCTCATTAGCTGTGGCCAGAGAAGTGGGACCGTGCTTACTAACCATACCCCACCTCCCTGTAAACCAGTAGGCCGGGCAGGAAGAGTGCAAGAGAGGCAGAGACCCCAAAAGATGTCTTCCACATTCTTCAGATAACTTAACCTTAGCAAAGCAAACGTGATATCCTAATACGCACAGTAACTGGTGGGGAAGCCCCCGGCTTGGCATGGTGAGGGCAACGAGGAATGGTATAATAGTTCTCTCTCTCCTTCCTGGATGTAAAACTACCCTCTAGTTCCCTTTTGCCTTTGCAGATGCTGTCAGCCCTTCCTAGCCTTCTCCTTCCTCCGGTTTGCTCCCTGCCATCCCCTGCCCCACGCTCTACCCTCCTACCTCTACACTCCCTGCCACAATGAATGCTTCAGTGTTGCCCTGGCCTTGGCCTCCGTCTTCCCCCGTACCAGCTCAGAGGAAGCTAGAGCTTTACATATCCTGTTTAATTTTCATAGCAACTTGCCTTCCCCAGGTCTGCTCTGGGCCCCGCTCCCAGTTTGCACCCCACCCTCAGTGGATCTCAGAGTGCTTTTCCTCAATTGTCCAGTTTTCCCATGTCTTTGCCCTCAGCCGATGAACTTGCAACTTGGTTTTCTGGAAATATTAAGGCATCTACTCAGGCTCTCTCAGAGACTTTCAGCCATTCAAAAAAGTTAGAGAGTAATGTAACGAACTACAGGCATACCTCAGAGAAACTGAGGATTTGGTTCTAGACCACCACAATAAAGCAAATATTGTTAATACAGCAAGTCACACAAAGTTGTTGGTTTCCCAGCGCATATAAAAGCTATGTTTACACTATACTGAAGTCTATTAAGTGTGCAGTAGCATCATGCCTAAAAAAAGTACATGCCTTAATTAGAAAATACTTTATTGCTAAAAAATGCTAATCATTTGAGTCTTCAGCAAGTCATCTTTTTGCTGGTGGAGGGTCTTGCCTCGGTGTTGATGGCTGCTGACTGATCAGGGTGGTGGTTGCTGAAGGTTGGGATGTAGGGTCCAGCCCCACAGGGTCGGTGGGTTTTTCTCCCTGTGTGCGGAGATGAGAGATTGTAGAAATAAAGACACAAGACAAAGAGATAAAAGACAGCTGGGCCCGGGGGACCACTACCACCAAGACGTGGAGACTGGTAGCGGCCCCGAATGCCAGGCTGCGCTGATATTTATTGGATACAAGACAAGGGGGGCAGGGTAAGGAGTGTGAGCCATCTCCCATGATAGGTAAAGTCACATGGGTCACGTGTCCACTGGACAGGGGGCCCTTCCCTGTTTGGCAGCCGAGGTGGGGAGAGAGAGAGAGAAAGACAGCTTAGGCCATTATTTCTGCATATCAGAGACTTTTAGTACTTTCACTAATTTTGCTACTGCTATCTAAAAGGCAGAGCCAGGTGTACAGGATGGAACATGAAAGCAGGCTAGGAACATGACCACTGAAGCACAGCATCACAGGGAGATGGTTGGGCCTCCGGATAACTGCAGGCGGGCCTGACTGATGTCACGCCCTCCACAAGAGGTGGAGGAGTAGAGGCTTCTCTAAACTCCCCCGGGGAAAGGGAGACTCCCTTTCCCAGTCTGCTAAGTAGTGGGTGTTTTTCCTTGGCACTGACGCTACCACTAGACCACGGTCCGCTTGGCAACGGACATCTTCCCAGACGCTGGCATTACCGCTAGACCAAGGAGCCCTCTAGTGGCCCTGTCCGGGCATGACAGAGGGCTCACACTATTGTCTTCTGGTCACTTCTGAGCATGTCCCTTCAGCTCCTATCTCTGTATGGCCTGGCTTTTCCTAGGTTATGATTGTAGGGCAAGGATTATTATAATATTGGAATAAAGAATAATTGCTACAAACTAATGATGAATGGTATTCATATATAATCATGTTTATGATCTAGGTCTAGGATAACTCTTGTTGTTTTATATATTTTATTATACCGGAACAGCTCATGCCCTCGGTCTCTTGCCTCGGCACCTGGGTGGCCTGCTGCCCACATTGGGGTGGCTGTGCTAATTTCTTAAAGTGAGACAATGATGAACTTTGTATCAGTTGACTCTTCCTTTCATGAAAGATTTCTTTGTAGCATGCGATGCTATTTGGTAGCATTTTGGCCACAATAGAACATCTTTCAGAACTGGAGTCAATCCTCAAACCCTGCCGCTGCTTTTATGTAAGCTTATGTAATATTTATTCTAAATCCTTTGTTGTCGTTTCATCAGTGTTCACAGCATCTTCACCAGGAGTAGATTCCATCTCAAGAAGCCACTGTTTTGCTCATCCGTAAGAAGCAATTCCTTATCTGTTTTTTGAGATTGCAACAATTCAGTCACATCGTCAGGTTCCACTTCTAATTCTAGTTCTCCTGCTATTTCCACATCTGCAGTTACTTCCTTCATTGAAGTCTTGAATCCCTCAGCCATTCATGAGGGTTGGAATCAACTTCTTTTAAATTCCTGATAATACTGATATTTTGACCTCTTCCCGTGAATCATGAATTTTTGTTTGTTTGTTTTTGAGACAGAGTCTCACTCTGTCACCCAAGTTGGAGTGCAGTGGTGCCATTACAGCTTACTGCAACATAGCCTCAACCTCCCAGGCTCAAGCAATCCTCCCACCTCAGCGTCCTGAGCAGCTGGGACTACAGGTGTGAGCCACTACACCCCACTAATTTTTTAATTTTTTTGTAGAGATAGGATCTCATTTATGTTGCCCAGGCTAGTCTCACACTCCTGGGCTCCACTGATTTTCCCTCCTCACCCTCCCAAAGTGCATGGTACCCAGCCCGTTAATGTTCTTAATGGCATCTAGAATGATAAATCCTTTCCATCAGGTTTTCCGTTTACTTTGCCCAGATGCATCAAAGGGATCACTGTCTATGCAGCTACAACCTTGTAAATGTATTTCTTAAATAATAAGACTTGAAAATTGAAATTACTACTTGATCCATGGGCTGTAGAATGGATGTGCTGTGGCAGGCATGAAGACAACATTAATCTCTTTGTACATCTCCATCAGAGCGCTTGGGTGACCAGGTGCTTTTTAATGAGCTGTAATATTTGTTTGTTTTTTGAGTTTGTTTTTAAACTTTTTTTAATTAAAAAAAATAGTTTTTGAGACAGGGTTGTGCTCTCTTGCCCAGACTAGAGTGCAGTGGTGTGATCACAGCTCACTGCAGCCTTCACCTCCTGGACTCAAGCCATCCTCCCACTTCAGCCTCCTGAGTAGCTAGGACTACAGGCATGCACCGCCATGCTCGGCTACTTTTAAAAAGAATTTTCTTTTCTAGAGGTGGGGTCTTGCTATGTTGCCCAAGCTAGTCTTGAACTCCTGGCCTCAAATGGTCCTCCTACCTTGGCCTCCCAAAGTGCTGGCATTGTAGGTATGAGCCACCATGCCCAGCTGCGTGGTAATGTTTTGAAAGGAATCTTTTTTTCTGAGCAATAGGTCTCAACAGTGGGCTTAAAATAGTCAGCAAACCACACTGTAAACAGATCTGCTGTCATCCAGGCTTTGTGTTCCATTTGTAGAGCACAGGCAGAGTAATTTAGCGTAGTTCTTAAGGGCCCTAGGATTTAAAAAATGGTAACCCAGCATTGGCTTCAGCTTCAAGTCATCAGCTCCATGAGGCACTCACAAGAGAGTCAGCCTGTCCTTTGAAGTTTTGAAGCCAGGCATTGACTTCTCCTCTATAGCTGTGAAAGTCCTAGATGGCATCTTCTTCCAATTTAAGACTGTTTCACCTACACTGAAAATTTGTTGTTTATGGTCGCCACCTTCATTAAGTATCTTAGCTAGATCTCCTGGATAACTTACTGCAGCTTCTACATCAGCACTTGCTGCCCCATCTTGCACTCCTGTGTTATGGAGATGGTTTCTTTCCTTGAACCTTACAAACCAACCTCTGCTAGCTTCACACTTTTTTTCTGCAGCTTCCTCACCTCTCTCAGCCTTCATTGAATTGAAGAGAGTTAGGACGTTGCTCTGGATTAGGCTTTGGCTTAAGGGAATGTTGTGGCTGGTTTGGTCTTCTATCTAGACCACTCAGATTTTCTCCATAGCAGCAATAAGACTGTTTTGCTTCCTTATTATTTGTGTGTTCACTGAAATAACACTTCTAATTTTCCTCAGGAACTTTTTTTTTTTTGCATTCTATAAATGTTCAGAGTTCTAAACCTTTAAAAGGTTTCAAATACATGTATAAACACATTCTAGAATGTCACTCTGAC
Source organism: Homo sapiens (assembly GCF_000001405.40). Classification (NCBI taxonomy): domain Eukaryota; kingdom Metazoa; phylum Chordata; class Mammalia; order Primates; family Hominidae; genus Homo; species Homo sapiens. The sequence goes on along the minus strand of NC_000001.11, from coordinate 40,082,340 downwards.
TGTTGCTTCCTTTAACTTCAGTCTCATCTGCTCCTGGGAGGGAGAGCTCCATCTCTGACGTAGCTGGCTCTGTTGGGCTTTAGCGCCAGCCTGCTCCACCGAGTGGCGTTTTCAGGACCACTGCCTCTGGGCAGCTCTTCCACTCTGGCTACGGAGCGTATGTTGTAGAAATTTTGATTTCTCTCCCTGCCAACCTGGGATAGAGTTTGTTCGAATTTCCCCATGTGAGGCCTTGGGGTAACCGTGCCCATTTTGAGGAGGTGGGGGCTGGAAGGGAAGAGGAAGTGGAGAGAGATTGGAAAGAAAGTATAAAGAGTCCCCTTTGCTCCAGTTCCCAGCAAGTTCCTCATCTCCATCTGAGACTACCTCAGCCTGGACCTTATTGTCTATATCACTATCAGGCTTTTGGTCAAAGCCATTCAACAAGTCTCTAGAAAGTTCCAAGCTTTCCCACATTTTCCTGTCTTCTTCTGAGGCCTCCAAACTGTGCCAGCCTCTGCCTGTTACCCAGTTCCAAAGTCACTTCCACATTTTGGGTAACTTTTCAGCAGCACCCCACTCTACTGGTACTTATTTACTGTATTAGTCTGTTTTCATGCTACCGATAAAGACATACCCGAGACTGGGCAAATAGAGGTTTATAATGGACTTACAGTTCCATGTGGCTGGGGAAGCCTCACAATCATGGCGGAAGGCGAAAGGCACATCTCACATGACGGTAGACAAAAGAAGAGAGCTTGGGCAGGGAAACTCCCCTCTTAATTTTATTTTCTATTTATTTATTTATTTATTTATTTATTTTTTGAGATGGATTCTCGCTCTGTCTCCCAGGCTGGAGTGCAATGGCGTGATCTTGGCTCACTGCAACCTCAGCTTCCCAGGTTCAAGCGATTCTCCCTCCCTCTGCCTCCCAAGTAGCTGGGATTACAGGCACATGCCACCGTGCCTGGCTAATTTTTGTATTTTTAGTAGAGACGGGGTTTCCTCATGTTGGCCAGGTTGGTTTCGAACTCCTGACCTCAGGCGATCTGCCCGCCTTGGCCTCCCAAAGTGCTGGGATTATAAGCATGAGCCACAGAATCTGGCCCAACTCCCCTCTTTGAAACCATCAGATCTCATGAGACTTATTCACTGTCACGAGAACAGCACAGGAAAGACCCACCCCTGTAATTCAGTCACCTCCCATGACATATGGGAATTGTGGGAGTTACAATTCAAGATGAGATTTGGGTGAGGACACAGCCAAACCATATCAGCATGATAAGTATGATAAACCCCAGTGTCACAGGAGAAGCAAATATTGATGAGTCCTTTGCCTGAATCTTTTATAATTTCTGTACTATGCTGAACAGTCTGTCTCAACAAGGTGTCTTGTTGACAGACTGTTTCCTAGGTGCAAGTCTTGTCTTCTGTATTAAAGGGTAAGGCCTGGGACTTGAGGGCTTTGGCCTTTTGTCCTTGTTTTTTGAGACAGAGTCTCACTCTGTCGCACAGGCTGAAGTGCAGTGCTGCGATCTCAGCTCACTGCAACCTCTGCCGCCGGGGTTCTAGCAGTTCTCCTGCCTCAGCCTCCCAAGTAGCTAGGATTACAGGCGCCTGCCGCCGCGCCTGGCTAATTTTTGTAGTTTTAGTAGAGACGGGGTTTCACCATCTTGGCTAGGCTGGTCTTGAACTCCTGACCTCGTGATCCACCTGCCTCAGCCTCCCAAAGTGCTGGGATTACAGGTGTGAGCCACTGTGCCTGGCTGGCCTTTTGTCCTTTTAAAGTCTCTTGGTGGCCTTTGCACTGAGCATGCCCTGGGCGTACTGACTGACCTGTAGCTTGATCACCTCATTCTTTTTTTTTCCTACAGCCTCGTGCAAGCCGAATACTGGCATGACCCCATAAAGGAGGATGTGTATCGCAACCACAGCATCTTCTTGGCAGATATAAATCAGGAGCGGGTAAGCACCCAAACCGGGCTCCCATAGATGTGCGTTCTTTTTCCTGTTTAGGTCTTCATAAACAAATCAGCAGTGACTGTTTACCCAAACTGTCCTGGGCAGACACTAGGAAAGAGAAGTTCTGTTTTTTTTGGGAGGCAGGGCCTTTGAGATTCAGTTCCCTTTAGGGAGGTTGAAATTCATTTGCCTTTCTTCCCTTAAGTTCTTTCCCTCTCCTAGTGTTGAAACACACAGGATAAGCTCGGCAGGTTGCTGACTGGGCGAGGTGGAAATTCACAGCTGCTGTCTTAATGAGGGAAGCTTTCCTGATGGATCAGTCTGGGGGTGGATTTTTCTCTAGAGATTTACCTAAAAGAGAGATACAGTAGGCACTGAGTATGTCCCAGACACAAACATGGTTTGGTAGGTTCTGGTAAACTAGATGGCTCAGTTTATATTTGACTCATCTGGAGAGTCTTTTGGTTTTTTGTTTTGAAACAGTTTGAAGGGAAAAACAAACCAAACAAAAAACAACACAGAATAGTATATAGCAGAACGACCCAGAATTTGCAGTTTCTTATTTTGTCTTGGCTTTCTCTGACTAGAAGCCTCTCACCTATGTGATGGACACCTATGGAGTGTGGTGTAAACTCATAGTTGTACCTGTATGCCATGCTCAGTGGCATGTCAGTCAGATAGGATGGTAAGAAAAGCCTATAGAAGGCCGGGCGTGGTGGCTCACGCCTGTAATCCCAGCACTTTGGGAGGCCGAGGTGGGCAGATCACTTGAGGTCAGGAGTTCGAGACCAGCCTGGCCAGCATAGTGAAACCCTGTCTCTACTAAAAATACAAAATTAGCTGGATGTGGTGGCGATCACCTGTAATCCCAGCTACTCTGGAGGCTGAGGCAGGAGAATCGCTTGAACCTGGGAGGCAGAGGTTACAGTGAGCTGAGATGGTGCCACTGCACTCTGGCCTCGGTGACAGAGCGAGACTCCATCTCAAAAAAAAAAAAAAAAAAAAAAGGAAAAGAAAAGGCTGTGTAAGCAATCCCGTGACTGGGTATATACCCAAAGGAAAACAAATTGTCCTGCCAAAAAGACACTTGCACTCGTGTTTATTGCAGCACTGTTCACCATAGCAAAGACATGAAATCAACCTAGGTGCCCATCAGCGGTAGACTGGATAGAGAAAATGTGGTACATATACACCATGGAATATTACACAGTCATAAAAAAGAATGAAATCCTGTTCTTTGCAGCAACATGGATGCAGCTGGAGGCCGTTATCCTAAGCAAATGAACACAGAAACAGAAGACCAAATATCACATGTTCTCACTTATAAGTGGGAGCTAAACATTGGGTACACGTGAATATAAAGATGGGAACAATAGACACTGGAGACTCCAAAAGCTGGGAGGGAGAGGCTAGGGCTGAAAAACTTCCTGTTGGGCACTGTGTTCACTATCTGGGTGAAAGGATCAACAGAACCCCAAACCTCAGCATCACACAATATACCCTTATAACAAAACTACACATGTACCCCCCTGAATCTAAAATAAAATATTTTGTTTTTTAGAAAAAAAGAAAAAAAAAAGCTGTACAGGTATATCCTGGTCAGGAAGCTGGAAAACAGCCCATACCCATGGGGAAGAAACACAGTGGCACAGGGTCAGGGAGACCAGAAAACAGGAAGGCTTTACTCCCTCTGCTGGTGTCTGATGGTAATGACCTTAGGTGTTGCTGGCCTTTCTTTCAGGGTATCAATGAGTCCTACAAGAAAAACCTGATGGCCCTGAAGAAGTTTGTGATGGTGAAATTCCTCAATGATTCCATTGTGGACCCTGTAGATTCGGAGGTGAGACACTACTTAGGCCACATGCCAGGAGAGTAAATGGCATTAAAATAGGGCTGCTGGCCGGGCACGGTGGCTCATGCCTGTAATCCCAGCACTCTGGGAGGCCAAGGCGGGTGGATCACCTGAGGTCAGGAGTTCAAGACCAGCCTGGCCAACTTGGTGAAACCCCATCGCTACTCAAAATACAAAAAGAAATTAGCCGGGTATGGTGACAGCCATCTGTAATCCCAGCTGCTTGGGAAGCTGAGGCAGGAGAATTACTTGAACCCAGGAGGCAGAGCTTGCAGTGAGCCAAGATCGTGCCACTGCACCCCAGCCTGGGTGACAGAGCGAGACTCTGTCTCAAAAAGAACATAAAATGAAATTGAAATGAAATGAAAAAATACAGCTGCCTGCTGGGGAAAAAACCTTCAGTCCCTTCCACCAACTTTTGTATAAAACAGTTCTTCACCTGAGGTCCATAAATGGGACACTGAAGATTGTAATCAATCCCCCAACCCCAAAATTCTATGCAAAATTATGTAATTACATTCTCTGGGGAAGGATCTATAATTTTAATCCATTTTCCAGAGATCAGAGACCCAAAAAATGTTCAGAATCACTAGCCCAAAATATATAAATTCCTAAGCTTGGCCTCCAAGGTCTGCCTTGATCTGGCTTCACCCCATTTTCCAGCCTAATCTGCCTTGTCTGCACGCTTCATACACTCTTGATCAAGCCATATTGTACTACTTGTGCTTTTTCTCTCGTATGCCTTGGTTCATATATTTCTGTCTCTAGAATGCCCTTCCTTGGCTTCTCCACCTGACAATTTCTATTCGTCTGTCAAGGCAAGGATGCCATCCCCATTCCAAGCAGAATGTGATCGCTTTTTTAGAATCATCAGCCTCTGTTAAAACACTCATCACGTTATGTCACACCACCAGGGATTGGCCGATTGTGGCCCACAGGCCCAGTCCATCCTGCTACCCGTTTTGGTGCTACCCACGAGTAACACCAAACACTAACATAAAAGAATGTTTTTAACATTTTTTAATGGTTGGGGGAAAGAATTGGACATATAAAGATTATGTAAAATTTATTTAGACATATCAAGTATTTGGACATATAAAGATTATGTAAAATTTAAATTTCAGTGTCCTTATTGGAACAGTTTTAGTTACTTTTTACATACTGTCTGTGGCTGCATTTGTTACAGTGGCAGCAATGAGTAGTTACAACCATATGGCCCTTAAAGCCTAAAATATTTTGTATCTGGCCTTTACAAAAACGTTTGCTGACCTCTGTACTCAACAGTGAATTGTTTCCGTGCCTTGCAAGACTGGGAGCTTTTTGGAAACAGATTATGTATTCATCCTTGAATGTCTAGAGCTCAGCACAGGAATTTTTCACATTTATTGCTTAATAATTTTAGGAAGCAGAAATTCTGGGGAAGTGGAAAGCGGCCTCTCAGAAAGATTAACTCATCCCTCGGGCTCCACCCTTAAGAAGAGATGACTCAGACGCACCCTATCCATTTTTCCTTCTTCCTACAGCTTTATGATGTTCACTTTGTTGGCAGTTTTAGCTTCTAACCAGTCTCAAATTATTTTGGCAGTATGTGCTGTGTGTCATATCTGAGCTTCTTTCCTTTGCTTCTTCTGCAGTGGTTTGGATTTTACAGAAGTGGCCAAGCCAAGGAAACCATTCCCTTACAGGAGACCTCCCTGTACACACAGGTAACTGGCAGGGAGTCTATCTTGGGAGGTTGGTGTTTTTTCAGCTCCCAGTTCCTGAAGCTGCTATGTTCTTTGGTGCTGGAGCCCTTTCCTTTACACCTCAGAGCACTAGGTACTCCTGAAACACCTGACTCATGTCCAATATGGGTGAAGCTTGTTAGGCTCTTGATTATGTGCTCTAGCTTATTAGGCACTGGGTTACAAAAATCCACTACATCCTGAAACCTTATGGTTTCCAAACAACAAGAGAAACCTCATGTCTGATTCCCTTCTTTTGATAAAAAGGTTTTAAAACTAGCTGCCTTGGCTGAGGTACAGTCTGCTACAAATCCAGGAAGCCTCCATGCATGATGAGGGGCATTCCTTTTTTTTTCTTTGAGACGGGGTCTCGCTCTGTCACCCAGGCTGGAGTGCAGTGGAGCAATCTTGGCTCACTGCAACCCCTGCCTCCCAGATTCAAGCAATTCTCCTGCCTCAGCCCCCTTAGTAGCTGGGATTACAGGTGTGTGCCATCACACCTGGCTAATTTTTGTATTTTTAGGAGAGATGGAGTTTCACCATGTTGGCCAGGCTGGTCTTGAACTCCTGACCTCAGGTGATCCACCCACCTCAGCCTCCCAAAGTGCTGGGATTACAGGCGTGAGCCAGTGCGCCTGGCCAAGGGACATTACTTTTAAACATTAATAGATGTGAAATCCTGTTTCTAAATTACGCACTGACAAGGGAGGCTCCTGCAGGAGGTTGAGTGGGACTAGAGTTTTGAATTTTGTTTAGCAGTAGGTCCTGTATCTTAAGCAGAAGTTGCAGTAATTTGCCACCTCCAGTTCTGGGGCCTTCTACACTTTAAGGATTTTTTTTTTTTTTTTTTTTTTTTTTTTTTTTTGAGACAGTCTTGCTTTGTCACCCAGGCTGGAGTGCAATGGTGTGATCTCAGCTCACTGCAGCCTCCACCTCCTGGGTTCAAGCGATTATCCTGCCTCAGCCTCACTAGTAGCTGGGATTACAGGCACACGCCACCATGCCTAATACTTTGTTTTGTTAGTAGAGACGGGGTTTCACCATGTTGGCCAGGCTGGTCTTCAACTCCTGACCTCAGGTGATCCACCTGCCTCAGCCTTCAAGAGTGCTGGGATTACAGGTGTGAGCCACCACGCCCAGCCCTAAGGATTTTATATTGGAGACAGACTCTCCAAAATGCTAAGTACTACATCTGAACCAATCACCGTCTACTAGAATTCCTCCATGTTATTTCAGAGGTCATTTGTCTCCTCTTGGCTTGGCTTTTCTTTTGCACTGGGTGCCTCAACTTGGGTGGTGAGGTAAAAAGGGAAGCTAGAATCTGATTTGAGAAAAAAAAAAAAAAAGGCTTGAGAAATTACAGCTAAGAACTTCCTTACTGTGAAAACTCAAAATGATGTTGGCCACGGCAGAAGCACCATTCTGGCACTGTCGTAACTGCTTATCTTCCCAACCAGAGGTTGTTCTCCAGCATCTAGGCTATGGGTAATGACATTTTCAACTCCAGAATATGAAAGTGTCCAGGGTTTGTTACCTAACGGTTGGATATGGTTTTTCTGTTTTGTTCTTTTGAGACAGTTTTGCTCATTGCCCAGGCTGGAGTGCAATGGCATGATCTCAGCTCACTGCAACCTCCGCCTCCCGGGTTCAAGCGAATTCTCCTGTCTCAGCCTCCCAAGTAGCTAGGATTACAGGTGCCCGCCACCATGCCCAGCTAATTTTTGTATTTTTAGTAGAGACAAAGTGTCATCATATTGGTCAGGCTGGTCTTGAACTCCTGACCACAGGTGATCCGCCTGCCTTGGCCATCCAAAGTGCTGGGATTATAGGCGTGAGCCACCGCGCCTGTCCTGGGTTGGATGTTTTTTAAGTTACCTAGCTAATGTTCTGTCTTTGGCTCAGTCCCACTTACCTATGGCATTCTGAGGCAGTGTCGTCTATGGCTTGCCCACCTATAGGTAGTCCTCTGACTCTGAGCTTTTCAAAAATCAGAATCTAGAACACTGTATAGAGCAATCTCAATTGCATATCTATTTTTAATACTTAGAAAAAACTGGCCGGGTGTGGTGGCTCACGCCTGTAATCCCAGCACTTTGGGAGGCCGAGGCACGTGGATCACCTGAGGTCAGGAGATCAAGACCATCCTAGCTAACACAGTGAAACCCCATCTCTACTAAAAATACAAGAAATTACCCAGGCATGGTGGCATGCGCCTGTAATTCCAGCTACTCATGAGGCAGAGGCAGGAGAATCGCTTGAGCCAGAGAAGTGGAGGTTGCAGTGAGCCGAGATCGCACCACTGCACTCCAGCCTAAGCAACCGAGCAAGACTCCGTCTTGAAAGAAAGAAAGAGAAAGAGAGACAGAGAGAGAGAGAGGAAGAAGAAGAAGAAGCGGGGGGGACAGGAGGAGGGGGAGGAGAGAAGAAAGAAAAGAAAGGAAGAAAGAGAAAGAAAGAAAAAGAAAAAAGAGAAAGAAAAAGAAGTAGGAGATATTCTTTTTGGCATTTTTGAAAATACACCTCAATTTTAATACTCAGGACAAACTGCATTTTGAAAATATATCTCAAGTTAACGTACTTACCATTTTACTCCAAAACTTCATTAAGCTTTTTAATTAATTATGGCCTTTCCTTCTGCAGGACCGCCTGGGGCTAAAGGAAATGGACAATGCAGGACAGCTAGTGTTTCTGGCTACAGAAGGGGACCATCTTCAGTTGTCTGAAGAATGGTTTTATGCCCACATCATACCATTCCTTGGATGAAACCCGTATAGTTCACAATAGAGCTCAGGGAGCCCCTAACTCTTCCAAACCACATGGGAGACAGTTTCCTTCATGCCCAAGCCTGAGCTCAGATCCAGCTTGCAACTAATCCTTCTATCATCTAACATGCCCTACTTGGAAAGATCTAAGATCTGAATCTTATCCTTTGCCATCTTCTGTTACCATATGGTGTTGAATGCAAGTTTAATTACCATGGAGATTGTTTTACAAACTTTTGATGTGGTCAAGTTCAGTTTTAGAAAAGGGAGTCTGTTCCAGATCAGTGCCAGAACTGTGCCCAGGCCCAAAGGAGACAACTAACTAAAGTAGTGAGATAGATTCTAAGGGCAAACATTTTTCCAAGTCTTGCCATATTTCAAGCAAAGAGGTGCCCAGGCCTGAGGTACTCACATAAATGCTTTGTTTTGCTGGTGATTTAACCAGTGCTTGGAAAAATCTTGCTTGGCTATTTCTGCATCATTTCTTAAGGCTGCCTTCCTCTCTCAGTACGTTGCCCTCTGTGCTATCATCTTATCATCAATTATTAGACAAATCCCACTGGCCTACAGTCTTGCTTCTGCAGCACCCACTTTGTCTCCTCAGGTAGTGATGAATTAGTTGCTGTCACAAAAGGAGGGAAGTAGCACCCAAATTAAGTTGCTTAAGAGAGGAAATGTACATCTTGTATAACTTAGGGAGCGAAGAAAATGTAGGCGCGAAAGTGAAAAGTGAGGCAGCTAGTTCTTCCTATTCCATTCTCGACCAACCTGCCCTTTCTTAATATGACTAGTGGTCTTGATGCTAGAGTCAACTTACTCTGTTGCTGGCTTTAGCAGAGAATAGGAGGAACCATATGAAAAAGATCAGGCTTTCTGACTTCCATCCCCAAAACACATTTACCAGCATACTCCAAACTGTTTCTGATGTGTTCCATGAGAAAAGGATTGTTTGCTCAAAAAGCTTGGAAAATACTACACACTCCCTTTCTCCTTCTGGAGATCAACCCACATTAGAGTGTCTAAGGACTCCTGAGAATTCCTGTTACAGTAAACAAAACTAACGTAATCTACCATTTCCTACACTATTTGAGCATGGAAATCATAGTCCCCACTCTGTGAAAACTTAACGCTTTTTGGAAGACATTTCTGTAGCATGTCAGTTTGGAGAAATGATGAGCTACGCCTTGATGAAAGAACCGTGTTGGTGCTGCTAAGTTTAGCCATTATGGTTTTTCCTTTCTCTCTCTTAAGCCTTATTCTTCAACTAAAAGATGAGGATTAAGAGCAAGAAGTTGGGGGGGATGTGAAAATAATTTTATGAGGTTGTCTAAAATAAAGAGTAGTTTCTTATCCTTGGTGTTTTCAGTATTTTTTGCATTTCTGTACAGCCAATATCACAGGTAAACAACTAAGCAAGTTTGGTATTAACTTTATTCTATTTTCTGTATAACTTTAAGTACATAAAGGTTTATTTCCACAGGCCTCAGGAAATGGGTAGAAATCACAGGACAATCTCTCTTCCCACCAAAAAAAAGTTGCATATTTTGGTAAGTGTTTGTCCTAGAGGGAAAAACAACTGAAATTTACATTAGCAGTGCTGTGCAAGATTCTTACATAATTCAAGACCTAAAACCAGCCTGCAGTGGAGGTTTCAGTCCTCTGTTCAGGTGCTTAGACAGAAGCCATAAGCTGATGAGCATGACAGGGAAAAGGAGGCAGTGAAGACAGGTGACAGGCACCTGGCAGGGAAGAAGGATTCAGGAATGCCAGACTCCTTGAAATCATGTGGGTTTTTTTTTTTTTTTTTTTCCTTTTAAAGTCATCTCTATAGGAAGGTGCTGGGCAGGGATCCCAGAGAAAGAAAGGGTCCAAGACTCCATTAACTGCCCTGGATGAAGGGCACTGCTACAGCAGCTAGTACCAGAGACTCTCCTATCTCACGGTTGAGGCAGACCCAGGATAGAATAGAGAATAAAAGGAATGCTTATAGGAAACAATTTTGTATGGAATGCTAGATGGCCAAGCCTCAGCCTTTGGTCCAGTGCAACCCTTGCCTCGCTTGTCAACAGTGAAAAATTAGTTTGGTTAGAAGAACCATCTGGAAACACACCAGCTTCTGCTACCTTCATGCTCATTGTTAAAAAAAGATTAACCAGTGTGAACATTCTGATCTGTTAATTCCAGGGACTGTTTTCTTTCCAATGGACTGTTTGTTGGTAGAATAACCCCCAAAAGCTCAAAGCTAAAATGCATCATCAGTCCTAGTCGGCAGTTCCTTAAGAATGGACTGGCGGCGTGGTTGAGCTGATATGGAAAAGCTGCACCTTCCTGCAGAAGATCAACTGACCTGCTATCCCACCCCAAATTTCAGCCTGAGGTATATTTCAGTGAAGGCAGGTAGCTGTGCTTCTCAGAGCAGAGAAGCAGTTTTAAGAGCAAAAAGGTAGAGGAAATCTAGAAAAGAACCGTCTTGATACAGATTTATCCCATGGTGTGAAGGGAGGGCAAAGAACCCAGTGGCACTTCGCTTATCCAGCAATTTCTGTCACTGTGGTGACCAACTTCTGCCCGTTCCATAGGGTCTTGAACTGCTCAGGAACTGGGAATTCATTCTGCAAATAAAGAAGAGACAGCAGGTTTAAATCTGAGCTAAAGAACAGCTGGGGCTAAATCTCACACATTTCTCCCAATGCTTGCTTCCACTTAACCCCAGGAGCACGGTACAATGTAGCAAGAGACAAACCCACAGAGCCATGCTATGTTCTAGTGTTCAGCGATCTTGGACAGACTATTAAGTCTATGGGGTGTAAATAACAGTACATATGGCTTTATAGCACCAGCCTGACAAGGTGCCATGGCTCATCCCCATTATTTTTTGCTACCTTGAGCTCCACTTAGGCAGAAAGCACCTACCTTTGGGGCTCCACTACATGGGACTACCTCATTTCTGTGTACTTTTGGTGTGCATTATTGGGTTTTTACCTGCTCAGTGCAGAATGTTCATAAAATAGCTTTCTTCAATGCCAGAAATCTTCAGTCCCTTCTGTTTTTAACATCATACTAAAGAGATCAAGAAACTTACAAAGTCACCGCCTTCTGTAGGAATGAGGACATTCATCTCGGAAGATTTGGCACTGACTATTTCACAATCCAGGGAATTCTTGCTCAGGTAAGCATGGCAGCCATCTGTTTTGTTGATGGATATGGTTGGCACTTTACCCATTACCTGCAGAGTAAACAAAGAGAACTGAGTCCCAGTGGTTGGGAAGGACAACAGTAAGTCGCAGGAAAAGGTTTCCTGTTTCACGTGACTCAGCAACTACATGAAAAGCTCACAGATGCGCAAGACACTGGATACTCGGGTGGGTTGGGATGGGTCCTGAAAAGAACTTGCTTGAAGAGCCAACCCTTCTTCTGCCACGTCCAAAGCAGCTCAGCTTACAGACTTTGTAGAATCAGATTCCCACCAAAGCAACATCTGTGGGTCTACCATGTCTCTTTGAATTAATTCCTCAGGGACAAAAAGAAGGAGCCAAAATATCGAGTTACCTGAACTTTGACATCCTTACTGTTGATTATCTCCACAATGCCCACCACGTCATCGAATACCAGGCCAAGTTTCTTACAGTTATCTAGGAGAAGAAAGGGAGTGTGTCAACGTGTAACTTTAAAGGAAAGTAATATACATTTAGGAATCTTTAAGGATAGGGTAGGTAAAATGGTATTAGCCTTCTCGGGCTCTGGGACGGGGCTTGCGTGGGACAGCGACAAAGACTCACCTACTGTAATGGAGTTAATTTTGCCCTTGATTTGCAATGTCGTGTTGACACACTTGTATATGTAAGCCACCTGTTTCAGCTCTGTGTCCTCAATCACCAGGTTGGAAACATTTTCCTGATTTTCCTGTTAGAGAGAGATCCCAGGATTCTCATCACAAAGCACACACCGAACAAAAAATAACCAGGCTATCCCAAACTTTTTGTTCTTGCAATTGAAGCCAGAACTCTGCCCTCATCTAGCTAAGCTCCATTTAACCTCCTGTTCCTACTCCTTTTCCCCGGGAGGCGGAGGTTGCGGTAAGCCGAAATCGCGCCACTGCACTCCAGCCTGGGCGACAAAGTGAAACTCCATCTCAAAAAAATAAAATAATAAAAATACCTGCCCCTGTCTAGGTATTTTTAACTCACCACTCTCCACTTCTTGCCCTCCAGTTCAAGTACAGCTGGCTCCTTCTTTGTGGCTCGTTTGGGGGATGGGCTGGTTTGGGGTTTAGGTGCAGAGAATGGTTTGGGGCCACTGCGTACTGGACCACTCTGAGCCTTCAGGGCAGGGTTCTTGTGAGTCTTCATGTCATCAGATACATGTTTCAGGGCTGTAAGAACAACAGCTACCTTGTTCCTGTCCTTCATACCAGACCTTTGAGCTGCTATCGTCATGTTAAACATCCTTAACAGAAAATTCAAAGCCAAAACCAGAGCCTTTGAGATGTTCTCTTGCAAGCAGTTTTGGAAAAGTACTTTTATCATTTCTCTTCTCCCCAAGATTAAATTATATGGTTCCATTAACAACAACATGGAATGTGTGTATATTGTGGGTGAGGATAAGGATATGTAAATCCTTATCCTCTATGTCTAGAAAGACATATCAAATGTATGTGCACAAATATATAATTTTTAAAGCAATAAAGAAAAATGAGTGGTAGTAAAGAAAATTTGGTAAAAGGAAAAGAAAAAAATACCCTCACTCCCCACAGCTAACCCTACTTCCCCCACCTCCTCAGTCAGTGTTGGCATTTGCAACTCTACAATATTGTTTTCTACATATATTTGGTTTTGTTGGTTATAATCATACAGATTGTTAACAAATTTAGTTCAACTATTGACACTTAAAAACTTTCTCATGTTAACCTGTAGTTTAATATCTTTCTAGGCCAGGCGCTGTGGCTCATGCCTGTAATCCCACACTCTGGGAGGCCAAGGCAGGCGGATCACCTGAAGTTAGGAGTTCAAAACCAGCCTGGCTACCATGGTGTATTTTTAGTCTCTACTAAAAGTACAAAAAAATTAGCCGGGTGTGGTGGCAGGTGCTGTAGTCCCAGCTATTTAGGAGGCTGAGGCAGGAGAACTGCTTGAACCTGGGAGGCAGAGATTGCAGTGAGCCAAGATCACGCCACTGCACTCCAGCCTGAGCAACAAAGTGAGACTCCCATCTCAAAAAAAATAAAATAAAATAAAAAATAAAAGTAAAAATATATTTCTTTTATGTTTTAAGGGAAAAATAATTCATCATCTCCCACAGCAGGCTGACACACGCCTCGCTTTGAACATGGCCAGATCTATGTTAACTGTATAACAAATACTGAATGGCCTTTTTATCTCCACCATTCCTTGTGGTTGTAATTTACATACTAGATTTTTTTTTTCTTAAACATTACATGGTTCACTGTAGAAAAACATGTAATGGTGGCACAACATTTCATCAAGAGGCCGGGCGTGGTGGCTCACACCTGTAATCCCAGCACTTTGGGAGGCCGAGGTGGGCAGATCACCTGAGGTCAGGAGTTTGAGACCAGGCTGACCAACATGGAGAAACCCCATCTCTACTAAAAATACAAAAAAAAAAAATTAGCCAGGCATGGTGACGCATGGCTGTAATCCCAGGTACTCGGGAGGCTGAGGCAGGAGAATTGCTTGAACCTGGGAGGTGGAGGTTGCGGTGAGCCGAGATCGCGCCATTGCACTCCAGGCTGGGAAACGAGCAAAACTCCGTCTCAAAAAAAATAAAAAAATAAAAAACATTTCATCAAGAGGACATGTGGTAGTTAGCCATTTCTCTTACAGTTGGATTTAGGTTGTTACACCATTTTTAGCTACTATGATCATAGATTCCTAGAAGTGGCTGGACAACTCAGACTTCCACCAGCTGTGTTAAGGGTATCTACTTTATACCAACATTAGGTCACTCTCATGCAAATTTTCCATGTAACCAGTATGCATCTTCTGAGGAAGTTAACTCCCTAACACAATGCCTTCCCAGAGGCCATGTGGTGCCACGGAAAAAGCTCTGGGGAAAACCGCCAGCTCTGTGCCTTGGCACAAGAGGGTCCTCTATATATGCTACCTAATATTAAGTCACTTTCCCATGGGGCAGATGGCTTCCTCCAACTGTGATCATCATTTTCAATTTCCATTTAAGCCAGCTTTGCCGTCCCTTAAAGGAACAGGACACACCAAACGAGTCTCCACCACACAAGCCAGGGTTGTAGTTTACAGACGGTTCTGGTTGGTGGGGTCTGGCCCACACAACTTGTTGTACCTACTGTTCGTGTCCAAGTGCTCACTCACCATGTGTAATGCTCTCCCCCTGATTAATCTGCGCGAACAGTGATGAGCGGGAAGCAGACTCATATGAGCATGAAATGGTAGAGACTGGGGGAGGAGGGGGGCATGGTGGAGGGGGAGGAGGACATGATCCGGCAGAGGGTCCAGATGGCAGTCCGCTCAGTTCTTTTGCCACAGGCCCCTGGAACAATAAGTGCAGGTAACATCATCATCCTCTCTGCTCCCCTCTGTACCATTCCCAGTAGTGCCCTACATGGGCCAGTGCACATGGGGTCCCCACCACAGCCTTTGAGGCAATGATTAATGTGTCCTACCCATACCCAACTTGGCTTTATGCCTTCTCACCCTTTCCCAAGGATCCAGCTCTCAGTTCTATTTCTTGACCATCACATTTTGCCTTTGAACTCACCTGATTCCAGCTCTAAAAACTATTTCCACAAATCTACTTGACATCTTCCTTAGTGTGTTACCAGTACCTCTGATTCAACAGATTCAAAACTGATTTCATCATTTCCTGCCGCTCCTCTCCCTGTACAATCATCCCCTTGTCCCTATTTCAGTGAAAGATGTTACTATCCAAGACTGACTATTCAATCTTCTTTGAGGATTCCAACTTCTTCGACCTTATCAAATCTCTATTATCTTGGTGCTATCTCCTGCAAATGTTTTTCTACTATCCCCCAAACACCATGACCACTTTCATAATCTGAGCATGAGTCCTTATCCCTAACCTATACACTGAGACTCTTTTAAAGACAAATTGAATCATTATCACTCCCTTGCTCAAATACCTCATCCCAAAGTCTCAGCCTACCTTCCTTTCCAGCCTTTTCTCCTAAAATTCTGATCATTTCCCCTTATTGAAGCCAGAGATGACCAATCTCTACATTTACTCTGCATGTATTTTGTTTAAGCTGTGCCTTTTGTAGTATCCCACTTCTCACTGCCCTATACTACTTTCAAGTCTCACAGAAGAGTATATACCTTCAAAGTACAATCTCTTCTAGTGAGAAGCACTCTTCTCTTCCTCATACTCTAGTCTGTATCTTTATTATAGCATTTGGCTTGGTGATTTGTATTGGGGTTTTGCATTCTTATTTTTAAGCTCCTTAAAGGCTGGGATAGTGTAACTCATTTGTGTGTGTCTCCTGCTCCAGCACCAATCACTGTCCCTAACATATTTATTGAAATTGAATACCACTGAATATTCCTTCTCCTCTGATCCTTGCTTCCTCTACTCTTTTTACCCTTTCTTTCTCCTCCTTTTCTTCCTCCCTTCCACTGAAAAAACTAGCATTCCCTCACAGACTTTGGTAGTGCTGAAGTCTAAGAAACCTGTGGACCCCATGCTGGAGAGAGAAAGTGGGAGGGAGGGAGGGAGGGAGGAAGGATTCACTAACCGTTTTGCTCCAGGCCAGTCCGGTGGTATGGAACTCCTTAATGTAAGCCTGCAGCTCTGTCCATATACTTAAATAAGCTTTGACCCAGTCTACATGCTTCTTATCCCTGGGAGGATTAAAGAAGAACTTGTCACAGGTGATCCGGGTACATAACAGTGGTGACTCCAGAACCCTTCTTTCCTATGGGCTCACATTCTCCTACCCGTGGTGTTTCTTAGGCTCCGCTCAATGGCAGCTTTTCTATCATCACCAGCTTCTATGTATATACAACCTAGTCTATTACCCTAATCAGACCAAACTCCACTAAGATAGAGACTCTGGATTCTATCTCTATCTCTCATAGCAATGTTTCTCAAACTGTTTTAAGTACCAAAACTTTTTTTTTTCTTTTGACCACTTGCTGCTTATTGAAACTTTTTTCAAAGTAGACCTTAAACACAATCTAATATGTAAAACTGATAAAAGCAGACATTCTGTGCATAAAACCATGGTAGAGAGGAGAGCTCTTAAGTATCACTGTGGAACTCTAAAGACTAAGAAACTTAACTGCCTTATGAGACAATGCCTTATGTCAAAATATGCCCACCCTGACCAAAAGCAAACTTAAAAACTTTCCCTTAGGGGGAAACAATCAGCCTTAAATTATAGAAATAGCATTGTGCCTACGGTTCAAGTCCCCTCTCTTCTTATGTATTAACTGGGAAGGTTATTTAGCCTAAGACCTAGTTTCCTCAACTGTAAAGTGATGGGATAATGGTGGGATATATCAAAACACTGTCATGCTTAATTCCATGTTGCTAGAAGGATAAGGAAGTGCCTGTTGTTCTGGGACACATTTCACTCACAGGAAGGTGTAGTTTTCCTTAAAAAGAGTAGTTAATAAATGTTTGTTGATTGATGAAGGATGGAAGAAAGGAAAGGCTTGTGTAGATATGCAACTTAATAAATTTTGCCTGCAATCATTCCAGCTCAAAACCAGCAATGGAGAAGTCAGAACTGGTAGACGTATGTGGTTAGACATGCAATGACTGCCCTACGTAATACCTGCATTGGCTAGGCAGCCTTACTCTCACTTTAACTGACTTCATGAAAAATTTCTATTAAGTCCTATTGAACCCTTTGCCATTGGGCCAGTAACAAATTCTCAACAAAGGAACAAAATCTTATATAAAGGGCATTAGTCCATGTTACTGCCAGCAAAACTTCCTAAACCCAGAAGGGTAAGGATCAGAAGACTAAAAGGGCCTCTACCAAAAAAGGAGAGAAAGCAGAAGTGGAAGCAGAAGTATTTCCTGCTTGCAAATGCAGCTGTGAGACAATATCTGTAAAGCTCTCCAGAAAGCAGCCCTGAGATAAAACCAGCACAGTGGCTAAGGGCAGCCCTCAGTAACTCCAAAGTGCTACTCCAGCAAGTAACCAAATGGGTTTATCCTTTACCCCTTGAGAAAAAGCTGAACTTGGCTGGGCACAGTGGCTCACACCTGTAATCCCAGCACTTTGGGGAGACCAAGGCAGGAGAATCATTAGAGACCAGCCTGGGAAACAGTGAGACCTCATCTCTACGAAAAAATTAGAAAATTAGCCAGGCATGGTGGAGCGTGCCTGAAGTCCCAGCTACTTGGAGGACTGAGGTGGGAGGATTGTTTGAGCTGGGAGGTTGAGGCTGCAATGAGCTGTGATTGTGCCACTGTACTTCAGCCTGGGTGACAACGCAAGACACTGTCTCAGAAAAGAAAAAAAGAGAGAAAAGGCTGAACTTACACATCTTTGTACTCTTTGAGGACTCGGTTTGTATAAAACATGGCGGCATCATTCATTTCTTTCACATAAGGGCCAGGCTTGGGAGCCTAGAGAGAGACAAGCTGTCAGTGACTCAGGACCTCTCCAACTATATTGCCTTCCCTCTTAAAATCTATACCCACCCCCAGCCCTGGAATCTGCGCTGCTCACCATAGCCACCCAGCCCAGGGCCTGGATACTTTCGCTGACAGCTGACAGGTGATTAAACAACTTGCTGCCTCGGTTCTTCTCCCGAAAGGTTATCACTTCTTTGATCTGCTCTGAGATGGGTGCCAACAAATCGGAAAGCTTATTCTAGGAAAAGATACAAGAAAAGATTCAGGTTAACATCTTTCCACAAAGGTGTCTATGCCTTCTGATCCTGAAGGCAAGAATTCTCTATGGACTCTAGTGAGCACCCAAATAAACTGCATGAGTCCTGTCCTGATTCCTAAGGCTAAAATACTGCTCATCATCTCACTCTCCTCGTAGAGTTCCAACTCCTCAGGCTGCACCTGATGGTTCTTCATGATCAGGACCCATACTTCAGCTATACCACAGAACCTCCATTTCAGCCACCTGTCTCTTTTTTGTTCCACTCAGAGGACATACACTCAGGACATCATTCCTGTGCCTTACTCATGATGTTCTCTTTTTTTCCCATGAATCCAAATTTTCCTCATGCTTCATGAGGGCCCTCCAACCCAGCCACACCAGCCTCCTACAGCATTTGTTGTCAGCATAACCAATCTTGGCATTTTATCACTCACCAATACAAACTATTAATGGACCCATGTGAATATGTTTTACTTTCTCATTAATTCTTCAAAGACGAGCTCTTTTATCATCATGAAAGCCCCCAATGCATTGCCAGCCATATAGTAGCTGCTGTAAAGAACTGATGAATCAAATGCAATTAGGGGGCTTAGTCTGGGCATGGTGACCCACGCCTGTAATCCCAGCACTTTGGGAGGCCAAGGCAGGAGAACTGCTTGAGACCAGGAGTTCAAGACAGACTGAACAACACAGCACAACTTTGTCTCTACAAATAATAAAAAGAATTAGGGCCAGGCATGGTGGCTCACGCCTGTAATCCCAGCACTTTGGGAGGCCAAGGTGGGCAGATCGCTTGAGTCCAGGAGTTTAAGATCAGCCTGGGCAACATGGGGAAACCCCATCTCTATAAAAATACAAAAATCAGCTGGGCATGGTGGCGCATGCCTGTAGTCCCAGCTATTCAGGAGGCTGAGGTGGGAGAATCACTTGAGCCTGGGAGGTGGAGGTTTCAGTGAGCCGAGATCCTGCCACTGCACTCCAGCCTGGGCGACAGAGAGAAACTCCATCTCAGAAATAAATAAATAAATAAGTAAGTAAATAAGCAAGCCAGGCATGGTGGTGCACACTGTAGTCAAGGCTACTCAGGAGGCTGAGGTGGGAGGATCATTACACCTGGGAGGTCAAGGCTTCAGTGAGCTGTGATTGCACCACTACCCTCCAGTCTGGGTGACAAAACAACACCCTGTCTCAAAAAAAAAATTTTTTTTTAAACATAAATAAAATAAAAAACAATTAGGGGCTTAGCATTCAAGTAGGCACCTTGGCAAAATGGATGAATTTTGTTTGTGTTTGCACCCTTCCTCCAAAGCTCCATTTCCTGAACATCTCAATTCTCAGATCTTAACCATTCAGGACAGATTAAGAATTAAAATCTAATTCTACATATTAGAATTAGATGGCATCTATACACACACACACACACACACACACAATGTTTTTTGAGAGAAGGTCTTGCTCTGTCGCCCAGGCTGGAGTGCAGTGGTGTGTTCATGGCTCACTGCATCCTCAAACTTTCAGGCCCAAATCTTCCTCCCATTTCAGCCTCTCAAGTAGCTGGGACTATACGCATGCACCACCTTGCCTGGCTATTTTTATTTATTTTATTTTTTTAATTTTTAATAGAGACGAGGTCTTGCTATGTTGCCCAGGCTGGTCTCAAACTCCTGGCCTCAAGTGATCCTCCTGCCTCAGCCTCCCAAAGTGCTGGGATTACAGGAATGAGCCAGCACACTTAACCAGAATCTAATATATTTGACATTATCTTGCACTATTTTTATATTATCTAGGCATGCTGAGGGTCAAGGGTTTTAATACAGCATTTAGGACAACTTGCTTTATTATTCCTCTGTAACTAGGAAAACCAAATGCAAAAGAAGGAAACCTATATTCTTTGACTCCAAGAGAAATCTAAATTTTCTCTAATTCAACTTTTCACATCTTGCACCATAAAATTTTGAGGTGGGAGTAAAATTAAAGAGAGAGTCTCCCAACCAGTGAAGGATGAGGAGAGAAGCAATACTGTAGGAGTTTTAAGATCTCCACAGGAGCACTACTAAAGCCCATCCACAGTGAAGCAAGAGAATCATCTTTAAAGGGCTTTGGAGACACTATGATGAATGTGGACTCAGCAAAGAGGCAGGCAAGCAAAGTCCCAGGGATAACCACAGTCCTATGCAAAATGACAGAGAAAAAGCCAGTAGAGACCATTAAGTACCCAATAGTACCTTCCCATTAAGGCACTTGAAGTATGGCTCTACCTCTGGGACTTGGTATGAACATATATTATCAAAAGCCTAGTAGGTCTATTTTAAAATGTTATAATAGCTTGACATAAATCTCTCAACTCGTCCTGAGCATCAAACCAAAATGAAACCAGCTAGTAGTGAACTTACTTCTGCTGGCTGTTGACACTGAGAAGCTGTAACCAACAGAGCTCGCTCCAACTTCAAACCTGTGTGGACCATCTCCGCCTGCCAGAAAGAAGAATCAGCTATTGATGACACATTATAACTAGAGAAGTCTTGATAAGAATAACCTGAAACCTCTACTTCCATGTACTCTGATAGCAACCCAGGCACTTCATGTTATCCTCCTCATGTATTCCAGATTCCAGGGACTGAGAGCAGAATTACATACACTACTGTTCCTATTGGAACTCATCAGGGATATATATCCAGAGTTGGAAGTGAAGTTAATTGGATAATCACCTAGCTTACATGAAGTCATGTTAGCATCTTACACATGCATTGTGATACCGTGCACTGAAAAATCCTTCCTATTTCACATCAGCAAAATAAAACAAACAGCAACCAAAAAAACACCTTTCTTTTCTCAAAAATTGGAGACAGGAGTAAAGGCAAAGGCCTAAATTTCTGCTGAAAATTCTCAAGGTATTTACTCCTTTAGATTAAAGCTATCTCTCAAATGCCAGATACCATGACCCATTAATAAATAATTAAATCAATTTAGTGAGCTTAATGGAACAAAAGTATGAGTGCAGTGCACCAACTTCAAGTTATTTCCAAATAAAAAGTTAAAAAAAAAAAAAGTACAGCAGAAGTAGTATAAATATCATCTTGTGAAACTTTTATCTCAGTTACGAATATGTTCTTTCTTTCTAAGGGTCATTCGCAGTCAAAAGAATTTAAGAAACATGAGACTGTAAGCACTATTAAAATACAAAAATTCAAAGAAAGCAATCTATTTTTTCTGGATTTGCATTTTTAAAATACAAATGATAAATGTTTTAAAGTTTTTTCAAATGTTACAGAACTGTATTAAGTAAAAATGCAAGCCTCCACACCCTTATTAAAGTCCCAGTCCCACTCTCTAGAGCTAAAACCATTGGCAACAGATGGTATTTGAGAGGCTCAAAATAGATTTTCCAAAAGCCAAGCAACCAGTCTTCGAGAAAGGTTTAGGTGAAGAAGTTCCCAAGCATGGTTACTGTTTATAATTCGGTGAGCTAGCAGGAAGGTTTTTGGGTCCCAAAAATAGAGGTAGAATGTATATGTGAGTGTGGGGTGGGGGTGGGGGGTGGTGGTGATGACGTAGGAGGCATAAAGGAAGGTGGGAGGAAAGGCACCTGTCATTGCCTACTTCATATTCTTGCTGTGGGTTAAGTGTGAAAATAACCCACATTAGCATAACTAATAACTATCAAGCATAGTTTTATAAATGCTAAGTCATGATAATGACTCCTTTAAATAAGCCACTGTAGGTTTGATTATGTAATATGTTGGGATCAAACTGGTGCATATTCTTCACTACAAAGATGAACAGAACCATATTTTATGTACCAAGCAAGCTTTCTGTATAAATACGTGATAAAAGCAAGGGGCCTAGAAAAAAATGAGGAATCGTTTCTGTGGCTAGACTGAACTCCTCAGTACAGGCAAAAGAGAAAGAACATGTGTAATGCCCCAAACCAAGAGGAACTTCTCAAGGAGCTCTTAAACCAAGGATGAGGACCTTGGCTGACTGAAGAAAGCTGTTAGTCCTTAAAAGAAGGGGAAAAAGGCAAAACATCCTTACATGTTTCTGCACGTCTCCCCCAATCTCTTTACTGATCTTCAAGTACTCTGCCACAGGACCAGCAAGCAGCGAGTCAAATGCCTGCACATATGGAGCTGCTCCTGCTAAAGACAAACACACCACAAAGAATCAGCCATGCATCAGAAGGAGGCTTCTTTAAAACGTGCTTCTACATGAAAGTGGGGAGGCAAGGTAATACAGTCAACAGGATACAGAACAGGAGTAAGGAAACCTGGGTTCCAGGTCCAGTATCACCACTAACTGGTTGTGTGACCCTGACTAAATTCCTTTTCCTCTCTGAGCTTAATTTTCTTTATCTATAAAATGAAAATAAACAAAATGATCCTCCAAGGTTTTTTTTAGTGCTAACATTCTATGTTCCAACTGGTGCATGTGCAAAATGTCCAATTTGCCAATTGTTTGGAGAGAGGAATTTTATTATCACTTGTCATTTGACTTACATTGGAGTCATTCTGCTAAAGAAAGAGCAGGAAATATTGCACAAGCAGGAAGTTCTTGTGTTAAAATAACTTAACCACAGGCCTCCCTGTACAAGTCATTTCCTCTCTTATCTGTTCACAGCAATACAAATTACAAAAGGTAAACTTTCTAGATTAAGTTTTGGGAAGTTAGCGCCAAAGGAGAGAATAATAGAAAATTTTCAGGCCAAGACGCTCAAAGAAAGCATTCTGCTGGGCTGTGGACTGCTTACCTTTTGAAGGACTGTCTGCATACCCACGGTGCATGTCAGAGGTATGAGATACTGCCTCCAGGCGGCCCACTGCCCTCTCCAATCTTTCTACCAGATTTTGCATGTCAGCCATAATGGACCACCTGCTGAAACAGATCAAATGTCATTTGTTATTTAAATATTAAATAGCACCTACAGAGAAAAAAACAGAAAATTCCTGGTCATCCCCAGGTGGATGAAGAGGATGCCAATTCTCAGGAACAGAATAATTTAATAAAATTAGATATCATCTGCAAAATGGAACAATACAAAAATATCAGATAAAAAAGTAGCATATTTACAAAATCAAAAGACCTCATTAAGCAAGAGAACTGCTCAGGAAAAGGTGTTCACTAAAGTAAATGCTTACTCATTCAAATACTCAATATTTACTATGATACTGTGTGTAGAAAGTTAGAATTTGCAAAGGATAGTCACATACATTATCTCAGTTTGAGCCTCCCGACAACTATTCAGGAATAGAAGGATGATTACTACACGCTTAGAGATAGAAAACTTAGTTTCAGTGAAGCTAAATGACTTGTCTAGTCACACGGCCAGTGAATAGAGAAGCCAGTACTCCATCATATCCTTATCTGATCCTTCTGGTTCTAAGTTCAGTGTGTTTTTTTCCTACAACATCCTGCTGCCTGCATGTGAAATATCCCAAACCAAGATGAATAGGATGTTTACTCTTCCCTCAATAATTTTTTTTTTTTCAGACAAAGTCTTACAATGTCACCCAGGCTGGAGTGCAGTGGCAGGATCTCAGCTCACTGCAAGCTCCACCCTGTTGGGTTCAAGGGATTCTCCTGCCTCCCAAGTAGCTAGGGTTATAGGTGTGCGCCACCATGCCCAGCTAATTTTTTGTAGTTTTAGTAGCGACAGGGTTTCACTGTGTTGGCTAGGATGGTCTTGAACTCTTGACCTCAAGTAATCCACCCGCCTTGGCCTCCCAAAGTGCTAGGATTACAGGCGTGAGCCACTGTGCCCGGCCTGCCCTCAGTAATTTATAGTCTAATGGGGAGACTTAACATATGCACTAACAACTATGAAACAAATAGAAAAAAATGTTAAGGTGACATAAGAAAGTTGCTGATAGAGAGGCATGAGATTTCAAAGAGGGGAGTAATATATCAGCTGGAAGGATCAGATAAGGATATGATGGAGAAGCTGCCATTTGAGCCAGCCTTCAAATGAAGATGAGAAAGATCTGGACATGCAGTAGGGAAGGACACTAGACACATCCAAAAGAATTTGTTATAGATCTTTCACAAGTACTATCTTATCTGAAATAGCCTAATTCAATGTCTAATATCCCAAAGAAAGTAAGCTCCAACAGAGAAAGGACCTTATATAGCTTGTTCCTTACTGTATACTCTACCATCTAGACTACTACCTGGCAGGTAGTAGATGTTCAATAAATATTTATGAAGTTATAAACCTCACAAATAGCATTCCAAAACTCCAGAGGGATAAGGGTGCTAAAAGTTGCCCATAAGTCACACATAAGTGTAAAATATGATCAATGCACCTCTACATAAAGTATTTGAGACCCTAAGTGATCTCATAAAAACCAGTCAGTGAAATTTCAATCCAAGCTTTGACTTGGAAAGATTCCATTTCACAAAAGCGTCAATTCAGGCAACTGAATTCAGTTCAGGTAACTGAAGCTGAATGAACTCAACTCCCTTGAAGCTGCCTAAAATGACAACAGCAATTATGATTCCCCCAAAGATGACAGCATGCCAGAATTATCTCAATTTAACACATTGTCCTCCCTGTGGAAGAGATAAGCAGCTCACAAGATAAAGTAAGGAAGACAATATAGTCTCTGTCCATTCTCTGTGTACAGGCTCTGGTCTCTGTGGGCCCAATCACTTGTCAGAGAGTGTTGTTTAAAAGAGAAGCAAAGAAAAAAAATGAGAATGAGAACCAAACAAACCTTTCCATTCCTTGGCCTGCAGCAGCAGCAGAAGCCTCCAGGTCTATGTCCTACTCTCAAATAGAGCAGACCATAAGCAGTCAACATACTTTCCCTAATGTTATGACACTATCAACTGATATCTGAATTCCTGCCCTGTTCCATTATGCATACTGATCAAGAGACAGACTCACATATATATACAATCCACCACACTGTAAGTCCAGGGGAAAAGGCAAGGAACGCAATAAACTCCTAAGCTACCTTCCATGAACAGATACCACTCAGTTCTGTTATTAAAACATGTTCCTTCATACATGGATGTTTCAGGTTGAGACCACTGTTAACATGGAGACACAGTACATGTATTGCTAGAGGCTGCCAGAGTTTGTGAACATTTACCAATCTTAAATGCTTAATAATAGAGCTTCATGGGACTTTGGCTCCCTTTTTCCATATTTCATTTGTATTTATAGGCTTTCACTGCTAAACAAGCTAAAGTTCCGCTGTCTGACTTAAGCAGAATGAAAAAGGACAATACAGCTACCATTTATAGCTAATCTCATTCTACCATTAACCAAATACAAAAGAACAGAAACTGTTTTTTTTGCTCTTGGTGGGAGTAAGATGAGATTTGAGATGTTATGGAAAATAATGTCCAGAATTTAAGTATGACATTGTATGTGTGTGTAGAGAATGAGATTCAGTTGTGTGAAAGACACACCTTTTCTTATTCTCTATACACACGTACATTCTTCCGGTGGTCATGTACACTCCTAAAGCCTCTGACTACCCTTGTTGTAGTAACACCCAGCCTATTTGCGAGGTGGTACCACCATAACCACCTATAGACTAAAGACTACCAGAGCAGCATATCCATCTAGCTCAGGCCATTCATCTGGGATTAAATTTTAGATTCAGGCCAAGTACTGTGGCTCACAACTACAATCCCAGCACTCTGGAATGCCAAGATGGGAGGAAGTGTTTGAGCTCAGGAGTCCACGACCAGCCTGGACAACATGGCAAAATTCCATCTCTACAGAAAATAAAAAAATTAGCCGGGCATGATGGTACACACCTGTAGTCCCAGCTACCCAGGAGGCTGAGGTGTGAGGATTACCTGAGCCCAGGAGGTCGAGGATGCAATGAGTAGTGATTGTACCATGCACTCCAGCCTGGGTGACAGAGTGAGACCCTGTCTCCAAAAAAAAAAAAATCCAGCTTTCACCTAGACATCGCTACCTGGATGTCCCAAAGGCAACCTGAAATGTCCAAAAGCAGAAATCATATTCCCTAACATTGCTCCAGCACTGCTATCAATCACCTGATTGATCAAGTCAGTAACTGGAAACTGTTGGGCAGTATTATATAGTGGATAAGAGTGTTCTTTAGAGAAATCAGAGAGATTGGAGGTTTGAATAACAATATGCAGTGGCTTTGTGACTATAAGCAGTTATCAAACTTTCTGAGACTCAATTTCCTTATCTTTATAATGAAGACAATAATAGCACAAAAATCCAAAGGGCTTCAGTGAGAATAAATGAAGGAATCCATGTAGAAGTGCTTGGCACAGTCCTGGAAAATAGTAAGGATTCCATAAACTCCCCCACAACATCTTATCAGTCATCAAAATCCATAGGCTCTATTTAGTGTATCTCATGAATAGATGCCTCTTGCCTCCATCCTGACTGATAAGAGTTAGGATACTGGCTGGGCACAGTGGCTCACTCCTCTAATCCCAGCACTTTGGGAGGCCAAGACAGGAGGGTTGCTTGAGGTCAGGAGTTCAAGACTAGCCGGGGCAACATAGGGAGACCTTGTCTCTACAAAAATAATTTAAAATTTTTCCAAGCATGGTGGTGTACAGCTGTGGTCCCAGCTACCTGGGAGACTGAGGTGGGAGGATGGCTTAGGCCCAGAAGGTAGAGGCTTCAGTAAGCCATGAGTACCACTGCACTCCAGCCTGGGCAACAAAGCAAGATCCTGTCTCAAAAAAAAAGGATATCAAGACTTCACCAAGATTACTGCAATGACTTCTTGGCTAGTCTCCCCTAGTTACAGTAATAAACTTTGTTCATCCATTCTCCATATTATAGTCAGAGTGATCTATCTCAACACTTCCCAGAGTACTGAATGGTATTAAAGAAATATTTATAATTATATTTGCATTTAAGATATGATATTAGAGTTGCATTTGACACATACCCCAGAGCGTTCAGGGTAAAGTCCAAACAAGGGTTTCTCTCATCTAGTCCTGCTTAATCTTCTACCACTCCTGTTTTATCTCTTGCTACACCTTTCCTTAGCACACTACAGCAACCCGGGACTACTTGCGTTTTCCAGAAAAAGCCATGCTTTCTCTCACTTCTGAGCCTTTATAATGCTATCCACTCTGCTTAGATGTTTTCCCTTTCCCATCTGCCCCTCTAGAACTCCTATTGTCATTTAAGTCTCAGCTAAGTTATCACCTCCTGGGGAAGTATTTCTAGTATGTGCTACCACAACACTGTGCACTTATCTGTGTCACAACACTGCACACACTGGTTTAAAATCATTTATTTGGCCGGGCATGGTGGCTCACGCCTGTAATCCCAGCACTTTGGGAGGGCAACACAGGCAATCACTTGAGGCCAGGAGTTTGAGATCAGCCTGGCCAACATGGCAAAACCCCGTCTCTACTAAATCCCATCTCTACTAAACATACAAAAATTACCTGGGCATGGTGGCGCATGCTATGATCTCAGCTACTACAGTGGCTGAAGCACAAGAATGGCTTGAACCTGGGAAGTGGAGGTTGCAGTGAGCCGAGATAGTACCACTGCACTCCAGCCTGGGTGACAGAGCAAGATTCTGTCTCAAGACATTAGTAATAAAAAAATAAAATAATTTATTTAATAGCCTTCAGAGTCTAAGAGTTTATGGCCATAATCCCCTGAATGCATCTGATCTCCTCTAACAGTCAACAGGCAACTAGCCACCCTAAGGCAAGGACCATGTCTTGCCACTGTAATTCCACTACTATAAACATAGGAGGCATTAAAAACACTGTACATTGGCTCACGCCTGTAATCCTAGCACTTTGGGAGGCCGAGACGGGTGGATTGCCTGAGCTCAGGAGTTCGAGACCAGCTGGGAAGCACAGTGAAACCTCGTCTCTACTTAGCCAGGCGTGGTGGTATGCGCCTGTAGTCCCAGCTACTTGGGAGGCTGAGGCATGAGAATTGCTTGAACCTGAGAGGTGGAGGTTGCAGTAAGCTGAGATTGCGCCACTGCACTCCAGCTTGGACAACAGAGTGAGATTATGTTTCCAAAAAAAAAAAAAAGAACAGTGGGCTAATAAAGGTGTTTGAGTAAGAAAATAAATAAATAAAGGCTCTTACTCACTCTCCCCTCAACACAGTGTGGCTATCTTCTCTATCGAATCCATGGAGAAGTGTTTTGTTTTGTTTTGTTTTAATTTTTTGCTTATCTGCTTTTGCAGGACCTTACAAACCCTCCTGTCTTTCAAATAAATGTTGCCTTCTCAGCCACGAATCACACTGATATAGAGATCTTCAAACTAAGTACCATAAGGAAAGTACTCTTCTTAGAATATATAATATCAATTAAATATAGTAATTCTGTATAGTTGTAAATGCTTAACATTATTAATCTGTTGATTCTTTTGAGACTTAAAATAATTCTGCAAGGTATGTTACGCAGACATTGATCCCTATTTTTAGAATGAAGAAACTGAACTGACATTCACAGCAGTTAAAAGCTTGCCAGATGGCCAGGCACGGTGGCTCATGCCTGTAATCACAGCACTTTGGGAGGCTGAGGTGAGTGGGTCACCTGAGGTCGGGAGTTCGAGACCAGCCTGACCAACATGGAGAAACCCCGTCTTTACTAAAAATACAAAATTAGCCTGGAGTAGCGGTGCATGCCTGTAATCCCAGCTACTTGGGAAGCTAAGGCAGAATTGCTGGAACCTGGGAGGCGGAGATTGCAGTGAGCCGAGTTCACGCCATTACACTCCAGCCTGGGCAACAAGAGCAAAACTCCATCTCAAAAAAAAAAACTTGCCAGAGGTCAAACAACTAGTGAGTAAAGAACCTAGGCCTAGAGTACAAATATTCTGAATCCTACTCTGCAGCTCTTCTTGCTACTCCACAATGGCTTTTAACAAATTAAGTGACTATATGGTTAATCACAGTATCCAGCCCCAACTTGTTTGCACAGCACTATGGGCTCAAGGTCTCTTTATGGTGTCTTTAGTTACATTATTATCATCTTCCATTTTTCTTTTTTTTGAGATGGAGTCTCCCTCTGTCACCCAGGCTGGCTGTACAGTGGCACGATCTCAGATCACTGCAACCTCCACCTCCCGGGTTCAAGCAATTCTCCTGCCTCAGCTTCCCGAGTAGCTGGGACTACAGGCACCTGCCACCACGCCCGGCTAATTTTTTGTATTTTTAGTAGAGACGGGGTTTCACCATGTTAGCCAGGATGGTCTCGATCTCCTGACCTGGTGATCCGCCCGCCTTGGCCTCCCAAAGTGCTGGGATTACAGGCGTGAGCCACCATGCCTGGCCAATTTTTTGTATTTTTATTAGAGACGGGGTTTCACCGTGTTAGCCAGGATGGTCTCAATCTCCTGACCTGGTGATCCACCTGCCTCGGCCTCCCAAAGTGCTGGGATTACAGGCGTGAGCCACCGCGCCTGGCCAGCATCTTCCATTTTTCTGCTTTCAATTTTCTCCATGGAGGCCAACTTTTTTTCAATCACATTCAGGATAGATGAGACATATTTGGAAAGCAAATGTTTAAAATAAGGCTTCTCAGGCCAGGCATGATAGCTCACACCTATAATCCCAGCACTTTGGGAGGCCAAGGCAGGAGGATGGCTTAAGGCCAGAAGTTCAAGACCAGCCTGGGCAACATAGCAAAATCTCATCTCTTTTATTTAAATAAATAAATAAATAAGGCTTCTCCCAAACACAGAAGTATCAGAGCAGAGAACTGTATGTCTGCCTAATCTTGCTCCTTGCCATTTCTAATTGTCAATAACCAAGAACTATACGTAAACCTCCATAAATGAATGTCCGGATTCCCAACTACTTAAGCATTCATCATAAAAGCTTCAGAAACACAGGTGGTCAAAATTACACAAGTCCAAATAAAATTAGAAGACTGAGGCCTGAGTCCCAAGCTGTACATACTAACTGTGCAACTTTACACAGTCACATAATGGATTATAATCCTCATCTAGCATACACAGATATAAGGATCAAAGGAGGTGATTTCATAGATACGAGTAATCACTTCAGAAGCCTTAAAATGCAATTCAAATGTAAAATGTTAGCACTACATATTACGTACTAGAATATAGGCTCAAGAAGGATGGGAATTTATCCATTCTACCTCCTGCACTGACTCTATCTCCCAGCACCTAGAAAAACTAGGCACACAGAAGATGCTAATAAAATCAAAGTGCTTAGCATTGTGGGCCTACTGAAGAAATAGAAGACACATGGTCCCTCCCCTCCAGAAGCACTCATATTGGTTAAGACAACAAAATAAAATGTGAATGGAATAAATACTGTAGATTATATTTGTTAAAGTTTTTCTGCTTTTATTTAAAAAACAAAACAAAACAAAAAAAAACAGGCTGGGCGCGGTGGCTCACGCCTGTAATCCCAGCACTTTGGGAGGCCGAGGCAGGCGGATCACAAGGTCAGGAGATCGAGACCATCCTAGCTAACACTGTGAAACCCCGTCTCTAATAAAAAAAATTAGCCAGGCACGGTGGCAGGGGCCTATAGTCCCAGCTACTCAGGAGGCTGAGGCAGGAGAATGGCATGAACCCGGGAGGCGGAGCTTGCGGTGAGCCAAGATCGCGCCACTGCACTCCAGCCTGGGCGACAGAGTGAGACTCCATCTCAAAAAACAAAAAAACAAAACAAAAAAACCCCAAACAAACAAAAAACAGGGTCTGGCTCTATTGACCAGGCTGGAGGGCAATGGTGTGTTCACAGCTCACTGCAGCCTTGACCTCCTGGCTTCAGCCTCCTGAGTAGCTGGGACTACTGGGACTATAACTACATGCCACCATGCCTGGCTTTTGTGTGTGTGTGTGTGTATGTGTGTGATAGAGACAGAGTCTCACTATGTTGCTCAGGCTAGTCTCAAACTCCTGGGCTCAAACAGTCCTCTTGCCTCAGCCTCCCAAAATGCTGGGATTACAGATGTGAACCATGACAGCCAGCCTATATTTTTAAAAGTTTTATTATGGGAATATCCAGTTGGATTAGGGAAAGTTAAATTATCAGCCTATTCTTGCAGATTTTTCTTCACAGAATGTTGTTGCTACGGTTCTGAATTACATAAATTACTACATGCTCTGAGAGTTCAGAGGAAATCAATGAGGACTGGCGGTAGCTTGGTTTCAGGAGGGAAGTGAGGCATCTTGAAGAGGCAAGAGAAAAAAGGGAAGCCATTCCAGAGCAAGTCAAAAGCAAAAAAGGAGACCAAGCAGGCTATGTACAGAAAATGTGAGTGGGTTAGCCTGCATGGAACATGGAGTATTATAGGGAACAAGGATGCATGAGCAAGCTGGGCCAGATGATGGAGGGCACTGAAAGCCAGGGAAAATTTAAATTTGACGTTGTGATCAATGTGAAGCCATTCAAGGGTTTTGAGTGAAAGAATAATATGATGAAAGCAAAGAGCTTACAAGTACTGTCTGATAAACAGAATGGGATGTGGAGACAAGTGATGATATTAGGGTCTAGAAAGTTAGGTTAAAAGCTGTTATTCATCTAAAATAATGCTACTACAAAAGATATTTGTATTTATTTATTATTACTGTAATTTTTTGAGATGGAGTCTCACTCTGTTGCCCAGGCTGGAGTGTGATGGCATGATCTCAGCTCACTGCAACCTCCACCTTCCAGGTTCAAGCGATTCTCCTGCCTCAGCCTCCCGAGTAGCTGGAACTACAGGCATGCACCACCACGCCCGGCGAATTTTTGTATTTTTAGTAGAGACAAGGTTTCGCCATGTTGGCCTGGCTGGTCTCGAACTCCTGATCTCAGGTGATCCACCTGCCTTGGTCTCCCCAAGATATTTCAAAGGAAAAAAATCCACAATATTTGGTGTTTAACCAAATATTGGAACAAAATGAAAAGAATCAATTAACCTGTAAATAATCATCTTTAGGCAATTAAGAGACCAGCACCTGAATTAAGTGCTGTACAGAATATAAAAGAAAGGTAAAATAGTCTCCCTGTCCTAAGGGAGTCTAGCAGGAGAGACAAAGCTACCTTCTATCGACTCACTGGCTCTCAGGATTAGAGGGATTCTAGAAATCATCTTGTAAAAACACCATCTTATGCCAGAACAGTCCTTTCAATTAGCAATTAGTCAGGCAGCCTCTGCTCAAACACCTTCAGTGATGGAGAACCCGAGACTTCTGGAGGCAGTCCATTCCATTCAGACAGCTCAAAGTATTAAAAAGTTCTTCCTTATATGGAGGCAAATCTGCCTCCCTGCAACTTCCACCCACGAATCTTGGTTCTGCCCTAGGAGGTCATATGAAACAAGTGTGCATTAAACTGAGAACAAGTACTAACTGTATGGTACTGACTGTGAGCACAGCAGCATTCAGAGAAGGGAGGCAAAGATGACTCCTGATTTGCAAATATGGGGGCCTTAAGAGAATAATGACATTATAGGCAGAAATGGGTTGTGGCATGTTCTAGTTAGGGCAACAAGATGAGGTCAGTTTTGGATATGCTGAGTTTGAAAAGAAGACAAAGCTTCTAAGTGGAAATGACTAGTGAGTATTTAGAAATAAAGCCTAGGAAAGAATCAAGACTGGAGATAATGTTTGCAAATCATTGGCAAAGAACTGTCATGAAGTCATGAGAACAGACAAGCTTTTGGAGGGATATCATGCAGAGTAAAAAGAAACTATGAGCTTGATTCTCCAGCAATGTCTATTGTGGTTTGAAACCAAAAAACCAGGCCTGGCGCAGTGGCTCAGGCCTGTAATCTCAGCACTTAGGGAGGCTGAGGCGGGTAGATAACCTGAGGTCAAGAGTTCGAGACCAGCCTGGCTAAAATGGCGAAACCTCGTCTCTACTAAAAATACAAAAATTAACCAGGCATGGTGGTGCATGCCTGTAATCCTAGAAATCATCTTGTAAAAACACCACCTTCTGCCAGAACTGAGGCACAAGAATCTCTTGAATCCAGGAGGCGGAGGTTTGCAGTGAGCCGAGATCGCGCCACTGCACTCCAGCCTGGGCGACAGAGAGACACTCTGTCTCAAAAAAAAAAAAAAAAAAAAAAAAAATTAGAAATGGCTAGTGATTCCTGCCAAAGCTGCTTCACACTCTTATACTTCTAACAACTTAACCCAATTCCTTCTGCCTATTCAAGGAAGTCATTCAGAAGTAAATGGAACCAGGTTATGCGTGCAGTTCTTGTTGCATCCCACCAGGCAATTAAGACAGTAGCATGAATTTCTACTTGAGTAGGAAGTTGCTATGCTTGAAATGTTTTCTACTTTGTCCCACAGTTGTTTTTCTAAGTCATCATCCTTAGGTAAAATTGAAAATAAAGCACCCATACAAATCAGCCTGTCTACTATGGTAGCCCAATTGATTTGCTTCAAAATGCTTCTCTTAATTTTGTAATCCTGTTCCTGAGGTTTTATCCTAAGAAAGTAAATCATAATGTGAGAAAAGTGATAAGCATGGAGATGTTTGCTGCAATGTTAGATCTATTGATCTATCTATATCTATCTTGGACTTCTAATTATAGGGGAATAGCTAAATGAAGTGTGGAAAAAAACTTGAACGCAAAATTTACAATATTTGTCACATTTGGGTGATGGGTTTTTGACAATTTCTACCTGTTTTCCAAACTTTCTTTTAACATATAATATTTTATAATAATAATAAAAATCTCTACTTGACTATCCCTTCTAAATTACCACTAAACTATGTAGTAGTTAGTTCTACTTCTAATGAATTCTTATCACGAGGTTTTAACATGTCACAAAGTAAAACCTACACATGCTACCAGAAGATACAAGTTGGCTTGTTTAACACAGAAACCAAATAACAGGCACCACTTTGCCCCAGTAAAGATGCCATTTAGGCCAGGTGCAATGGCTCATGCCTGTAAGGCCAGGTGCAATGGCTCATGCCTGTAATCCCAGCGCTTTGGGAGGCTGAGAAGGGCAGATCACCTGAGGTCAGGAGTTCGAGACCAGCCTGGCCAACATGGCAAAACCCCGTCTCTACTAAAAATACAAAAATAAAAAAATTAGCCAGGCGTGATGGTGGGTGGGTGCAATGGCTCATGCCTGTAATCCCAGCTACTCAGGAGGCTGAGGCAGGAGAACTGCTTGAACCCGGGAGGCGGAGGTTACGGTGAGCCAAGACAGAGCAAGACACCATCTCAAAAAAAAAAAAAAGATGCCATCTAAATCTAACCCAAATCAGGAGCCACTGTTCTTCTCTAAGCATTTGGTTTCACTGATTAAACCAATGACATTTAGTGCCTGAGTCACTGCCACCCGAGGTTTAGATTTTAAAAGAAAGGCCTATCTTCTACGGAGGGAAGGAATCCAACCCAACATCAACACCTGTCTCCTGTTCCCTCCTTACACATGTCCTCTACCTGAAACTCC
Organism: Homo sapiens; assembly: GCF_000001405.40. Taxonomy (NCBI): domain Eukaryota; kingdom Metazoa; phylum Chordata; class Mammalia; order Primates; family Hominidae; genus Homo; species Homo sapiens. Next base: position 40,047,834 of record NC_000001.11, on the reverse strand, counting down.
AGGAGTGAGTAAAGTTAGTGTATAAAGTGAAATTAGACTTGGGAACTAGCTGTTTCAATGTCTGGAGCAAACAGGTAACTTTGTGTGGTCATGGGTTCTCTTCTCTCCTACGTTCAAAGAATATTATGAAGACTAATTGCACAGAGCACTCGGCAGTCCCTTTCTACTTCTACATGTTTTATAGCGTGTAAGGGAAAACTGCATTGGCTGATTTCAGCCTGAATAGTTGCTTTAATAAAACAGCATTTCCCACTCTAATATATAAAGATGGATTCAAGGATGACGTTTGTCCTTAGCCATGATTCATCTACAAGTAGGAATATGGAAAGACTGTAAGTCTATAATTAACTAAAGTATAGGAATTTCAATGCCCTCTGGAGGAAAAAACAAAACAAAACAAAGCAAGTCTGCTCCTTCCATTAAACATTTCAACTATTTTCCAGCCAAATGGAAAAGTTTGGCACAAAAGGTCTGGTAATACAAGGCAAACAAAGCAGCACTGTAGCTGAGGCATATTTTTAGAACTTTGTTTTTATCAGGTTAACATATAGTACATCAAGAAATAATTTCATGGTGAATGCTGTAGCTGCATTAATTTAAAATTATGAAACTACAGTCATGCATTACATAATGACATTTTGGTCAATGGATGGACCACAAAATCAACAGTGGTCCCATAAGATTATATGGGATTATATGGGGATTAATCAACACAAAATCCCATAAGATTATAATACCCTATTTTTACTGTACTTTAAAAATGTGGCCGGGCGCGATGGCTCATGCCTGTAATCCCAGCACTTTGGGAGGCCAAGGCTAGCAGAACACAAGGTCAGGAGTTTGAGACCAGCCTGGCCAATATAGTTAAACCCCATCTCTACTAAAAATACAAAAATTAGCTGGGCGTGGTGGTGCGCACCTGTAGTACCAGCTACTCAGGAGGCTGAGGCAGAAGAATTGCTTGAACCCAGGAGGCGGGGGTTGCAGTGAGCCAAGATCGTGCCACTGCACTCCAGCCTGGGCGACAGAGTGAGACTCCGTCTCAAAAAAAAAAAAAAAAAGTTTAAATAAACAAATACTTACACTGTGTTACAAACTGCCTACAGTATTAGATACAGTAACATACTATACAGGTTTGTAGCCCAGGAGTAATAAGTTACACCATGTGCAGTATCATCTAAATTTGTGCAAGTACACTCTATGATGTTCCCACAATGATGAAATCACCTAATGACAAATTTCTCAGAATGTACCTGTCATTAAGCAACACATGACTGTATAATTTTATCAACTAAAATAAATGTGAATAACTCCATAAACTATATGCAACTTTAGTGTTTGTTTGTTTTTTTTTGTTTTGTTTTGTTTTTTTGAGACGGAGTCTTGCTCTGTCACCCAAGCTGGCGCAGATCATGCAGTGGCACGATCTTAGCTCACTGCAACCTCCACCTCCCCGGGTTCAAGTGATTCTCCTGCCTCAGCCTCCCTAGTAGTTGGGATTACGGTACATGCCACCACACCCAGCAAATTTTTGTAATTTTAGTAGGGACGGGGTTTTACCATGTTGGCCAGGCTGGTCTCGAACTCCTGACCTCAGGTGATCCACCCGCCTTGGCCTCCCAAAATGCTGGGATTACAGGCGTGAATCACCACGCCCAGCCTATATGCAACTTTAAAATAAATGATAGTCCCTGTCCACTAAAACCAAGCACTCTAAATACAAGGAACACAAACAAAACAGGAATTCACACAATTTTCAATAGAGAGGGAAATCTGCTGACTTACACCATCAACAAGAAGCTTGCTTCTAGTACTCAAACCAATGGCACTTCTCTTAAGATCACATCTGCCAGGTGTGGTGGCTCATGCCTGTAATCCCAGTGACTCAGGAGACTGAGGCCAGAGAATCACCTGAGGCCAGGGGTTTAAGACCAGCCCAGGCAACATAGCAAGACCCTGTCTCTGAAAAAAATCAAACATTTGGCCGAGCGCATGGTGGCTCATGCCTGTAATCCCAGCACTTTGAGAGGCTGAGGTGGGTGGTTCCCTTGAGGAGTTCGAGACCAGCCTGGCCAACATGGCAAAACCCTGTCCCTACTAAAAATACAAAAATTAGCTGAGTGTGGTGGTGTGTGCCTCTAGTCCCAGCTACTCAGGAGGCTGAGGCAGGAGAACTGCTTGAACCCGGGAGGGGGAGGTTGCAGTGAGCCAAGATCACGCCACTGCACTCCAGCCTGGGCGACCGAGCAAAACTCCATCTCAAAAAAACAAAAAACAAAAGAAAGAAAAAGAACTGTAGTCCCAGCTACTCAGGAGGCTGAAGCGAGAAGATTACTTGAGCCCAAAAGTTGGAGGTTGCAATCAGCCATGATTGCACCATTGTACTCCAACCTGCCCACCCAGAAATTCCTTGAAGGAACAGTAATTTCTTGAAGCTTCAACAGAAACAAATGATTCATTCATTGTAGGATACTGAGTGCTTATCATGTACCATCGACTGTGCTAAGTATGGCTATGGGGCCTGCCCTCACAGAATTTAGTTGGGGACATTGTACAATCATAGCTACGATACTTTCTAACGCAGCAATTCTCAACCAGGGGCAATTTTGTCCTCCAGGAGACATATGGCAATGTCTGAAGACATTTTTGGTTGTCACAACTGAGGAAGTCTTATTGGCATCTACTGGGTAGAGACAGATGCTGCTTAACATCCCACAGTGCACAGGACAACTCCATAATAAAGAATTATATGGCCAGGCGCGGTGGCTCACACCTGTAATCCCAGCACCTTGGGAGGCCGAGGCGAGCAGATCACGAGATCAGGAGATCAAGACCACAGTGAAACCCCGTCTATACTAAAAATACAAAAAATTAGCTGGGCCTGGTGGCGGGCGCCTGTAGTCCCAGCTACTCGGGAGGCTGAAGCAGGTGAATGGCGTGAACCCGGGAGGCTGAGCTTGCAGTGAGCCGAGATTGTGCCACTGCACTCCAGCCTGGGTGACAGATAGAGACTCTGTCTCAAAAAAAAAAAAAAAAAAAAAAAAAAGAATTATATGGCCCAAAATGTCAATTGTGCCAACGTTGAGAAACCCTGTTCTAATTTAATAAGGAGCATAGGGAGGTGCAAAAGGTTAAGTAAAATGCTAGTTCACGACTTTCTAAATTAGAAAGTCAACCTGTATCATCTAATAAAAATTAAGATAAGGGTCTAAACTGTAGAGAATTCTGTAAGATGGAAAAAAGAGTTCAGAATTTATTCTTTGTAAATATGAAGTCAGTGAAGACTAACAAGATGAAAAATGCTTCTTCTTAGAGAACTTTAAAAAGATTTGTCTGGTTGTCATAGAGAAACTGAAGTATAGGTCATGAAAGCCAGGTTAGCACAAATAAAGAAAGAAACTGATGTCAACATTTCAAAGTAATAATCACTAAAATTGGGTAAGATACCGCTCGAGAACTCTCATATTTCAAATCTCAGCATTAAATTTCAAACCAGAGGTTCGGCTTCCAGTGACACATTGCATTTGCTTAAGTAAAAAAAAATTTGATTCACAATGCTTCACAAAAAACTGAAAGGAGGAAGTCACCTTTTTTTTTTCTGGTAGAGACAGGGGTCTCACTATGTTGACCAGGCTAGTCTCTAACTCAGCCTCAAGAAAGTCACTTTTTAAAAGCTAAAAAAATAACTGCAACCAGGAAAAAGGGTGAGAATAAAAGATCATCCCTAGGTTGGAAACAAAACATTTTACAGACTCAATAGCTAAACTCCAAAGCAAAAATATACTCACTGAATCTTAACAATATCACCACTTTTGGTTTGCACATCAGGCTGTATTCTACAAAGTACTTTTGCTGCTACCATTTTATTTAAACTTCTCTGAGATATCAATTATGCCTACCCAATTGAGGAAGTATTTCTGGAAAAAGCGAGAAATTTCTTTTTTCTTTTCTTTTTTTTTTGAGACAGAGTCTCACTATCACCCAGGCTGGAGTGCAGCAGTGCAATCTCAGCTCACTGCAACCTCCGCCTCCCGGGTTCAAGCGAGTCTCCTGCCTCAGCCTCCCAAGTAGCTGGGACTACAGGCATGCACAACCACGCCCAGCTAATTTTTGTATTTTTAGTAGTGATGGTGTTTCACCATGTTGGCTAGGATGGTCTTGAACTCCTGATCTCAAGTGATTTGCCCACCTCAGCCTCCCAAAGTGTCAGGATTACAGGCGTGAGTCACTGTGCCCAGCCCAGAAATTTCTTTATGCTGGACCTGGGCAAATCAATTAGCAAACTGCCACCCACAAAATCAAATCCAAACAAATTCAACAAGGCATTAAAAGCCCTTCACGCCGGGTGCGGAGGCTCACACCTGTAATCACAACACTTTGGGAGGGCGAGGCAGGCGGATCACGAGGTCAGGAGTTCGAAACCAGCCTGGCCAGCATGGTAAAATCCCGTCTCTACTAAAAATACAAAAATTAGCCGGGCGTGGTGGCGCACGCCTGTAATCCCAGTTTCTCAGGAGGCTGAGGCAGGAGAATTCCTTGAACCTGGGAGGTGGAGGTTTCAGTGACCCGAGATTGTGCCACTGCACACCAGCCTGGGCAACAGAGCAAGACTCCGTCTCAAAACAAACAAACAAACAAAAAGCCCTTCACAACTTGGCCGACATCTAACCTTTTTTGCAGTCTGGTCTTCTGCAAAACTCCAGGCCCCAGTATCACTGAACAATTTAGGCCCTCTCCTGCCTCCGTATCTTTACTCTTGCTCTTTCCTTTAGCTGACCCACCTTATTAGACATCTTTGCCTGGATGTGCTACAAACACCTCAAACTAAAAACATTCAAAATGCATTTTTTCCCATGTCACTTCCCTAATTTACCTCTCATACTCTCTATCTGAATGGTACTACCCATTCAGTTCCCTAAGCCAGAAAGCCAGGCAATCGCGCTATTCTTACCTCTTCATTCCCATAATCAGCCTCCAATTCTATGGATTCTATCTTCTTAATATTGCTCACATCTGATGCCTCCTCTCCATTCCCATTTCCACTGTCTTAGTTCAGGCCATGTCTACAGCAAGAGCTTCCAAACACTGTTTTACTTCCCCACAGGGCTGGTCCCCTCCTACTTGACAGAATGAACTTTCTGAAATATAAATCTGACGACATCATTTTCCTGCATAAAACCCTTCAAAGCATCTCCATAGCTTTCAGGGTAAAAATCCAAATTCCTTAGCATGACTTACAATGTCCTCCACATATGACTGACCTGACCACATCTCACTTCCTCCACTTCCCCAGCCATTACTAGAATTCCAGTCACACTGAACTCGTCATGGTCTTTCAGCTGTCCGGTTCTCCAGGTCCTTGCACCTGTAGTAGTCTCTGCCTGGAAATCCCTTTTCCGGATTCCCTATGTAGCTAAATAAATATTTCAAGAGTTAGCCTCCCATTTCCTCCTGGAACCCTGGGCACCTGGCTCAGGTATTTCTCCACTGTGCTCTTGTAGCCCTGTGCTATGCACTATGACACTGTAAGCCATCCCTCATTTACTTGTCTATTTCCTCTCCCACTGTAAACTCCAGAAGAACTGTATTCTTTGCCACAAAGGCTATCTCATTAAAATGTGCCTCATACATATTAAGGTCTTAATAAACGTCTGGTGGGGCCGGGCACGGTGGATCATGCCCGTAATCCCAGCACTTTGGGAGGCCGAGGTGGGGGGATCACCTGAGGTTAGGAGTTCGAGAGCAGCCTGGCCTTCACGGCGAAACCCCATCTCTACTAAAAATACAAATAAATAAATTAAATAAAAGTCTGGTAAATGATAAATGTGCTGATATGCCCCCGGATTTTCTCTTGAAGAGAGAGCCCCACAAAGAGCTTCAACTGACACAGTTCTGATGCTAACCTGTCTCAAATGTTCTCATTCCACTCTTCGAACGCATTCCTATTTATCCTTCAAAATTCATCTTAAAAACTCTGCTTCTTCAGAAGGGCTTTTCCTGAACCCCCTGTTACATACTTTCAGAGCACCCTGTTCTTTCCTAACACTCATCAACATTTATAATTACTTCTTAAACATCCCTGCAAACACTGCTAGCTCCACGCGGGCAGGGTCTACATTGTTTTGTTTTAAAGCTGCATTCCCCGCATCTGGGAAAATGCTGGCACAGAATAAACACAATTTGTTACGCTGAATTTAATCTTGTGGGGTCAGCAGAGATCTCCACTTAAAAGATGAACAAAAGGAGGCTGAAAGAAGTTTAAGGCACCTATGGCCACAGACACTCAGCACTGAGGCCAGACCAAACCTGAGCCGTCTGATTTCAGGTCCAGAAGTACATACCTTCAATGTTAGCCTGGCTTGTCAAAGTAAGAGCAGCAGCCGAGGAGGAAAGGGAGGATATCTGCCTGTAAATACAAGGATGTGCCCGCCTTTCTTTTAAAAACTCCCTAGGCATTTCAAACGGCTCAATTTGGGAGGAGAGAAAAAAAAAAGTTCCACGCAGCGCTGGCCTTTAACCTGCAGCAGCCTGCGGGGCAACACCGACCGGAAGACCATCCCAAGTTAGAGAGGTTCCGAGCAACACGGGAAGAACTGGGGCTGGTTATCTAAGGCACCAGGATCATGATTCCGATTCTTTTCCTCACTCGCTATATATCTCAGACTAGCCTCTTCTCTAGGGATCAATTTACCTATCAGTGCAATGGGAGCATCAACAGGAGACAGGGAAGACTCTCCGATCTCGGAGGTTCCTTCCAGTCAGAGCACCTCAGGAATCAGGCCTCCGCTGAAGCTGATGGGCAGCGCTGCGAAATCGGGCAGAGGGGCCTCCCCGGGGCACCCGGACTCAGCTGCTCACCCCGGCCCCACCTCAAGAGACCGCGCCCAAGAGTCCGGGTCGGCCTGAGGGCCTCAGCCCCGGCCCTCTCGGCAGGGTTCATGACACGCGCGTAGGCCAGAAGGGCCATTAACACCACCAGGGGCCGATGGGCCCCGGAAGGGACCCCAATCCCTACCAAGCTGCACACCCTCACCTCAGAGTTCCGCCTCACCTCCGGACTGCGATCAGCCGCTCTCCGCTTCCGGCAAGAACCGCCCAGCAATCTCCGCGCGACCCACTTCCGGGCCCTCACTGGGCGCGGCGCCCCCACCGGAAATGAGCCGCCGGCTGAAGCGCTAGGCTGGCCCGCGACTGGGCAGGAAGTCTCACCGCCCCGCTCGTGACTCCGCCCCTCTTCGCCACGCCCCGGAGAGAGCGGCCCGGCTCTCACAGAGGGCACTTGGGAAAGAGCCCCGCCCTCAAGGCGGGAGCGACACGGGGAGGGCGGGCTCACAAGAGAGGCCACGCCCTCGTTCCGCTTTACCTACCCGGAATCGCCCCCGAGGCCCGGGCCCAGGAAGGGCAGAAGTCCCTGGCTAAGCTCCTCTCTGGAAAGAACAGAAGAGTGACCAGTTCCTCTGTCAGTTTGGTCTCAATGGCAGAGGCCGGTTCCTTTAAGCTGCAGTCCGTAAAGGGTCTTGGAACGACTGGGGGCCAGGATTCTCTGAGGGCGGGAATCCGGGCGGCCGTCAGCTCTCGGTGGTGATCGAGGCCACGCTCCGCCTGTCTCTGGGCGTGCATACCTCGGTTTCCCCGTTTGTGACGTGGGAAGGCAATTAGTCTGGACATTGTTGTGGGAGGACTTGCGGAGACTGGGCGCAGGGCGTGGGGGTCAGTGAGGGCGCGGTGGGTCAGCCCCAGCCCGGCTGGCAGTCGCGGGGCTGGGAAGGTAGGGAACCCTCCGCTCTCACCCCACTTCCTGTTTGGTCGGTGTGTTCTGTGACCATAGATGGTCAAGTCTGGGGCCGCGCGGAAGCCTCCGCCCTGTGGTTTTGGAGCCCTTCCTCCCGGCGCGCAGGGTGTGGTCCCCGAGAATAAGATGAGCAGAATTAAAGCAGATCCTGCACCCACTCTGCTGAAATCCGGCTTCTGAGGCAGCCTCGCCCAGGGCTGGGTGGGCTCAGGCGGCTGCTACTCGGTTCAGGGGAGGTTACGCACGGTGGCTGCCGCGCGCAGGGGAGGCTTCGCTTCCGTACTCCTTGGGCCGGGAGATCCGATCTTTGTTCCCTCAAGACTCACACTCTCCAACCGGTCATTATCCTCCCACAAAGATTTATTTCTAGAAAAAATTGGCAAGTGCCACAGTTCCCGCCCCTTCAGCTGAACGACTGTGACAGCTCCGTGTTTCAAGTTGAATGCAGGCGTTATGTGCCAGAGTCAATCATTCAACAAATAAAGTTCTTAAAATAACAGCTACCATTTACTGCACGCTGACTACTTGCCAGGCCCATGCTGAGTTCTTCAAGCGTATTTTCATTTACTCCTAATAGCAACTCTCGGTGGTAGGTACCATTATGCCCTCTAGTTTTCAAATGAGGAAGCTGAATAACTTGCCAAGGTCAGAAAGTAACTGTTGAAACTTTGAAGGAAACACATCTGTCTGACTCTAAATCCCATGAGCTTAATTAGCCCCTGTGATAGACCATACTGCAGACATTTGAGGCAGATTTGAGGTGGTGAATGCCTCTGGATCTGGAGACACTGGGTTCCAGTGCTGGCATAGGCCCTCTACTAGGGGTCAGACTTTGGTCAGGTTACTTTGGACGGGTTACTGGGCCTCTTCCTAACTTTATGGCTCCCAGCATGTTTAAAAGAACATGACAACATGAAAAAATATGGTATAAAAGTCATAGTATATTTTAAATATTGACATTTAACTAAAAACACTGTCTCACACACACACAAACTCTAACTTTATTTGGACATAATCTTTGACTCTGCATTTAGTTATTCTAAATCTCTTTCTGGATTAGAGACAGAAGGAACATAGACCATACACGCATTCTAGAGGAAGAGGAGAGAGAAGAGGAAGCAGGAAGGAGAATGAAGAAAGTTTCCTCATCAGGTGGGGAATATTAATGGGGCTGTAATGAGAAACGGAAGCAGTAATGTATGTGAAACCACTTTGTAAAATGCTTCATTATAAAGAATGCACACACGACTTAAGTTACAACCCCTGCCCTAAGGAATGTCCAGTCTTTTAAGAAGTCTAGATCCATGCATTTGTAACTCCAGTAGGAGATGGGAAGATAGTTTAAGAATATCCGTCACATGAAGGGCTGGGCGCGGTGGCTCACACCTGTAATCCCAGCATTTTGGGAGGCCGAGGCGGGCAGATAACGAGGTCAAGAGATCAAGACCAGCCTGGCCAATATGGTGAAACCCCGTCTCTACTAAAAAATACAAAAATTAGCTGGGCGTGGTGGCATGCGCCTGTAGTCCCAGCTATTTGGGAGGCTGAGGCAGGAGAATCGCTTGAACCCGGGAGGCAGAGGTTGCAGTAAGCTGAGATCGTGCTTCTCTACTCTAGCCTGGCGACAGAGTGAGACTCTGTCTCAAAAAAATAAATAAAAGAATATCTGTCACATGTATTTATGCACTGAAAAAAAACTATTGAGCTACATAGTAGCAATTATTGGAAGAGTTCAATAATTGCTATGCTACTTTGTACCAAGCACAACTAGGGATCCAGCAGTGGACAAGTCAGACCCTGTTACTGCTCTCATGGAGCTTACAGTCTATTTTGGAAATGATATTTCCATTTGGAGTGGTCATCAGAAGATACGCTGCCTTCTGTCTTCCAGCTTTTTCCTCCTCGCTGATCTTGCCCCTTGTCCAGTACCCAGTGCTTCATCCATGGTGAGTTCTCATCTAGCACATGTTCAGTGAGTGCCTTGAATTCAGAATAGTCATTTCCTAGGCAGAGATGGACAGATAGATCCTTGCAGAGCAAACATGAATGAACAGTAGTGGAGATGGGAATCTGTGCTGGACTGAGGTGAGAGGTTCCTGCAGGAGAAAAGTAGGAGATAAGGCTGAAGAAAAGGAGGTTGAGCAAACTATGCTAGGCAAGAGAGGTCAAACCTTAATGTGAAAGCGAGGAGGCACTAGTCATACTGTATTTTAGAAATAAAAATCTAGCTACAGTGTAGGGCATGGCCTTCAGTGGGCAACAAAAGAGGCAGGGAGAACTGCTAGAAGATAAGCACAAAGATCTAATAAGAATCTGAATCGGCCAGGCGCGGTGGTTCACACCTGTAATCCCAGCATTTTGGGAGGCCGAGGTGGGCGGATCACCTGAGGTCAGGAGTTCGAGACCAGCCTGGCCAACATGGCGAAACCTCATCTCGACTAAAAATACAAAAATTAGCCAGGCATGGTGGTGGGCACCTGTAGTCCCAGCTACGTGGCCGTAAACCCAGCTACTCGAATCTGCTGAGGCAGGAGAATCACTTGAACCCAGGAGGTGGAGGTTGCAGTGAGCTGAGATCACGCCACTGCACTCCAGCCTGGGTGACACAGCAAGACTCCGTCTCAGAAAAAAAAGAAAGAAAAAGAAAGAAATTTGTATTATTTATAAATTACCCAGTCTAGGTATTTTGTTATAGCAGCAGGAATGAATTAAGACACATTCTCATTCAATACTGCTTTTCCTTCCTGGCAGGTATTACAATCCTCATTCATTATTTGTGCACTTATCTTTTAATAGCTTCCTCTCCTGTAAGTTGCTTCCTCCCAATAAGTCCTTGTTTGTCTGGCACAAAATTGATAATAAGTATTTATAGTAAAAATTGACTAAATGAAAAGGGTGAGAGGGGCCAAGTTGGCTCTGAGACTTGGCATGTGGGGAAATGGAAGGTGTAAAAAGGATTGGATCTGGGTTTGGGGGTTTTGAGCCTCAGTCCTCAAAATCCAGCCTGGGAAGAGAAGGAGAAGAAAGAATTCAATTAATCAATTTACAAGCAAGAATTGCCAGCAGAGAGTTGATTGATTCTCACACATTCCCCCTCTTCATGTATTATTGCCACTTTCTTATGGCCTGGATTTCAGCACATTCTGAACCTGCAGAATCACTTTGTCTCTGAGGGAGCCACCCAAGTTTCCTCTTTATCTCTCAGGGTTTCAGACACAGAAGTCTGGCGGTTCATCTGGAGCCTTTCCCAGCCTGACTCAGAGGACTGCCTGCATCTGTGCAACCTGGCTCAGAGCCTGTCTACGTTTGGGCAGAGCCTATATCCCCCTGCCAAACGGGCTAATGACAGACAACAGTCTATGTGACCCTATCTTTCTTCCCCTCCAAGGGTATGGCCCCAGATTTCAGCCTCAGATAGGGGATCAGGCCCAAAAATTAGGAGTTGGCAAAAGAAATAGCCGCAATATAGAAATATGATTAAGATCTGGCTTTGGGGTCACTCTGAAACTGAATCCCAACTCTGCCAACTGTGTGATCTTGGAGTTATCCTCATTTAACCTCAGAGGATATATTAATAGCCGTCTTAAATGGTTGATAGGAATTAGGACAGAAAACTAATAAAACACTTGGCTCACAGTAAACACTCAATGAGTAGTAACAATTATTATTAAGTATAGAGAATCTCTTGTCTGTTTCCCTGGCAAAGGCCATCAGAAAGCAAAATAAGGTCTAAAGTGTCAACATACTGGATGGTGCCACCAGAACTACTACTACTGTCCCCATCCCCAGAAAGTTTTCCCACAGTTCCTGCTTCTTTGTATTGCTAACTTTTTTTTTCTTTTTTTTTTTTTGAGACAGAGTCCTGCTCTATCACCCAGACTGGAGTGCAGTGGCATGATCTCAGCTCACTGCAACCTCCACCTCCCAGGTTCAAGCGATTCTCCTGCCCCAGCCTCCAGAGTAGCTGGGATTATAGGCACACACCACCATGCCAGGCTAATTTTTGTATTTTTAGTGAAGGGGGGTTTCACAACATTGGTCAGGCTGGTCTCAAACTCCTGACCATGTGATCTGCCCGCCTGAGCCTCCCAAAGTGCTGGGATTACAGGTGTGAGCCACCGTACCCGGCCTTCTTTTTTTTTTTTTTTTTTAAGACAGAATCTTGCTCTTAGCCAGGCTGGAGTGCAGTGGTATAATCATAACTCACTGCAGCCTTTAACTCCTGGATTCAAGTGATCCTCCCACCTCAGCCTCCGGAGGAGTACCTGGGACTACAGGCACATGCCACCATGACTAGCTACTTTTTGTATTTTTTGTAGAGCTGGAATCTTGCTATGTTGCCCAGGCTGGTCAGGAACTCCCGGCCTCAAGCAATCCTCCTGCCTTGGCCTCCCAAAGTGCTGGGATTACAGGCATGAGCCACTGCACCTGGCCTGTATTGCGACCTTTGGACTCAAAGTTAGGCCAGGTGTGGTGGCTCATGCCTGTATTCCCAGCATTCTGGGAGGCTGGGGTGGTAGGAACACTTGAGCCCAAGAGTTCAAGACCAGCCTAAGCAACATAGTGAGACCTCATCTCAAGGAAAAAAATTTTAAATAAAAAAACCCACAAAAGCAAAATTGGGCCTGTGCCCTTGGCTGTAAATGAGACCAAATAAATCAGTTACGAATGTGAATGCTTTTGCCCACAGATAACAGAAAACTTGACTGTAGTCACCTTTTTAAAGTCAGTTTTTCTCACATACAAGAAAAATGAAGGTAGGCAGTTTTACTGGCTCAGTAATGTCAGAGCTGATATTTCTGCAATTCACTTCACCTTACCCTTGTGGTTGCAAGTTGGCTGTTGCAGCCCTAGTGCCATCAAATCAGGTTTAAGGGACAAGGAAAGAGGAAGGGGAATGTGCAGCGTTTGAAATGGGAAAGCTGACATTTTCTAAGGAACCCACAAAGCATACCCTGCTTCCTGTCTCATAGCCAGATCTAACAGCAAATACTTCAGCTTGTTTGCCCCTGAGAGGAACACAGATGCATTTCACGGTGTTTTTGAGGGCCCCTAGAGGGCCTAAGCCCAGTTATCCATAGCAGTAACCACTCATTAACAAACCCAAGTTAGCTTTTCTCCTTTCCCTAACTTACTTGTGTTAGGGAATCCAAATTAAAGAGAATGGAATTGGCTGAGTCTGCTACACGCGGAAAGTGACAGTGAGCACTGCCAGCTTTGATAGTGTAAGGTGCGTGCTCACTGTCTTGTCTCTCTGTCTCTTATGTTTGGGATATTGTCCAAACATACAAAGGGGTTACAGATTCTGAGTGTACAATAAGAATGATAGGTGTCCACTATAATAAACACTTGTGACTGCCTGACATCGAAATACACCCTTCTTTCTCTACTTACACTTCAAAAAACAAAACAAAACTCCAAACTGAAACAACCCTCCCTTTTATAACCTAAATTGTACTCACTATACTCACCTTCTACCCCCCAAAAAGAAATTATCTCAAATCCTCATCAGTAACTTCATCCAGCAACAAGTCCAGGATCTCTGAATCATGTTCATTCTTTCTCCAGTTCATAATAATCCTGCCTCAATAGTCTGTATGGACTGAACTTTATTTATTTATTTATTTATTTATTTATTGAGATGGAGTCTCACTCTGTCACACAGGCTGGAGTGCTAAGGCTTGATTTCACCTCACTGTAACCTCTGCCTCCCAGCTTCAAGCGATTCTCCTGCCTCAGCCTCCCGAGTAGCTGGAATTACAGGCGTGTGCCACCATGTGGACTGAACTTTAAAGTTAACCACTATAACGTGCCACACCCTATATATATTCATGGGAGAAAGGGAAATGAAAGGAGAAGAAAATTCAATACAACATGTAGATACTTAACTGGCTTGGCGAAAAACTTTCTGTAACTGATCACAAAGCCTTAGTTATCTTTGACTTCATATATCCACTACCCATTCTATATCTTCTTTGTCTTCAGCCAGCACCTCAGTTCACTAGTGTCATAGAGATGGAAAGAGAAAGAGGCATGAAGAAGGCATGCCACTGTCCTAAACATCCTGATCTAGAAGTGGGAAATATTAATTTCACTTACATTTCATTGACTAGAACTTAATCATATAGCTTCTGTTTGGGGCTATAACTGAGTTTCCTATAGGTGACCAAACCCTCTTTCTTGTGGGATTGGAGACCTTGGTGGTCCATCCTGTATAATGTTTTCACAATTTTCCATTAATTTTTAGCACCGGATTTAGAAGAAGTAGGAGGTACCCCTAGTATTCTTTGGGTTATATGCATAATCCTACAAGCTATTGTATAGTGACATTTCTCTTTTACCTTGAAAATAGACCCATTTACCTGAGCTAACCATCATAACCGGTGCAGGTTAAGTTTAACATCAGGCTGTCCATGGGAGATAGCCCTGATTTGTAGCAATTGGCAACTTTTGTGGTGTAAATACTCTCACTACAATCAATTGCAAGCTACCAAGGTTATGTCACTGAATGTAGAGTTGAGAAAAATGCACTGTGGTATGCAGAACTATTGTGCTCCAAAGGTGTGCACATCCTAATCTTTGGGACCTGTGACTATCTTACCATAAATGGGAAAGGGGACTTTGCAATGTGGTTAAATTAAGAATCTTGAGATGAGGAGATTATCCTAGATTATCCAGGTAGGCCCATCCAGGTAGGCCCAATGTAATCACATGGATCCTTGTAAGGGAAAGAGGGAAACAGGAAAGTCAGAGTCAAGAAGCTCAGAAGTCAGACAAAGCTCAGAAGTCAGACGAAGCTCAGAAGAAGCAATATTACAATGAAAGCAGAGGTCACAGTGATGTGACCAAGGCCACATTTTCCCCTAGAGCCTCCAGAAGGAGCACTGTTGAGCTGTGGCGTGGGGGCAATGGTATTAAAAGGATAATGGTATCGGCTGGATTTGTTAATGGCTTCTGAAGTCTTGAAAAAAGAAGTAAGATCTGGCTGGGACAGGTGGCTCACTCCTGTAAACCTAGCACTTTGGGAGCCCGAGGTGGGTGGATAACCTGAGGTCTGGAGTTTGAGACCAGCCAGGCCAACATGGCAAAACCCCATCTCTACTAAAAATACAAAAATTAGCTGGGCATGGTAGCACATGCCTGTAATCCCAGCTACTTGGGAGGCTGAGGCAGGAGAATCTCTTGAACCCAGGAGGCAGAGGTTGCAGTGAGCCGAGATCACACTACAGCACCCCAGCCTGGGTGACATAGTGAGACCCCCATCTCAAAAAAAAAAGAAGTAAGATCATGTTAATTATCAACTCCAGTATGGAAGTCAACTCTGGCTGGAGTGATACACTGCACAATTATATATTTATTTGCTTCTCCTTCATCAGCCACTTCTTTCTGTCGCTTTCCCTGACTTCTCTGCTGCATATGCCAGTTCCTAAAAGTCCAGTCTTAGTTATTATCTTTATTCCAATGCCTCTCTGGTATGTCTGCTATCCTTTTATGTAGCTTTAGTTTCTAGAACATCTTGCTTCAACTCCGCTCAATAACATTGGACAATGTGCCAGTGAGTCACCACAAGATGGCAGCCTTGCTAATTTTGGCTGCACTGAATTCAGTTATTCATTCCTTCAAGTTGGACGGATAGGGGAGGTTCTGAATAAGACTTTAATCTTACTTATTTAACATTTCTTGAGAGCTTGCTCAATAATGGGTCTTTTAACATATTAGTGTTTTGTCTTTTAATGGTGAAAGCTAGGATTATCCCCTTTGCAGATTAGAAAACTGAAGTTGAAAATGATTAACTTGTTCAAAGTCAGGACCTAGATTTGAAACCAGAGTTTTCTGAGTCCAGAGCCAGTGTTCTTTCTATTACATAACTGAATCATAAGCTGCAACAGTATTGTTTAAGGTTTTTTTTTTAAATTATAAGTAACAAGCTGGGCATGGTGGCTCATGCCTGTAATCCCAGCACATTGGGAGGCTGAGGCTGGCGGATCACTTGAGGTCAGGAGTTCGAGACCAGCCTGGCCATCAAGGTGAAACCCTGTCTCTACCAAAAGATACAAAAAATTAGCCAGGCATGGTGGCTTGCACCTGTAGTCCCAGCTACTCGGGAGGCTGAGGTGGGAGGGGAATTGTTTGAACCCGGGAGGTGGAGGTTGAAGTGCAGTAAGCCAAGATCATGCCACTGCACTCCAGCCTGGGTGACAGAGTGAGACCCTGTCTCAAAAACAAAACAAAACAAAATAAAATTACAAGTAACAGAAAACCAACTTGAGCCAGTTTAACAGCAACAACACAACAAAGTATTTGCAGTACCTCATGGAAACTTGGGATAGAAATGATGCCCTGGCTTTAAAAGAGAGAACAGAGATAGGGATTGGAAAGCCTTCAAGGTGTGGGGGAAGAAAGAAAGAAAAATGGGGAAAGGAAAGGGAAAGGAAAAGCTGGGGAGGCCCAAGAGATTAAGTTCTGTCCCATCCCCCATTTAACTAGACTGGCTTCATTTTAATGCATTTTACGTATCAGGGCCCCATGCAATGTATTTACTTGAAAATTAAGGATTCACTACATTATTATTATTATTGAGACAGAGTCTTGCTCTTTCACCCAGGCTGGAGTGCAGTGGTGCTATCTTGGCTCACTACAACCTCCATCTCCCAGGTTTAAACGATTCTCCTGCCTCAGCTTCCCAAGCAGCTGGGATTACAGGCACATGCCACCATGCCTGGCGAATTTTTGTATGTTTTATAGAGATGGGGTTTCACCATGTTGGCCAGGCTGCTCTCGAACTCTTGGCCTCAAGCGAGCCATTCGCCTCAGCCTCCCAAAGTGCTGGGATTACAGGTGTGAGCCACCATGCCCAGCCCTAGGGATTTTTTTTCTAATTGTTCACTCTAATAAGTAAAATTATAATGAATATGTTATCATGTTGCCATAGGCAGTACATGAAATCATAAAGTAATTCCATTTCCCCTGACTCTTACAAGTTTTCTTAGGGGAGCATGGGGGTGGGTGTAGTCACAGACAGTTCTGGCCTGTGGCCAAAGTCCAGTGCTACTTAAGTCTTCCCTCGCTGTGCCCTAAGACCGCAAATATTTAGTAAGCATCTAACTGCATGCCAGGCACTGCTGAAAACTGTGGATACAATGGTGAATAAAACAGGCACAGTCTGTCATCTTGGAGCTAACAATCTAGTGACAAAGACAGACACCAAACAGATACTGTACTAAATAATTACAAGAATCATAAGCAAAGTGCTGCCAAACAGAAGTTCAGAAGTATAAGGAAACACATAACAGGGCGAGCTGATTTAATCTGGAAGGATTAGGGCAGGATGCCCTGAGGAAATGCTATTTAATATGAGATCTGATGGATGAGTATGAATTAGCCAGACAACAGAATAGAGCAGAGAGGAAAAGTATGAAGTCCCAAAGGTGAGAGACAGCATGGTAGGTTCAAGGAATTGAGAAAAGATTAGTGTGGTTGAGCACAGAGAATAAAAGGAAATGAGATGAGACTGAGGCAAAATAAATAGCAGGGTCCAGATCATGCACAACCTGTGTGTTATATTAAAGATTTTGAAATCTATTCCAAGGGAAGTCACTGAAGGACTTTAAACTGAGAACATGCACGGTCCTATTTGTGTTTGAACAAGAACATTCTAGCCATAGCATGAAGAAGGGCCAAAGTGAATGCAAGGAGGCCAGAGAAGTTAGCTGTTGAAGAAGTCCAGGCAAGAGATGATGATGGCTTGGACTGCAGTGGCAGCAGTAGGGATGAAAAGAAGTGGACAGATTTAGCCGGGCGCGGTGGCTCACGCCTGTAATCCCAGCACTTTGGGAGGCCAAGGTGGGCGGATCACCTGAGGTCGGGAGATCGAGACCAGCTTTATCCGCAAGGAGAAACCCTGTCTCTACTAAAAATACAAAAATTAGCTGGGCATGGTGGTGCATGCCTGTCATCCCAGCTACTCGGGAGGCTGAGGCAGGAGAATCGCTTGAACTTGGGAGGCAGAGGTTGTGGTGAGCCAAGATTGTCCATTGCACTCCAGCCTGGGCAACAAGAAAGAAACTCCGTCTCAAAAAAAAAAAGAAAGAAAAAAGAAAAAAGGAGTGGACAGATTTGAGAGTGAGTGATCTAGGAGGTGGAAATGACGGAAGCTAGTGACTGATCTTTTATGGGTGTGTGTGTGTGTATGTGAGAGAGAGGGAGTAGTCAAGTGGACTTTTAGTTCTCTGGTTTGAGCAGCTGGGTGGATAGTATTTCCTTACAGACACTGGGAGCACTAGAGGATGAGGAAGTTGATGGTAAAAGGTGATAAGTTCTGTATGAGACATGTTCAATTTAAGGTGTCTATGAGATTTCCTGAATACGCAGGACTGAAGTTCAGAAGGCAAGTCTGGCCAGAAGGTGTGGACTTAAGAGTTCCAAGATTTTTTTTTTTTTTTTTTTGAGACAGAGGCTTGCTCTGTCACCCAGACTGGAGTTCAGTGGCACAATCTTGGATCACTGCAACCTCTGCTTCCAGGGTTCAAGCAATTCTCATGCCTTAGCTGCCCCACTCTCACCCCCAGTAGCTGGGATTACAGGTGCATGCCACCACGCCCAGCTTTTTTTTTGTGTGTGTGTGATGTAGTCTTGCACTGTTGTTCAGGCTGGAGTGCAATGGTGCGATCTCAGCTCACTGCAACCTCCACCTCCCAGGTTCAAGCGATTCTCCTGCCTCAGCCTCCTGAGTAGCTAGGATTACAGGTGCCCACCATGCCCAGCTAATTTTTGTATTTTTAGTAAGATGGGGTTTCACCATGTTGGCCAGGCTGGTCTCAAACTCCTGACCTCAGGTGATCCGCCCACCTCGGCCTCCCAAAGTGCTGGGGTTATAGGCATGAGCCACCGCACCTAGCCCTAATTTTTGTATTTTTAGTAGAGACAGGGTTTCACCATGTTGGCCAGGCTGGTCTTGAACTTCTGGTCTCAAGTGATCTGCCCACCTTGGCCTCCCAAAGTGCTGGGATTACAGGCATGAGGCACTGCACTTGGCCGTGGAGTTCTAAGATTGAAAGAGTACAGAGTGAGGCAAGAAAAGGGTCAGCCAGAGCTCTGCACAGAGCTATACAAAGAGTTAGAAGCCAGAAAAGAAGATTGAAAAGGAGCAATTAGAGAGTTAGCAGAAAGTCAGAAAACTACATGGTCCAAAAAAGCCAAGGGAAGAAACATTTCAAAAAGGCAGTGGATACCTGTACTAAATAAAATAGAGTGATCACATAAAAAGGATTAAAAAGTATCCATTGGATTTTAAGACATGGTGGCCTTTGGCGATATTTTCAGAAGCATTTTTTGCAGACTGGTAGTAGGCAGAGACTAGATAAAGTGTAATGGGAAGTGGGAGGTGAGAAAAGGGGGAGAGCAGTGTAGGTTACGCTTAAAAATTTTCCTCTGAGAGTGGACAAACAAAAGCAGTTGAAGGGAAACTTATTAACCCAGCTCTTCAAGCTAAATATTGAAGAGTTGAATTTGATTCGACTCTTCTATTCCTCTTATGTCCCGTTTCCAATATATGAGCAAAGACCATTGGCTCTAACTTCAAAATATATTCTGAATCTCTCTACTTACTCATTTTCTTCACTGCTACCTACTCCAAGCTACCATCATCTCTTGCCTGGACTATCTTAAGAGCCTCTCAATTTATCTAATTGATCTATCTCTGCCATTTGTTTCCTACATATCAAATATATGAATTAACGAGGCAACTTATTTGCCTCCTATACACATCCTACATACAATGGTGGGAAAGGCTAGAGTTGCTCTACAGTTGCTCCCATGGCTAGAGTTGCTCTAGAGTTGCTCCCCTTCAAAACAAGGGAAAATGGGAGGCATACAGCAGAGACAACTCTGAAATCCAACTGATGTAGGTTGATTAGAGCTTAGTCCAATTGCCGGAGAGTTGTTCATTGTGGTTTCAGCTCCAATATCTGGGCTCTTGGTTACACTCTGAATCATCCTTCCTTTTCTATAAGAAAATTGAGTTTGTATCTGAGTAGCCTTCTCAGCCTGATTCCTCCCTATAAAAGGCATCTTTCCATTTTGTACTGTCTATGTCCCCATTAGTCCTAGCTGATAGATGCTTCTGCCAGAGCAATTCTCTTAGAAGCTTTGTGGGTTCCTTATGCATGAATTTATTATCCACTCCAACAAAAGCTACTCTCATAAATCTCTTTGAGATAAGCACTTCCTTCCCTTGAGAGACTGCTCCAAAATGTCCTTAAGATCTTTGGAGAGACTTTTTTTTCTATCAGATGGATTCTATAAAGCATCCTATAAAGCATTCTATAAAGGTCTTAACCTTTAACTTCTTTTTTAGATAATATTTTCCTGACAGTGTCTTGGATTTTACTTCTGCCCAGAGCCATTTCTTAACTTTAGAATCATTTACCATCTGGAGAGGCTGACAGTGAAAACAGTTTTATTTTCAAGCCAAGCCAAGTAAGTCCTGGTCCTAGATATAGATATGTGTGTGTGTGTGTGTGTGTATATATATATATATATATACACACACATATATATACACACATATATATACACATATATATACACATATATATATACACACACATATATATCAGCTTTATTGAGATATAATCCACATACCATACAAGTCTCCCATTTAAAACATACAATTCGATGTTTTTAGTATATTCACAGAGTTGTACAACTTTTACCATGATCAATCTTAGAACATTTTTATCACCCCAAAAAGGGACCTGGTACCCATTAATGGTCATACTCTGTCCCCCCTCACCCCTGCCACCTCTGTCTTAGTCTGTTTGTGCTGCTACAACAAAATACATGAGACTGAATAATTTATAAATAGTAGACATTTCTCACAGTTCTAGAGGCTTGGAAGTCCAAGATCAAAGCACTGGTGTTTGGCATCAGGTGAGGACCTTCTCACATGGCAGAAGAGATGGAACCCACCAACTCAAGCCCTTTTATAAGGGCCTTAATGCCATCCATGAGGGCTCGGCCCTTATTAGTCATCTCCTAAAGGCCCCACCTCTTAATACTATTACATTGGTGATTCAGTATCAACATATGAATCTTGGGGACACATTCAGAACACAGCACCCCACAACTCTCCCTGCCCAACCATAGGCAATCACTAATCTACTTGTCTCTATAGATTTGCCTATTCTGGGCATTTCATATGTTAAATAAAATGTATGGTCAGGCACAGTGGCTCACCTACCCAGCTAATTTTTTAAATTATCTGTAGAGATGAGGTCTTACTATGTTGCCCCGGGTGGTCTTGGGCTCAAGCAATCCTCCCTCCTCAGCCTCTCAAAGTGGTAGGATTACAGGTGTGAGCCACTGCACCCAGTCTTATAAATTGATTTTTTTTTTTTTTAAAAAAAGACAACTCAACCATCTGCAACAATAGGGGCTATGGTTCATCCCCCTAACCTCACTCATTCAGGTTTCTCCTCAGGAAGAGAGGCCTGTGAGAGCTGTAGAGGAACTTCTCTCCAATGATGTGGGGCAGGTGGATCTTGGCAGTGCAAGGGATGGGCTATGTGACCAAGGGGTGGACTGTGTGCACAATGTCTTACATCCACCTTCACAAAGAGAATCTGCTGTGAGGTGTAGAGGTAACTGCCGTACCTCTGGGATTTGCCACAGCATTCTTGCCAAGGCACGCTTTCCCTGGATTCATCCCAGCCAATGACCGAGCTCCAGGGCATACTACAGCTGGGCCATTTCTGCCTTATGTGGGACTCCTTCACTGGGCAATCAGCCTGGCCAAGAGTTTTTTCAGAGCTGCACTAACACTCGGAGCCTCTTCCTACCCAATCCTCCTTCTTTCCTTCTCTCCTCTCACGGGTGTCAGTCCTGCACCATGGCCTGAAGATTCTCCCTGTCTACTCCTGCTGCTTCTTATCTTTTCACTGCCATTTTCCACTTGAACTTTTTTCTTTTCTTTTTTTAGAGGCAGAGCCTTACTCTGTCACCCAGGCTGGAGTGCAGTGGCTCAATTATATCTCATTGTAACCTCGAACTCCTGGGCTCAAGCCGCCTCCCGTCCTCAGCCTCAATCTCTTGAGTAACTATCTGCCTTGAACTTGTGAGAGGACTCAAATTTATGCAGCTTTTAGCTGTTTCTAAGAAAAAGTTTGGTATGGGTGCTACCATAATGAAAGCCTAAAATGTGGAATTGGCTTTGAAACCACCTGGCTGACTGAGGCTGGAAGGACATTGAGGTGTGGCATGGTGGCTCACGCCTGTAATCCCAGCACTTTGGGAGGCTGAGACAGGTGGATCACCTGAGGTCAGGAGTTCAAGACCACCCTGGCCAATATGATGAAACCCTGTCTCTACTGAAAATAAAAAAATTAGCCGGGCGTGGTGGCAGGCACCTGTAATCCCAGCTACTCAGGAGGCTGAGACACGAGAATTGCTTGAACCTGGGGGACAGAGGTTGCAGTGAGCTGAGACTGCACCACTGCACTCCAGCCTGGGCAACAGAGTGAGACTCCATCTCAATAAATAAATTAATTAATTAAAATTTACAGGAGGCCATTGATTTGGACTAGGCTCCTGCACTCAGCCTAACAGACCAAACCAATGGAGTTTAACTACAGTGACTGAGCTGGGATTATAGGCATGCACCACCACACCCAGCTAATTTTTGTATTTTTAGTAGCGATGGGGGTTTCACCATGCTAGCCAGGCTGGTCTTGAACTCCTCACCTCAGGCGTTCCACCTGCCTTGGCCTCCCAAAGTGCTGGGATTACAGGCATGAGCCACTGCACCCAGCCTATTTTCTACATGATTTTGCAATGGCTTTCCAGCTTAAAATTTAGAGTCAATTTGTTCATATAAAGAGGATATCAAGTACCAATATCCTAAAATATTGACAAACTATTAAGTGTAAAACTCCCCCAAATTCAGTTTAATATGAAACATACTACATGTATCATAGAATTTTCAAATATCTCATGTCACATTAATAAAGAAAGGAAAAATTGGGTTACTGTTGCCAAAGATGTCACAGATAGTATAGAATTCTGACAGACAGGTCCAAGACAGGGAAGCAGTTTAAAACAAAACAAAACAAACAAACAAAACAGGTTTGACTTAATAGGTTATACTTAGAAAATGTTAGCCAATATTAGAGTACATATATTTTTGTCAAGAATTTCCATGGAGCTTTTATAAATATTGACCATGCTCCAGGTTACAAAACGAGTCTCAAACACCAAAGAATCAGTATACTTACCGCATTGGGTGTCTCATTATAACTGGAGGACAGTAAGAACAGTAACAGCAACACCTTAAAATACCCTGTATGTTGGAAAAACTTTAAATATAGTTACTGCTAAACTGATCAAAGAAGACACCATACAAGAAAGTATCAGAAAATACTTAGAACTGAATGATTTTAAGAGTGCTATATTGAAATTTATAGGATGTACTTAAGGAGAAATGCATAGCCTTAAGTGCTTATATTAGAAAAAAAGATAGGCTGGAATTTAAAGAGCTAAGCTTTAAAGTCAAGATGTTAGACAAAAATCAACAAAGAAAGCAGAAGTGGCCAGGCATAGTGGCTCACACCTGTAATCTCACCACTTTGGAGGCCAAGGCAGGAGAACTGCTTGAGGCCAGGAGTTCGAGACCAGCCTGGGCAGCATAGCGAGACCCCCAATCTCTAGAAAAAAATTTAAAAATTAGCCAGGCATGGTGTCTCAGTCTTTGCTACTTAGGAGACTGAAGCAAGAGGATCACTTGAGCCCAGGAGATCAAGTCTGAAGCGAGCCGTCATCACGTCACTGCACTCTAGCCTGGCAACAGAGCAAGACCCCATCTCTAAATAAATAAATAAAACAAAAAAAAAAAAAAAGGAAAGAAAGTAGAAGTAATGAGATAATAAAAATGAGAGGAGAAAAAACAACAGGAGAAACTAAGCAGAAAACAAATATATGTGATAAAAGAGATTGACATAACCAAATGTTGGTTCTTTGAGAAAAGTAATAAAATAGACAAACCGCTGGTGAAATGATGAAGAAAAGTACAAAAAAAAAAGAAGTAAAAAAGAGGACATACTACAAGTACAGCAGACACTGATGATATACATATTTAAAGACTGTCTACCGCAGCCTGCCCTCTGGCCAACACCATTCACGTCCATTCCATGTGCAAAATATACTCACTCTCCTCCCAGGACCCCCAAAGTCTCATCCCACATGGTATCAGCTTGAAGTTCACAGTCTCATTACCTAAATGAGGTCTAGCTGCAGATGAAGCTCTTCAGGCGTACTTCCTTGAGTGTGGGTTCCTCTTGATATGAAGACCTGTGAAATACAGTCAAGTCATCTGTAACACAAACACAACATCCAATAGTCATATGAGGATAGGAAAACTGCAATAAATGCTCCCATTCAAAAGGGATGAACAGGAGGCACATAACAGTCAGTGTTCCATAGTAATTCTGAAATCCCAGATTTCAGAATGCACATTTCCATGTCCTTAACTGGGACCCAATCCTGCTCCTTGGGAGTGATTCTCTGTGGTTCTGAGTTCTGCCTTCTGGACTCTTGGCTCTTCACTTTGAATCATCATTCCGTTTCCAGAAAAAAAGTCTTATATTTGCTGCTGTGTAGCTTTTGAAGCCTGCTTCTTGCCCATAGGAAGTTCTGAGTTCCAAGGGTTTTTTTTCATTTTAAACTATTCTTTTTAGTTGAAGCTGATGGTGCTTCTACATATGCAATTCTCTTAAATTATTATGAGTTTCCTATGAATCTTATTTGAGTTCTTGAAAGCCAAAGTCACAAATGTTTTCAAGATAGGTCCTTCTCTGCCATAGTCTGAGATTCAGTGTGCTATAGGAAACATCCTTAATATTCTTTTTTTTTTTTTTTGAGATGGAGTCTTACTCTTGTCTCCTAGGCTGGAGTGCAATAGCGCGACCTCAGCTCACTGCAACCTCTTCCTCCCGGGTTCAAGTGATTCTTCTGCCTCAGCCTCCCAAGTAGCTGGGATCACAGGCACCCCCATGTAGTTAGCTCCTGCCACCATGCCCAGCTAATTTTTGTATTTTTAGTAGAGATAGGGTTTCATTATATTGGCCAGGCTGGTCCTGAACTCCTGACCTCAGGTGATCCGCCTGTCTCGGCCTCTCAAAGTGCTGGGATTACAGGCGTGAGCCACCACACCTGACCAAGATTCTTAAAAGAGTAGAAAAAGAGTCTATGAAGCATTCTAACATTCTTAGTAGCCCCTCATTTACTTGAGAACATCTAACAGATGCTTAAAACTTAAAACTTTCTAAAGTCTTAAAAAGTCTTACAGCTGCACTCTTGACTTCATCTTAATACTGTTCTTCCAGGCCGGGCGCGGTGGCTCACGCCTGTAATCCCAGCACTTTGGGAGGCCGAGGCGGGTGGATCATGAGGTCAGGAGATTGAGACCATCCTGGCTAACAAGGTGAAACCCCGTCTCTACTAAAAATACAAAAAAAAATTAGCCGGGCGCGGTGGCGGGCGCCTGTAGTCCCAGCTACTCGGGAGGCTGAGGCAGGAGAATGGCGTGAACCCGGGAAGCAGAGCTTGCAGTGAGCCGAGATTGCGCCACTGCAGTCCGCAGTCCGGCCTGGGCGACAGAGCGAGACTCCGTCTCAAAAAAAAAAAAAAAAAAAAAAAAAAAATACTGTTCTTCCTTTGAAAAACTTCTATTTTATTTTAAATTTTTATTTATTTATTTTTTAGATGGAGTCTCGCTCTGTCACCCAGGCTGGAGTGCAGTGGCAGGATCTCAGCTCACTGCAACCTCTGCCTCCCGGGTTCAAGCGATTCTCCTGCCTCAGCCTCCTGAGTAGCTGAGATTACAGGCACATACCACCATGCCTGGCTAATTTTTGTATTTTTAGTAGAGATGGGTTTTCACCGTATTAGCCAGGATGGTCTCCATCTTCTGACCACGTGAATCCCCCCGCCTTAGTCCCCCAAAGTGCTGGGATTACAGGCGAGAGCCACCGTGCCCTGCCCCTTTGAAAAACTTTTGATGGCTAAAAAGATTGTCCTGAGCACTTTATATACCCTCTAAATTCTTCTAGAAAGCAGAATCATTTCCTTGTTAGATTATCTTTCTCTTCTTGTACCTTACCATTGACTGCTAAAAGACACCAGTCGGCACTTTGAACATTCCACCTAGAAATCTCCTTAGCCAAATTCACCAGTACATTAAGTATACTTTCTATTTTATGTTTTACCACAGGTGACATTCTTCAAAACATTTTGCTACTACATAAAAATAGTTGCTTTTTCTCCAGCCTCCAATAACAATTTCCTCCAATAACAGTTTCC
Source organism: Homo sapiens (assembly GCF_000001405.40). Lineage (NCBI taxonomy): Eukaryota > Metazoa > Chordata > Mammalia > Primates > Hominidae > Homo > Homo sapiens. The sequence continues at coordinate 40,021,691 of NC_000001.11, read as the reverse complement.
TTCAAATCTTCACTAACAGTCTCCTAAGGCCCTTCAGCTTCCAACAACTACCTGGTCCTAGGTCACTGTCCCATGTTTTAGGTTTTTGTCACAGCAGCATAACACTACTTGTATCAATTTCTATTCCAGTTACCTATTATTACCTTGGTGCAAAAGTAATTGTGGGTTTTGTCATTAGTTTATTATTATTATTATTATTTTTGAGACAGAGTCTCGTTCTTTGGCCCAGGTTGGAGTGCAGTGGTGTAATCTCGGCCCACTGCAACCTCCACCTCCAGGGTTCAAGCAATTCTCCTGCCTCAGCCTCCCAAGTAACTGGAATTACACATGCCCCCCAACCATGCCCAGCTAATTTTTATATTTTTAGTAGAGACAGGGTTTCACCATGTTGGCCAGGCTGGTCTTGAACTCCTGACCTCAGGTGATCCACCCGTCTTGGCCTCCCAAAATGCTGGGATTACAGGTGTGAGCCACAGCATCGGCAGGTTTTTGTCATTACTTTTAACGGCAAAACCCGCAATAACTTTTGCACCAACCTAATACTATTATAATAACAATCTATACCCAACTTCGTGACTTAAAACAATGATTTATTATCTCTCATGCTCAGTGGGTTGACTGAAGTCAGCTGAGCAGTCCTCACTTGGGGTCTCATGTGATTAGCATTTGAAGGTGGCTGGGGCTGGAGCCATCTGAAAGCTTCACTGGGCTGGATATCCAGAATGGCTCATTCACATAACTCGAAGTTGATGCTGGTTCTCTGCTGGGAGCTTAGTTAGGACTGTCAATCAGAGTGCCAACAGGCAGCCTGTCCATGTGGCTTAGGATTCTCACATTCTAGTGTGTGGGTTTCTGAGGAGTGTCTCAAGAGCAAACATTTCAAGAGATCCAGCTGGAAGTTACAATGTTTCTTGTTATCTAAACTTGGACGTTTCAGAATGACTCTTCCTCTGTATTTTTTTTTTTTTTGAAGCAGGGTCTTTCTCTGCTGCCCAGGCTGAAATGCAGTAGCACGATCATGACTCACTGCAGCCTCCACCTCCTGGGCTCAAGTGGTCTTCCACCTCAGCCTCCCAAGCAGCTGGGACTACAGGGGTGCACTACTATGTGTGGCTAATTAAAAAAAACAAACATTTTTTATAGAGTTGGAGTCTCACTGTGTTGCATAGGCTCTCTGCATTCTATTGATTAAGCAAGTTAGCATTCACTAAGTCCAGCCCGTATGCAAGAAGGGTAACTCCACATCAGAGGGGAGAAATTGGTGATGTTTATAGCTGGTGACAATCTACATCATCAATTTAGAGATTATTTTATCCACTTCACAAAAGTTACCACGTTTATAACTAGGATTGTATTAAATGTATTAATTTCAGTAGACTGGACATATTAAATCTTCCCATCTAAGAATGGGAGACAGGCTGGATGTGATGGCTCATTCCTGTAATCCCAGCACTTTGGGAGGCTGAGGCAGGCGGATCACTTGAGGTCAGGAGTTCAAGACCAGCCTGGCCATCATGGTGAAACCCCATCTCTACTAAAATTACAAAAAAATTAGCTGGGAATGGTGGCAGGTGCCTGTAATCCCAGCTACTCAGGAGGCTGAGGCAGAAGAATCACTTGAACCGGGAGGTGGAGGTTGCAGTGAGCTGAGATTGTGCCACTGCACTCCAGCCTGGGCGACAGAGCCAGACTTCATCTCAAAAAATAAAATAAAATAAAATAAAATAAAATAAAATAAAATAATGGGAGATGTTTTACTACTTGTTTAGATTTTGTTTTATAATTTATGGTTAATCTATGACAGAAACTTCTCTTTTGGAACAAAAATGTAAAAAAAAAATAGTACTGTGTACACTTGGAGCATTTGCTAGAGTTTCTCTATGAGACTGCATTGTATAGGTTTATGATTTCTAATTATGCCCAAGAAAATTCAAAAATTATAGAATAGATCTATTAGAATCATTGTAGAAGTAAATGCCTACATGAATGTGAATTATGGGTGATGGCTAAAGCAGTGGCTTAAAGCCAGAAAAATCCAGCAATTTCTGGATTTTCATTCATTCATAAGTTGATTGAACCAAGAACGTCATCTCTCCCTACTGAATCTGCCTCCCTTCTCCAACCCCACAAAATTAAACAAAAGCCAGATTATTGGTCCTAGATGGGTACTTTGTGAGGGCAAAAATAAGTAGTCTCTATCATGTTAATTATCACTACCATTCAATGAGTAACTACTATGTGCTAGGTAATGGGTAGATATTTTGCACTTATTATCTCATTAAAGATTAAATTAGGCCAGTAGGCCAATAGAACAAAATAGAGATCTCAGACATAGACCCATGTAGAAATATGGGAATTTAATATACAGTTAAAGTATACTACAAATCAATGAGAATATGACTCAGAGTCCAACCAGGAAAATATGTCAGTTAAGGTGCAACCAGGAGACAGAAACCATACAGTAATTTGAACAGGAAGGGCCGGGCGTGGTGGCTCACGCCTGTAATCCCAGCACTTTGGGAGGCTGAGGTGGGCAGATCACAATTTCAGGAGTTTGAGACCAGCCTGGCCAACAGAGTAAAACCCCATCTTTACTAAAAATACAAAAATTAGCTGGGCATGGTGGCAGGCGCCTGTAATCCCAGCTACTCAGGAGGCCAAGGCAGGAGAATTGCTTGAAACTGAAAGGCAGAGGTTGCAGTGAGCTGAGATCACGCCACTGCACTCCAGCCTGGACAAAAGAGTGAAACTCCGTCTCAAAAAAAAAAAAAAGTTTGAACAGGAAAGTTTAATACAAAGAACTTTTTTTTTTTTTTTTTTTTGAGATGGAGTCTTGCTCTGCCACTCAGGCTGGAGTGTAGTGGAGCGATTTTGGCTCACTGCAGCCTCCACCTCCCAGGCTCCAATGATTTTCCTGCCTCAGCCTCCCATATAGTTGGGATTACAGGTATGCGCCACCACCCCCAGCTAATTTTAGTATTTTTAGTAGAGACAAGATTTCACCATGTTGGCCAGGCTGGTCTCAAACTCCTGACCTCAGGTGATCTGCCCACCTCGGCCTCCCAAAGTGCTAGGATTACAGGCGTGAGCTACCACACATGGCTACAAAGGACTATTAACTATAACAAAATAGAATGCCCAAAGAAGAGTCCCCCCTCCCCCACTCTCAGGGCTGTGCTCCAAAACGTGTTGCAGAGGGAGTACCTCTTCACTGGATGGTGGAGAAGTTGCTAAGGTGTCATATCAGTGAAATTTGCTAGAAATCTACCCAAGAGGAAGCCAGGGGGAGTTGGAGGACACTGAGCGATGCTGGCTGCTATGTGCTGTAGGAGGCAGGTCTAGAGAAGCCATGTGGTACTAGCTCAGTGCCACAGAAACTGCAAAATCCTGCAATCCCACATACTGCAAAATCCTGACGAGATGGAAAGATAGAAGAGGAGAAACTCATTTTCCTCTGTGTCCCTTTAGCACGGTCTTACTGACAAAGCTTTGTATCATGCCCCTGGCAAAGGAGAAATATTTAAAGGGTCCATCTTGATTTTTGCTGAGCAGGCAATGAAGGGTAGATTTGGAACTGTAAGGCAATACATTGAAAACTGGCAAAAAGGCTGATTGGATTGTATAATAAGAAAGCGTTTGATAAATAGGATCACTATATGGAGAAAAATAATACCAGATCCCTATCTAACACCACCTATATAAGTGAACTCCAAATGGCTTAAAGACCTAAACATAAAAGGTAAAATTATGAATTTAATAGAAAAAAGTAGGAAGATATTTTTATAACCTAGGGACAGGGAATAAACTTTTTTAAAACTTAAAAAAGTATAACTCAAGGTAAAAAATTAATGAATTTGATTATATAGAAATCAAGATAAAACTGCTGGTTAACTGAAAATCAAAAAAAGGAAATTAAGATTTTTGGTTCATTGAAGGACTATGTGAACAAAGTTAAAAGATAGATGATGAACTGGCGAAAGATACTTGCCATTTATAATATCAATAAAGGATTATTATCTAGAGCAGAATTTAGCAAACTTTTTCTGTAAAGAAACAAACAGTAAATAGAAAAATAAAGAATAAAAAAACCCAGTAAATATTTCAGGCTGGCTTTGTGGTCCAGATAGTCTCTGACACAGCTACTCCACTTTACTGTTGTAGCAGGAAGGCAGCCATAGGCAATAAGTAAGTGAATGGGTGTGAATATGTTCTTTTTTTTCATTTCTTTTTTTTTTTTTGAGACAGAGCCTTGCCACGTCACCCAGGCTGGAGTGCAGTGGTGCGATCTCGGCTCACTGCAACCTCTTCATCCCAGGTTCAAGTGATTCTCTTGCCTCAGCCTCCCCAGTAGCTGGGATTACAGGTGCACACCACCATGCTCAGCTAATTTTTGTGTTTTCTTTTTGTTTTTTTTTTTTTGAGACAGAGTCTCACTCTGTCACCCAGGCTAGAGTGCAGTGGTGTGATCTCAGCTTACTGCAACCTCCACCTCCTGGGTTCAAGTGAGTCTCCTGCCTCAGCCTCCCAAAGTGCTGGGATTACAGGCATGAACCACTGAGCCCGGCTGGGTGTGATTGTGCTGTAATACAACTTGATTTATAGAAACTGGAGGCAGGCCAGATTTGATCTAGGGGGCCATAGCTTCCTGGTCCCTGACCTAGGAAAGAAAAGGAAGTCCTGCATATCAACCCCAATAATAGAGCAGAAAAATAGAGCAACCCCAATTACAAAAAAGAAAAAAAATGGAAAGATTTATGAGTAGGCAATACACAGGAGAGGAAATGCAGAAGGATAGTAAGCAAGTGATGAGATGCTTAAATGCAATTACAATCAGAAAAATGTAAATTAATAATCTAATCTGATAGCAAAAATTAGAGATATGACAGTGATATTTGTTGGGGAAAGAGGAACTCCATGGTGGACATGAAGACTGGTGCAACCACTTTAGAGGGCAGCATGGTGGTACATAGTCAAATAGTGTGTCTGTATACTTAATGATCAAGCAAATCGGCTTCCGAGTCAGTATCTCAATGAAATTCCTACCCAAGTCCATAAAAGTTCATGAACTAGAATCCTGTAATCCCAGCACTTTGGGAGGCTGAGGCAGATGGATGACCTGAGGTCAGGAGTTTGAGACGAGCCTGGCCAACATGGTGAAACCCCATCTCTACTAAAAGTACAAAATTAGCCAGGCTTGGTGGCATGCACATGTAATCCCAGCTATTCGGGAGGCTAAGACAGGAGAATCACTTGAACCCAGGAGGCAGAGGTTGCAGTGAGCCAAGATCATGCCATTGCACTCCAGCCTGGGCAGAAAAGAGCAAAATTCCATCTAAAAAAAAAAGAAAGAAAGAAAGAAAGAAAAGAACTAGAATCTTCATTGAAGCATCATTTGTGTTTTGGAGGAGCAATAATTGTGGAAACAATTTGGATTTTCATCACTTAGAGAATAAATCTATAAAATGTGTTGAAGGTACACCATGAAGTACTATACAGCAATTGGAACCAATGAATTAGATGTACACTTAACAACATGGATAGATCTTGAACTTAAAAACAGTGCTGATTTTAAAAAGTGATAACAGAATACATAATAAACACAAGTCACTTTATTTATTAAATTTAAATATTTATTAAATATTAAATTTAAAATATTTGCACGTAAAATATGTTTTGCAAGACACAAATACCAAGATACATATTAAACACATTATAGTGGTTGTCTATCGGGAGAGAAAGGAAGTGGGCTATGGAATGAAAGGGAATATGTGTGTGTGTTTGTGCGTGCACGTGTGCACGCGTGTGTGTGTGTACATATATACACACATACACATAAGAAATTTAACAGGTTTATTTTTCATACAAAGCTGGTTTGTGAATTAAAACAATTAATTTGTTTTCTTTTCCTCATGGCTTGGTTTCAGTTATTTTCTGTATGTGCATGTGTGTGTGTGTATATATATATATTCCCTTCATTCCATAGCCCAATTCTCATATATACACATATATGAGACAGGGGGAGAAGTGGAAGAAGAATTGCATGGACCAATGACAGTAATGTGCCATGAAATGCAGAGAACAATTAACCACATCTGAGGTTAAAATTAAAACAACATATAATATAAAAAGCCAGATAATACGAATTTTTTTTGAAGGAGTAAAGAAAGCAACTTCATAGGGAGATAAACCTCAGCAGAGCTATGAAACCCTCCTCAATTCTTCGGACTTGGGACTGGCCATCCCCACAGGCTTACATGTAAGAGCGTGCTGAGTAGCATCTGAGTCAGTATGAGAAACATCTGAATAACAATGTGTAATGCCCGCTTGAGGTTACCAAGGTTTGAATCAGTATACTCTAAATTCTGAATGTATATGGATGATGACTAAATAAGCGCAGGTCATATCTGAATCAGCCTACCCAGTCCATAGTATCCAATATACATAGCATGATTCCCTAAAAATGTTATTATATATTAGTATATGCATACCAAAAAAAGGTGGAGGACTTTGCTATAAACTATTGACAGAGTTGTTGGTGAGAAATGTGTGGCAGAGACTGGCCAAAAGTTCAACAAATCTGTTTCCTCTTCCGCCTGGCCACTCATCAGCTTACATTTCTCAGTCTCTCTTGCAGATAACTATGGCCGTGTGCCTGAGATCTGGCCAATGGAATCGTGGACAGTTCTCCATGCTCTTTCTCCTTCTGTGGCAACTCTGAATGTCGTGTGTTCAAGATGAAGACAGAAGATAGAATGACCTTGGGTCTCTGAATCATTGCTTGGAGAAGAGCAATTTACTGATCAGTGGTGTGAAAATAAGTAATTCAAAATCTAAGCTATTGGGCCAGGTGCAGTGGCTCACGCCTGTAACCCCAGCACTTTGGGAAACCAAGGCAGGTGGATCATTTGAGGTCAGGAGTTCGAGACCAGCCTGGCCAACAGGGTGAAACCCCGTCGCTACTAAAAATACAAAAAATTAGCCGGGCATGGTGGCATACGCCTGTGGCCCCAGCTACTTGGGAGGCTAGGGCACGAGAAACACTTAAGCCCAGGAGGCGGAAGTTGCAGTGAGCCAAGACTGCACCACTGCATGCTAGCCTGGGCAAGAGAGCAAGACTCTGCCTCAAAAAAAAAAAAAAAAAGAAAAAAATCTAAGCTGTTGGAACATTAAATTATTTTGAGCTTTAAAGAAATGTGTTTATGAGACTTGAGTCATGTGACAGGCAGCTGTAACCTAGGAAACTGTAAACATTTTTTCTCTGATTATAGATTAGCCTCCTTCCTTATCTACATAATTTTGTAAAATGTTGTAAATGACTAAAGGGTACTTCCCTTTAGTCCCACTTCACTGCTGATCTTCATTGCAGATTAACTTCCTTCCTACCTCTCTCACACAAAGCCTTCATGACTGTTACATTATATACTCTTTTAAATTAGAAAATAAATGAAACCAAGCCACAAGGAAAAGAAAACAAATTAACTAATTGAATTGTTTTAATTCATAAACCAGCTTTGTATAAGAAATAATCCTGTTAAATTTCTTTGTTTTCTTCCTTTATAAACAAGACCTTAACTTTTGACATCAGAGCACGGACCCCATTTCACTGACCCCATTTTCACGGAATAAACGCCTTAAAAAAATTTTTTTAATAGAAACAGAGTCTCACTTTGATGCCCAGTCTAGTCTTGAACTCCTGGCTTTAAGCAATTCTCCTTCTTGGTCTGCCAAAGTGCTGGAATTACTGGTGTGAGCCACTGTGCCCAGCCTGAATAAACTCTTTAAAAATGGGTGCTGATCCTTTTGATTCTTTCATGTTGATAGGGGCAAAATTCTGTTTTAGATTTCACTGGTAAAAGATAAAATCTTATCTTATTAGGCATTTGAGATGTTAGGATTGATCTGTTAAACTGCTAGCATTACATTAATCCCTACAATAGGGTTATAGGAAACTGCAACTTTCTACATTTTACATTTAGATACTGTTTGCATTTTGCAGAGCTTTACATTGCATATTTATAATCAGCATTGTATGCAATATAGATTTTTAAAAATTATGTTTCAAAATTTATAGCCAGCTTTTTCTCCTTGTCCTCTGAGTAATTCTTTTGCTTAACATTTTGGTGGAAAATGCAAAGCTGGGTGGTGTTACCAAAACGCTTGTTGCCCAAGGTCTATAAATATAGAAATCAGTTTGCTATCATTTCTGGGTTTTTTAATTGAAATATAACTCACATACTATAAAATTCACCCTTTTCAGCGTACAATTCAGTGGTTTTTAGTATATTTACAAGGTTGTGCAAATATCACCACTATCAAATTCCAGAAATTTTTCATTACCCCAAAAAGAAGCTCCATACCCATTAGCAGTCATTCCCTGTTCCTCTCACCCCACAAGCACTGATCTACTTTCTGTCTCTATGAGTTAGCCTACTCTGTACATTTCATACAAGTGGAATCATTAAAAGGTGGCCTTTCATGTTTGGCTTCTTTCACTAAGCATAATGTCTTCAAGGTTCGTCCATGGTGCAGCATATATCAGTACTCTCTTTTTGGCTGTATAATATTTTATTTGTGAATATACCACATTTTGTTTATCCATTTATCAGTTGATAGACATTTGGGTTGTTTTATGAATAATGCTGCTATGAACTTTTTTTAACGTAATTTTTAATTTTCTTTGAGACAGAGTCTTGCTTTGCTGCCCAGGCTGGAGTGCAGTGGTGCAATCTTGGCTCACTGTAACCTCCACCTCCCAGGCTCATGTGATTCTCATGCCTCAGCCTCCTGAGTAACTGAGATTAAAGGCTTGCACCAGCACGCCTGGCTAATTTTTGTAGTTTTAGTAGAGACAGGGTTTCGCCATGTTGGCCAGGCTGGTTTGAACTCCTGGGCCTATGTTATCTGCATACCTCTGCCTCCTAAAGTGCTAGAATTACAGGGGTGAGCCACTGCACCCAACCTGCTATGAACATTCTTTTTTTTTTTTTTTTTTTTTGAGATGGAATCTCGCTGTTGCCCAGGCTGCAGTGCAGTGGCACAATCTTGGCTCACTGCAACCTCCCTCTCCCAGGTTCCAGCAATTCTCCTGCCTCAGTCTCCCAAGTAGCTGGGATTACAGGCACATACCACCATACCTGGCTAATTTTTGAATTTTTAGTAGAGACGGGGTTTCACCATGTTGGCCGGGCTTGTCTTGAACTCCTGACCTCAGGTGATCCGCCCTCCTCGGCCTGTCAAAGTGCTGGGATTACAGGCGTGAGCCACTACACGGGACCTGAACATTCTTAACAAGACTTTTTTTTTTTTTTTTTAAATGATCGTAGGCCAGGCGCGGTGGCTCAGGCCTGTAATCCCAGCACTTTGGGAGGCCAAGGCGGGTGGATGACGAGGCCAGGAGATCGAGACCATCCTGACTAACACAGTGAAACCTCGTCTCTACTAAAAATGCAAAAAATGAGTCGGGCGTGGTGGCGGGCGCCTGTAGTCCCAGCTACTCGAGAGGCTGAGGCTGGAGAATGGCGTGAACTTGGGAGGCGGAGCTTGCAGTGAGCCGAGATCTCGCCACTGCACTCCAGCCTGGGCGACAGAGCCAGACTCCATCTCAAATAAAATTTAAAAAAAAAAAGATCGTTTGCTTTTTATTGATACAAAATATTTTATGTATTTATGGGGTACATGTATTTGTTACATAAATAGAACATGTTTTGATTAGCCGGGCGTGGTGGCACGCGCCTGTAGTCCCAGCTACTGGGGAGGCTGAGGCAGGAGAATCGCTTGCAACCGGGAGGTGGAGGTTGCAATGAACCAAGATCGTGACACTGCATTCCAGCCTGGGCGACAGAGCAAGACTCCATCTCAAAAAAAAAAAAAAAAAAAAAAAAAGAACATGTAATGATCAAGGCAAGGTATTGGAGGCATGTATCACTTTGACTTTTATCATTTATCATTTCTATGTGTTGATAACATTTCAAGTCCTCTCTTCTAACTACTTTGAGATACACTATACAGTGTTGCTAACTACAGTCACCCTACTCTGCTATTAAATATTGGGACTTATTTGTTCTATCTAACTGTGTGTTTGTACCCACTAATCAATATCTCTTTATTCCCCCTTCCCACCCACATACTCCTCCCAGCCTCTAGTATCTATCATTCTATTCTCTATCTCTATGAGACCAATTTTTTAGCTCCCACATATGAGCGAGAGCATGTGGCATCTATCTTTCCATGCCTGGTCTCTTTCATTTAACATAATAACCTCCAGTTCCACCCATGTTCCTGCAAATGACACAATTTTATTCTTTTTTATGGCCGTATAGTATTCCATTTTGTATATATGCCATTTTTTTTATCCGTTAGTCCATTGATGGACACCTAGGTTGATTCTGTATCTTGGCTATTGTGAGTAGTCCTGCAATAAGTATGCAAGTGCAGGTATCCCTTTGATATACTGATTTCTTTTCCTTTGGATAAATACCCAGTAGTGTGATTGCTGGATTATATGGTAGTTATATTTTTAGCTTTTTGAGAAATTTCCATACTGTTTTCATTAACTGTGGTACTAATTTACATTCCCACCAACGGTGTATAAGAGATCCCTTTTCTCTTTATTTTGGCCAGCATCTGTTGCTTTTATCTTTTTATAGTAGTCATTATGGGTCAGACGAGGTGGATAATGTCTATAATCCCAGCATATTTGGAGGCTGAGGTGAGAGAATCACCTGAGCCCAGGATTTTGAGACCAGCCTGGGTGACACAGTGCCACTCCATCTCTTTTCTTGTTGTTGTTTTGAGACAGAGTCTCACTCTGTCATCCAGCCTGGTGTGCAATGGTGTGATCTCAATTTACTGCAACTTCCGTCTCTCAGGTTCAAGCAATTCTCCTGCCTTGGCCTCCCAAGTAGCTGGGATTACAGGTACGTGCCACAACACTCGGCTAATTTTTTGTATTTTCAGTAGAGATGGGGTTTCACCATGTTGGCCAGGCTGGTCTTGAACACCTGACCTCAGGTGATCTGCCCACTTCGGCCTCCCAAAGTGCTGGGATTACAGGAGTGAACCACCACACCCAGCCAAGACTCCATCTCTACAAAAACATTAAAAATTAGCCAGGTGTGGTGACTCATACCTGTAGTCTCAGCTATTTGGGAGGCTAAGGTGGGAGAATCACTTGAGCTAGGGAGGTCAAGGCTGCTGTGAGCCATGATTGTGCCACTGCACTTCAGCCTGGGTGACAGAGCGAGACCCTATCTCAAAAAATAAAATAAAATAAAAAAGCCGGGCACGGTGGCTCACGCCTGTAATCCCAGCATGTTGGGAGGCCGAGGCAGGCGGATCACGAGGTCAGGTGGATCATGAGGTCAGGAGTTCAAGACCAGCATGACCAACATGGTGAAACCCCATCTCTACTAAAAAATACAAAAAATTAGCCAGGTGTGGTGGCACACGCCTGTAATCCCAGCTACTCAGGAGGCTGAGGCAAGACAATTGCCCAGGAGGTGGAGACTGCAGTGAGCCGAGATTGCACCTTTGCACTCCAGCCTGGGAGACAGAGGGAGACTCTGTTTCAAAAAAAACCTTTTTTTTTGTAATTAAAAAAAAAATAATAGCCATTCTCAGGCATGGTGGCTCACATCTGTAATCCCAGTGCTTTGGGAGGTTGAGGCAGGAGGATCGCTTGAGGCCAAAAGTTGAAGAGAAGCTGGGCAACATAGTAAGATCCCATCTCTACAAAAATTTTAAAAATATTGGTTACATAAAGAAGTGGAAATTAATTGATTGGGCATTTGTTGAGGGAAGGATAGACAGATGAATAAAAGATATGGGACAGGAAAGAACTGACTTTTGCTGTATTTTATGTTTTCTTTAACATATAATCCATTAATATCCTGTTATTGAAGCAAGGTAATTATTACACCACCAGCACCACACACACATACATAAACACACGAGCGTTAAAGTCATTAGGGAAATGCAAATTAAAACCACAATGAAATGTCACCCCACACCCACTAGGATGGCTACAATTTAAAAAAAAAAAAACAGACAATAACAAGTGTTGGAGAGATTGTGGAGAAATTGAAACCCCCATACGTTGATGGTAGGGATGTAAAATGGTGCAGCCACTGTGGAAAATAGTTTGGTACTTCCTCAAAAAGTTAAACATAGAATTTCCATAAGGCCCATATGATCCAGTCATTCTTTATTATTATTTTATTATTCTTATTTTTTTGAGACAGAGTTTCCCTCTGTCACCCAGGCTGGAGTGCAGTGGTGCAGTCTTGGCTCACTGCAACCTCTGCCACCCAGAGGTTCAAGCAATTTTCATGCCTCAGCCCCCCACGTAGCCAGGATTTCAGGCAAGCACCACCATGCCCAGCTAATTTTAGTATTTTTAGTAGAGATGGGGTTTTGCCATGTTGGCCAGGCTGGTCTCGAATGCTTGAGCTCAAGTGATCCGCCCACCTCGGCCCCCCAAAGGGTGGGATTACAGACATGAGCCACTGCCCCGGCCGTGACCCAGTCATTTTACTCCCAGGTGTATACTCAAGAAAATTGAAAACAAATGTTCATACAAAAGCTTATATACCATATTTGCAAACTATTCATCCAACAAGGGATTAATATCCAGAATATACGAGGAACTCAAACAACTCAACCATAAAAAATAAATAATCCCATTAAAAAGTGGGCTAAGGATATAAATAGTTATTTCAAAAGAAGACATACAAATGACCAACAGGTATATGAAATAAATGCTCAGCATCACTAAACATCAAGGAAATGCAAATCAAAACCACAATGAGATATCATTGTATCCAAAAAGGAATGATTGTCATCATGATTATGATTATTATTGTTATTCTAAGAGACAGGCTCTTGCTCCATTGCCCAGGCTAGAATACAATGGCATGACCATAGCTCACTGTAGTTCAAGCAATCCTCCCACCTCAGCCGCCGCAGTAGTTAGGACTACAGGCATGCACCACCACACCTGGCCAATATTTTAAAATTTTTTTCTAGAGATGGGATCTTGCTATGTTGCCCAGCTGCTCTCCAACTTTTGGCCTCAAGCAATCCTCCTGCTTCGGACCCCCAAAGCATGGGATTGCAGATGTGAGCCACCATGCCTGAGAATGGCTATTACTTTTTATTTTATTTTATTTTTTGAGATAGGGTCTCGCTCTGTCACCCAGGCTGAAGTGCAGTGGCACAATCATAGCTCAAAGCATGGGATTGCAGATGTGAGCCACCATGCCTGAGAATGGCTATTACTTTTTATTTTATTTTATTTTTTGAGATAGGGTCTCGCTCTGTCACCCAGGCTGAAGTGCAGTGGCACAATCATAGCTCACAGCAGCCTTGACCTCCCTGGCTCAAGTGATTCTCCCACCTTAGCCTCCCAAGTAGCTAGGACTACAGGCATGAGCCACCACACCTGGCTAATTTTTTTTATTATTATTATACTTTAAGTTCTAGGGTACATGTGCACAATGTGCAGGTTTGTTACATATGTATACATGTGCCATGTTGGTGTGCTGCACCCATTAACTCGTCATTTACATTAGGTATATCTCCTAATGCTATCCCTCCCCCCTCACCCCACCCCACGACAGGCCCCAGTGTGTGATGTTCCCCTTCCTGTGTCCAGGTGTTCTCATTGTTCAATTCCCACCTATGAGTGAGAACATGAGGTGTTTGGATTTTTGTCCTTGTGATAGTTTGCTGAGAATGATGGTTTCCAGCTTCATCCATATCCCTACAAAGGACATGAACTCATCCTTTTTATGGCTGCATAGTATTCCATGGTGTATATATGCACACCTGGCTAATTTTTAATGTTTTTGTAGAGATGGAGTCTCAGCCGGGTGAGGTGGCTCAAGCCTGTAATCCCAGTGCTCTGGGAGGCTGAGGCAGGAGGATCACTTGAGGCCAAAAGTTGGAGAGCAGCTGGGCAACATAGCAAGATCCCATCTCTAGAAAAATTTTTAAAATATTGGCCAGGTGTGGTAGTGCATGCCTGTAGTCCTAGCTACTGGGGCGGCTGAGGTGGGAGGATTGCTTGAACTCAGGAGTTAAAGGCTACAGTGAGCTATGGTCATTCCATTGCACTCTAGCCTGGGCAATGGAGCAAGAGCCTGTCTCTTAGAATAACAATAATAATCATAATCATGATGACAATCGTTCCTTTTTGGGTACAATGATATCTCATTGTGGTTTTGATTTGCATTTCCTTGATGTTTAGTGATGCTGAGCATTTATTTCAAATACCTGTTGGTCATTTGTATGTCTTCTTTTGAAATATCTATTTATATCCTTAGCCCACTTTTTAATGGGATTATTTATTTTTTATGGTTGAGTTGTTTGAGTTCCTCGTATATTCTGGATATTAATCCCTTGTTGGATGAATAGTTTGCAAATATGGTATATAAGCTTTTGTATGAACATTTGTTTTCAATTTTCTTGAGTATACACCTGGGAGTAAAATGACTGGGTCACGGCCGGGGCAGTGGCTCATGTCTGTAATCCCACCCTTTGGGGGGCCGAGGTGGGCGGATCACTTGAGCTCAAGCGTTCAAGACCAGCCTGGCCAACATGCAAAACCCCATCTCTACTAAAAATACTAAAATTAGCTGGGCATAGTGGTGCTTGCCTGAAATCCTGGCTACATGGGGGGCTGAGGCATGAGAATTGCTTGAACCTCTGGGTGGCAGAGGTTGCAGTGAGCCGAGATCACATCACTGCGCTCCAGCCTGGGCGACAGAGGGAAATTCTGTCTCAAAAAAATAAGAATAATAAAATAATAATAAAGAATGACTGGGTCGTATGGGCCTTATGGAAATTCTATGTTTAACATTTTGAGGAAGTGCCAACTATTTTCCACAGTGGCTGCACCATTTTACATCCCTACCATCAACGTATGGGGGTTTCAATTTCTCCACAATCTCTCCAACACTTGTTATTGTCTGTTTTTTTTTTTTTAAATTGTAGCCATCCTAGTGGGTGTGGGGTGACATTTCATTGTGGTTTTAATTTGCATTTTCCTAATGACTTTAACGCTCATGTGTTTATGTATGTGTGTGTGGTGCTGGTGGTGTAATAATTACCTTGCTTCAATAACAAGATATTAATGGATTATATGTTAAAGAAAACATAAAATACAGCAAAATTCAGTTCTTTCCTGTCCCATATCTTTTATTCATCTGTCTATCCTTCCCTCGACAAATGCCCAATCAATTAATTTCCACTTCTTTATGTAGCAAGATGGCTAGATTGAACATAACTTCAGAGTCAGTGCTTTTGATGAGTGAATCCAATAATACCCTTCTCTCCACCTCTACATATCTATTTAAATCTGTCTAGCCTGCTTAAGCTGCCATAAGAAAATAATGCAGAATGAACGGCTTAAACAACAGAAAGGTATTGTCCTATAGTTCTAGAGGCTTGAAACCCTGAGATCAAGGTGCCAACCAATTTTGTTCCTGGTAGGGGCTCATTTTCTGGCTTGCAGACAACCACCTTTATGTTCTTACATGGCCATTCCTCGATGCATGAATGAATAGGGGTGGAGGTAGTCCTCTAGTGTCTCTTATAAGGACACTAATCCTATCAGATAGGGCCCCATACTTATGACTTCATTTAACCTTAGTTACTTCCTTAGAGGCCTCATCTCCATATACCGCCACTGTGGGTTACCGTTTCAACATATGAATTTGGGAAGTACACAAACATTCAGTGTATCCACTGATTTTCTACATTCAGTATATCCACTGATTTTCTAGGAACTTCTTGAGAAACAAAGTCTTGATCTCTGTCCACCATCTGATTCAGACACATACAAATTGATCTGATGGGCTGGTACAGCCCTGACTGATTGCAGGGAACTCAACTGTGGGTTTGAGAGAAAATTCAAGAGGAGGAAGCTGCATGAGGCTAGCACAAAAAGCCAAATTCAGCAATAGGGACTGAATGTAACAGGACACTTCACTGCACAGTACCAATAGCACCATTCACACCATAACCTGTGTAAGTTTCACTTCCAGGAGTTTTTTGTAGTGCAAAACCTGTGAGGCCATACCTCAGATAGTGGTCCTGAATACAATGTGTCAGGAATTACTGGTACCCTTTCTAAAACCTTTTCCAATTCAGATACTGTGGAGTTATGCCTGAGGAGAAAATTGCAATATGCATTTGTTGAAAATACTGAATCACTAAATATTATCTCATTTTTGGGTCCTCTTTGCAATGGGACCCTCTTAATTGAGCTAATGCCAAGAGATTAAGTACTAATTAAAATTATTTGGCCACAAGCAACAGAAGCCAACTCTGATTAACTTAAAAAAGAACATAAAGGAATTTATTGAAAGAAAATGTGAAAATTCACAGAGTCAAAAGACAATTTGGAAAAAAAAAAAAGAACCGTGCGAACAGCCAAGTATCAAGATATACAGGAATCAAGGCAGTTCTGGACATGCAGGTAACAGAAACTCATAGGAAATCCCTTCAGGATACTGCCCGAAAATGAATCAGCTTCAAGTTTTCTGTCTTCCTGTCTCCCACTAAAATTTTCTTCCAGAGAAATCACTTCCAGTTGATCTAGCTGGGATTGAGTATCATCCCCTGACTAAGGAAGGGCATTGAACAATGATTGACAGCCCCACCAAACCAGTGTGTAGTGGGGGAGGGGGTGTTCTCCAGAGAAAGAGGTAGAATGCTGATAGAGAAAAACAACAGATGTCCTCTGCATTCCAACCATGGGTTGCCAAGCAACGTCTTCCCACTTTTTAAAATGCCATATACAATTTTTTAAATGCCTCTGCCTAACATAATTATCTCAGATGCAAACAAAAGATACACTCAACTCCTTCTAAAAGGAGACAACCCATGTTCATTTATTTCTTTCCTAGTTCCATCATGACCCCTCTCTATAGTTTACAATTTGTGTACTAAATTACAAATTTAACCATCATCAACCCATACCACACGATTCTAAGAGAAAAGAGAAAGAAAATTACTTTAAAAATATATCTGACTTTCTGCATATTACTATAAGTAAGTTATACCTCAATAAAGGAGAAAAAATATCCATGACACAGCAAGGAAGGAATACTGGTAGAAGCTACAGTCCTCATTCATGGAACTGATCATGGTACTTATGACTTCTCTCATCCCCCACCCAATCACATTGTCTTGCCATTGATTGGCCAGCACATCAGTTGGTTTAGCGCTTTGCCAGGTAGGTTGTGGAACTCAGCCTTCAAGGTAGCACCAAATGACTCTCACCTCTTGATCCATGCCTTTGTGTAGTCCCCTCCCATATTAGGTATATCCTAGAATATTTTAGATTGTTGGAATTATAGCCCTTCCCCAGCATAGCTACATCTTCTGCTCTAAGTTGATCAGTTTCTATCACTTTAGTAAACTATTTATCTGTCTGGTTTCAGCTCTTTCTTCACTCTGGACCCTGGAGATGTTTTTTTTCTTCCAACTTCATTCTACATTTCTTTAAATTTTGGCCAGCATTTCTTTTTCTTTCTTTCTTTCTTTTTTTTTTTTTTTTTTTTTTTTTTGAGGTGGAGTCTCACTCTTGTAGCCCAGGCTGGAGTGCAGTGGCGCCATCTCAGCTCACCACAACCTCCACCTCCCAGGTTCAACCAACTCTCCTGCCTCAGCCTCCCAAGTAGCTGAGATTACAGGCACCTGCCACCACATCCGGCTAATTTTTGTATTTTTAGTAGAGAAGGGGTTTCGCCATATTGGCCAGGCTGGTCTCAAACTCGTGACCTCAGGCGATCCACCCGCCTTGGCCTCCCCAGGTGTTGGGATTACAGACGTGAGCCACTGTGCCCAGTCTGGCCAGCATTTCTAAATATTTATTACAAGAACATCTTCAGATTATATAGTCAGCAGATGTTGAATTGAATGTTCTGTGTGTTTACTTTTCTGTCTCTCCAACTAGACTACGAGCTTCATAGATTGTCTTGCTCATAATTGTGTTCCCATAAACTAGCACTGTGGCTGGTACATAGTAGGCATTCATTACATGTGTGTTGAATGAATGAATGTAACCAGGGAAGGGATGAATGCCATAACCGGACATGAATTGTCTCCTTTTGGAAGGAGTTGAGTGCATTTTTTGCTTGCATATGAGATAGTTACAAAAATAAAGAAATTAATTGATTAATGAAGATATATCAGACTTGCCCATTTAAGATTATCATTCAGAATTGTCTACTGTTGATAATGAAACCTCAAGAGTTGCATTTTACATATTATTGCTTGGCCCACAAATACAGTGGTTATTTGAGTTTTACTTCTTCTTATATGTTATTTTTAAGCCTTGAAAGTCTCCAGAGGAAGTGGAATTTGGTTATGCTGACCTAGTTATAACACTGACTCGACATGGCTTTCTCTATGTCAGGGTAATAGAAATAAAATTTATTTCTGTGAATATATCATTTGCATTGGCATTTATAGAGCTTAGTATTTAATTGATGACTATTTTAGTGATTGACTTGAAAATTTACATTGTTTAGAATAGGTATCCCTTAGACTGTGGAGTCATAGACCTGGTCAATTTCATGATCAAAAAAGAATTCTTGAATTAGACTCAATCAATTTAGTAAACTATTTCACTTTAAAAAAAAAGAATTCTCAATTGTCTTTTTCAAACATGTGTTTACCCTCATCTTCCATTTTTCTTTATTCTTTCTCTTTTTTTTTTTTTTTTTTGAGATGGAGTTTTGCTCTTGTCGCCCAGGCTAGAGTGAAATGGCACAATCTTGGCTCACTGCAACCTCCACCTCCTGGGTTCAAGCGATTCTCCTACCTCAGCCTCCCGAGTAGCTAGGATTACAGCCGTGTGCCACCACACTCAGCTAATTTTTTGTATTTTTAGTAGAGATGGGGTTTTACCATGTTAGCCAGGCTGGTCTCGAACTCCTGACCTCAAGTGATCCTCCCGTCTCGGCCTCCCAAAGGGCTGGGATCACAGGCATGAGCCACTGCGCCCAGCCATCTTCCTTTTTTCTGTAATTTCATCTACTAGGTCAGGCCAAACTCTAGGAAGCAACCTTCAATCCTCTTTTCCTCCCATCTCTCAACCCCCACCCCACCCACCTCACGTTCAATTCTTTAGCAGTCCTGTTGTCTCTCCCTTCAAAAGATATCCAGGATCCAACCACTTATCAGAAGTCCCACCTACCAACGCTAAACCCACATCATCTCCTGCCTACACCACTGCAATACCCCCTTAACTCATTTGCCTGCTTTTACTCTTGTCCCCACTATCAGCTCTCCACACAACAGCTAGGGGAACTTTTCAAAATACAAATCAGATCACATCAGATATATAGTCACAGGTCAATTTAAAAGACAGCTTCCAGCCTGGCCAACATGGCAAAACCTTGTCTCTACTAAAAATATGAAATTTAGTTGGGTGTGATGGCCAGCGCCTGTAATCCCAGCTACTCAGGAGGCTGAGACAGAAGAATTGCTTAAACCCTGGAGGCCGAGGTTGCAGTGAGCCAAAATCAGCCACTGCAATCTAGCCTGGGTGACAGAGCGAGACTCCATCTCAAAAAAAAAAAAAGATAGCTGGAAAACATAGCTTCTGTGTCATCCCTGGCTATACTATAGCAAGCCAGGGGCCATCTCATTAAAAATGGTGTGATATTCCATCCCTAGCAAATTAATTTTTTTTTTTAAAAAAAGGAGGGAGATCTTACTGCCAAGGGAACTTATAAATAACAGAGGTTGGCCTAATCATCTTGGCTCTTTTCCACACTTCATAATACAGTACAAACAACCTCTGAACAATCAGCATAATGCTGAGAAAATAGTCATAATAACCCGGATGTTTTCCGGATAGATTCTTGCTATTTCTACTTGTTTCTCTCATTTCAAAGTTGACCTTTAATGAGCTAGTGAAAGGCTGGTTTCTGTGATGATCCAGGCTTCCTGCTCTGATGTTATGCTACCCATTCAGCAGTAATTAATATGGTGGAATTTGGTCCTTTTCCACATTGCCTTCCAGAAGGACTGATGGCCAGAAATAAAGCAGGCAGAAAGAAGTTTCCCAAATCTCAGGCAGGCTTAGAGGCATATTTACCATGAAGCTAAGGAAGCTTAAAATTTAAGAACCCTTACTTGCAAAACACTTTTCCAAGAACTTGTACCTAATTTTGTATTCATACTTTTGTATTCTTTTTCTTTTCTCTTCTTTTTTGAGAGAAGTCTTGCTCTTGTCCCCCAGGTTTGAGTGCAATGGCTTTATCTTGGCTCACTGCAACCTCTGCCTCCCGAGTTCAAATGATTCTCCTGTCTCTGCCTCCCAAGTAGCTGGGATTAAGGCGCCTGCCAACACGCCTGGCTAATTTTTGTATTTTTTAGTAGAGATGGGGTTTCACCATGTTGGCCAGGCTGGTCTCGAACTCCTGACCTCAGATGATCCACCTGCCTCGGCCTCCCAAAGTGCTGGGATTACAGGCGTGAGCCACCGTGCCCGGTTGTATTCTTTTTCTTAAAGGACTCCACCTGTTTGAAAGCAAGCTTTCAGTTCCTCTTCCTAGGTTTTATGACAATTACCAGGAATAGGAGACATGAAGAACTAGGGGAAGGGAGCAGCAAATGCAAAGCTCCTGTGGCCTTCCATTTGGCTGGTACGAGGTTATCAGGTTGCTTACGGGATGAGAAATCTTCTGTCCTAACCATCTCATGTCATCAGCATCCATATACTTTTTTTTTTTTTGAGACAGAGTCTCACTCTGTTGCCCAGGCTGGAGTGCGGTGGCGCCATTTCAGCTCACCGCAACCTCTGCCTACCAGGTTCAAGCAATTCTCATGCCTCAGCCTCCCAAGTAGCTGGGATTACAGGCATGCACCACCACACCTGGCTAATTTTTGTGTTTTTAGTAGAGACGGGTTTTCACCATGTTGGCCAGACTGGTCTCAAACTCCCAACCTCAGGTGTTCTGCCCACCTCAGCCTCCCAAAGTGCTGGGATTACAAGCGTGAGCCACTGCACCCGGCCTCAGCATTCATACTCTTTTTTTTTTTTTTTTTTTAATTTATTTTTTTATTGATAATTCTTGGGTGTTTCTCACAGAGGGGGATTTGGCAGGGTCATGGGACAATAGTGGAGGGAAGGTCAGCAGATAAACAAGTGAACCTTTGTTTTCCTAGGCAGAGGACCCTGCGGCCTTCCGCAGTGTTTGTGTCCCTGATTACTTGAGATTAGGGATTGGTGATGACTCTTAACGAGCATGCTGCCTTCAAGCATCTGTTTAACAAAGCACATCTTGCACCGCCCTTAATCCATTTAACCCTGAGTGGACACAGCACATGTTTCAGAGAGCACAGGGTTGGGGTAAGGTCACAGATCAACAGGATCCCAAGGCAGAAGAATTTTTCTTAGTGCAGAACAAAATGAAAAGTCTCCCATGTCTACTTCTTTCTACACAGACACGGCAACCATCCGATTTCTCCATCTTTTCCCCACCTTTCCCGCCTTTCTATTCCACAAAGCCGCCATTGTCATCCTGGCCCGTTCTCAATGAGCTGTTGGGCACACCTCCCAGACGGGGTGGTGGCCGGGCTGAGGGGCTCCTCACTTCCCAGTAGGGGCGGCCGGGCAGAGGCGCCCCTCACCTCCCGGACGGGGCGGCTGGCCGGGCGGGGGGCTGACCCCCCCACCTCCCTCCCGGACGGCACGGCTGGCCGGGTGGGGGGGCTGACCCCCCACCTCCCTCCCGGATGGGGCGGCTGCCGGGCGGAGACGCTCCTCACTTCCCAGATGGGGTGGCTGCCGGGCGGAGAGGCTCCTCACTTCTCAGACGGGGCAGCTGCCGGGCGGAGGGGCTCCTCACTTCTCAGACGGGGTGGTTGCCAGGCAGAGGGTCTCCTCACTTCTCAGACGGGGCGGCCGGGCAGAGACGCTCCTCACCTCCCAGACGGGGTCTCGGCCGGGCAGAGGCGCTCCTCACATCCCAGATGGGGCGGCGGGGCAGAGGCGCTCCCCACATCTCAGACGATGGGCGGCCGGGCAGAGACGCTCCTCACTTCCTAGATGTGATGGCGGCTGGGAAGAGGCGCTCCTCACTTCCTAGATGGGATGGCGGCCGGGCGCAGACGCTCCTCACTTTCCAGACTGGGCAGCCAGGCAGAGGGGCTCCTCACATCCCAGACGATGGGCGGCCAGGCAGAGACACTCCTCACTTCCCAGACGGGGTGGCGGCCGGGCAGAGGCTGCAATCTCGGCACCCTGGGAGGCCAAGGCAGGCGGCTGGGAGGTGGAGGTTGTAGCGAGCGGAGATCACAACACTGCACTCCAGCCTGGGCACCATTGAGCACTGAGTGAACGAGACTCCGTCTGCAATCCCGGCACCTCGGGAGGCCAAGGCTGGCGGATCACTCTCGGTTAGGGGCTGGAGACCGGCCCGGCCAACACAGCGAAACCCCGTCTCCACCAAGACCAGTCAGGCGTGGCGGCGCGTGCCTGCAATCGCAGGCACTCGGCAGGCTGAGGCAGGAGAATCAGGCAGGGAGGTTGCAGTGAGCCGAGATGGCAGCAGTACAGTCCAGCTTCGGCTCCGCATGAGAGGGAGACCGTGGAAAGGGGAGGGGGAGGGGGAGGGGGAGAGGGAGAGGGAGAGGGAGAGGGAGAGGGAGAGGATTCATACTCTTAACACAGCAAACACTGCTCTGAGTCCTTCCTAAGAATTCTGACAGATTGCTGGCTGCATGGATATCAGTGAAACCCCATTGGGAAAGATGTTCCTAAATATCTTGATGGTGAAACTGCATATTCACTTGATCATCCCTTCTTCACAGAACAACACGGACACCAGTTTGCAATAGATAGTTCCACTTGGTCTTGTCTCTCTGCCACTGAAGATATGGGCTGTGAACCACTGAAATCTGGGCATGACGCATTTCAACTTCTTGGAACGCAGCTTATTAAACTGAACTTGGCTTATTGAACTTAACTAGAAGTGGCTGGGCACAGTGTCATGCCTATAATCCCAGCACTTTGAGAGGCCAAGGTGGGCAGATCACTTGAGGTCAGGAGTTTGAGACAAGACTGGCCAACATGACAAAACCCCATCTCTACTAAAAATACAAAAAATTACCCAGGCATGGTGGCAGGCACCTGTAATCCCAGCTACTTGGGAGGCTGAGGCAGGAAGGAGAATCGCTTGAGCCCGGGAGGTGGAGGTTGCAGCAGTGAGCTGAGATTGTGCCACTGCGCTCCAGCCTGGGCGACAGAGCAAGACTGCATCTCAAAACAAACAAACAAAAAACTGGCTAGGTACAGTGGCTCACGCCTGTAATCCCAGCAATTTGGGAGGCCGAGGCAGACATATCACCTGAGGTCAGAAGCTCAAGACCATCCTGGCCAACATGGTGAAACCCCGTCTGTACTAAAAATACAAAAATTAGCCAGGTATGGTGGCACGTGCCTGTAATCCCAGGATTTGTAGTTACTTAAGTAGTTCCAGTCTTAGGCAAAATTGTACAAAGCGACTTAACCAGCATTAGTACCTCCCAGGTGCTAACAATAGCCTCCCCTTCATCATCTCTAAAGCAGGACCTTAAAGATTTACTGAAGTATGCCTTCAGTAATTTTTTTTATGTTTAAGACTAACCATAAAAAAGCACCTGCCAAAACGATATAATCTTCAGATCCACAAAACTCAACTTCATCTCCTCCATACTTCAGGGACTGGCAAACTGAAGATTTTGTAAAGTTTCTTTCTTTCTTTTTTTTTTTTTTTTTTTTTTGAGACAGAGTCTCACTCTGTTGCCCAGGCTGGAGTGCAGTGGCGCAATCTCGGCTCACTGCAACCTCCGCCCTCTGAGTTCAAGCGATTCTCCTGCCTCAGCCTCGGGATTACAGGCGCCTGCCACCACGCCCGGCTAATTTTTTTTTTTTTTTGTATTTTTAGTAGAGACAAGGTTTCACCATCTTGGCCAGGCCGGTCTTGAACTCCTGATCTCGTGATCCACCGACCTTGGCCTCCCAAAGTGCTGGGATTACAGGTGTGAGCCATTGCGCCCAGCTTGTAAAGTTTCTACTTAGAGATCAAGTTAATAAAATATCAATATATTAATGATTAAACAGGTACACAGAACATTATATATTTCCCAGCAGTGTGGAAGTCCATGTGATAACTCAAGTTTCCAGTCTGGCTAAAAGTCACTCTGCTTCTAATTTTACCTAATATTCTGTGCTTCCCTCCTACTTATTAATTATCACATAACTGGCTGGGCACCATGGCTCACACCTGTAATCCCAGCACTTTGGGAGGCCGAGGCAAGCGGATCACCTGAGAGGTCAGGAGTTCAAGACCAGCCTAGCCAACATGGTGAAACCCCGTCTCTGGTAAAAATACAAAAATTAGCTGGCTGTGGTGGCGTGCACCTGTAATCCCAGCTACTTGGGAGGCTGAGGCAGGAGAATCTCTTGAACCCAAGAGGCAGAGGCTGCAGTGAGCCAAGATTGCACCACTGCACTCCAGCCTGGGTGACAGAGCGAGACTCCATCTCAAAAGAAAAAGAAAAAAAAAATCACATAACTGAGGAGGTTCCCAGGCAAGTTGCATGGTTGAATAAAGCCAACGTTTTTTTCCTTAGGTTTTTATAGCTGTATCATATGTATTACAGAGGATGGATTCCATTAAATATAAGACCCTACATGATGGATTCAAATATTCAAGTTGGAGGTTCAGAACTGGAGAGAGCAAAATTGCTCAGCATAATAGAGGAAAACCACTTTGGGGTACAGAGGGCAGTTCTAGAGGAAAGAGGAAATGGGAAGGGGAGAGAATGAAGCCAGGAACATTTTAAAAGATACAGAGTTAAAGGTTAGTGAGAAACCCTTAGAATAGTAGGACAACTGAAAAAAAAATTAAGATTGGAGTTGATCCTTATGCAAAGTTTAAGTGTACATCACTTCAATTTAAACACTTCCTTCATCATCTCCCTGTACTCCACCTCCAAATCTTTCATAATACATGCTACCCATATGAATGCTTAGTATGAGTAGTATTTGTACAACTTGGAGAAAGCAATGAGATCATATGTGTGGAATCCCAAAAGAAGAGGGATCATGTGAGAATGGAATCCATGGGAGTTCATGGGATCCTTGAAGAGTCTGTGGGTTTCCTTCATGGGGTCTGGGATTGGAGGTTAGAGGCAATTTTAAGTAATCTCAGAGGGTAGAGAGCTGGGCTACACATAAAACCTGTGTGCTTGGTCTCTCCTCTTCTCATTCTACAAGGCATGTCTGGAGATGGGGAGAGTCCTGGGCATTGCCCTTGTTCCATCTCCCTTTGGATCTATGCCTGTTGGCAGATGTTCCTCTGCAGCCCACTGATTTGCAATGAGGCCTGCCACTCAGGCCATGGAGCATAGCCTTGGGAGTCATGCAGTGCTCATGGTGCCTGGCCAACACTCCTCTCATCAAACTGTGAGCTGCGCCACTCAGAGAGGGGGCACCTGTTTATAACTTGCACCAAGGGGCCCTGTGGGGTAGAGGTAGCCCTGCTGCCTCCAGCTGTCAGAACAGGAAGGGGAACTTACCCCTCCCACACCAGTCCTTTATAACACCTCCTCACCTACCTTCCCCTGGAGGTTTACACAGTTCTCCACACTTGGGTTTTACAAATTGTTCCTGCCCTAGTGACCTCACTCCCTCTACCCTTGTAATTTGCAAAGCTGCCTCCCTCGCCATGGAGTTAGGACTTCTCTTTGCAACACAGAACAAGTTGTATTTATTTTTTTTGATCCTTGGCTTTTCAAAACTGTGCTCCCTTAGGCCTGCTGGGGATAATAAGCAAGCCTATTGAAGAGTCAGGTACCTCTTAAATGGCTTCTCCCTTTTCTACACAAAGACATAAAGGCACTGCCAAAGCTTTGAAACTAAACCTAGACTCCTGCAGTCTGTGCTTGTGTGTATTACATAAAAAGGAGCCTAGAGAAAGGGAGAAAGAAGGGGACACAGAGTGAGGTTTTCTTTTTATTGTATTTATTTATTTATTTAATTTTTGAGACAGAGTCTCACTCTGTTGCCCAGGCTGGGGTGCAGTGGCACGATCTCGGCTCACCACAGCCTCTGCCTCCCGGGTTCAAGTGATTCTCCTGACTCAGCCTCCTGAGTAGCTGGGAATATAGGCTCACACCACCATGCCCGGCTAATTTTTGTATTTTTAGTAGAGACGGGGGTTTCACTATGTTGGCCAGGCTGGTCTCGAACTCCTGACCTCATGATCCACCCACCTCGGCCTCCCAAAGTGCTGGGATTACAGTCATGAGCCACTGTGCCCAGCCAAGAGTGTGGTTTTCTTTTTCTAGTTGCAATTGTTTGCATTTTCTGATTCTTCCGAAATCAGTACACAGAGACTCAGGGAGGTTATATAAATTGCCTGAAGTCACACAGCCGGTACCTTGTGAACTGTAAGTTAATCCCAGGACTTCAGGCTGCTAGTATGGTAGAGCATTTCTGCTATAGCTGAGCTAGCCACCGAGCCTGGAGTAGAAAGATGTTTTCCCTTCAGGAGAGACATATTACTGTCCCTCAGCGGGTGAAAACAATGGTATAGGACCTAAATACTTCTACGATCAAACAGAGTTAAAATACCCAAAACACCCACCTCCTGAGGTGTCTGCCCGCTTCACTCCCAGGTGGGCAGTCCTACATACCAAGTGTGTGTTTGATGACTCTGCCACAGGGATTGGACCAGCAATATCACTCTCACTCTTGTGATGTCTCTCTCTCTCTCTCTCTCTCACACACACACACACACACACACACACACACACACAAATCTGTAATTAGAATCAGGAGTATCCAATTCAATCTGGGAAGGTTGAACGGAGGAGATACATACTTGGGAGCTGTGGGCTGGCCTCTTCTACCTGCCATGTGGAACGAGCAGCTGAGCGGTGGTGTGCAGACAGAGGAAGAGCCACTTATGAGAGGAGGAAATACAACGGGATTCCTGATATCTTTAGTTCCCGGTCCCACTGGGTTTCTACTTCATTTGGGGAGTCACAGAACTTGGAATAGAGAGCAATACATCCCAAATCAGTCATTTCCAAACTATAAGTCAATACCAATTTATCACATGTTTTCATGTAACAAGAGGCCATATAGATTAATGATTTTTTTTTTTTGAGACGGAGTCTCACTTTGTCACCCAGGCTGGAGTGCAGTGCCATGATCTCGGTTCACTGAAACCTCCTTCCCACGGGTTCAAGCTATTCTCCTATCTCAGCCTCCGAGTAGCTGGGATTACAGGTGCGTGCCACCACGCCCAGCTAAGTTTTTGTATTTTTAGTAGAGATGGGGTTTCACCATGTTGGCTAGGCTAGTCTCGAACTCCTGACCTCAAATGACCCACCTGCCTTGGCCTCCCAAAGTGCTGAGATTACAGGCGTGAGCCACCATGCCTGGCTAGATTAACAATTAAAAGCCCCAATGAGGACATAGACTGCTTGGGTGAGCAGGGTAAGTTTATCAGTATCTGTTTCCCCAACTATAAAACAGGAATATAGGCCGGATGCAGTGGCTCATGCCTGTAATCCCAGCACTTTGGAGGGGGCTGAGGCAGGCGGATCATGAGGTCAGGAGTTCGAGACCAGCCTGACTAACATGGTGAAACCCCGTCTCTACTAAAAATACAAAAATTAGCCAGGTGTGGTGGCGCGTGCCTGTAATCCCAGCTACTCAGGAGGCTGAGACAGGAGAATTGCTTGAACTGAGAGGCGGAGGTTGCAGTGAGCCAAGATCGCACCATTGCACTCGAGCCTGGGTGACAGAGCAAGACTCCATCTCAGAAAAAAAAAAAAAAGACAGGAATATAATACTGAATAGTAGCTTTCTCATACAGTTTTTATGATGGTTAAATGAGTGGATCTGTCTCAGAATAATGACTCAAACATAGAAGGCAGTATGTAAATGTTATCTATTATCCACATTTGTTTTCTCCTCCTTGCTATTTCATATGTCACAAAGTTAACCACTACCAATAATTCCTGTATAAGGTAGTGAAGAAAAGGAGAGGCAAAATTTTGGTTAATATATGCAAACATATACATAACAAAGAAAAGAGGAAAATAGGCCGGGCACAGTGGCTCACACCTGTAATCCCAACACTTTAGGAGGCCAAGGCAGGCAGATCACCTGAGGTCAGGAGTTCAAGACCAGCCTGGCCAACATGGAGAGAAACCCTATCTCTACTAAAAATAAAAAATTAGCTGGGTGTTGTGGTGCATGCCTGTAATCCCAGCTACTTGGGAGGCTGAGGCAGGAGAATCACTTGAACCCGGGAGGCGGAGGTTGCAGAGAGCCGAGATTGTGCCACGGCACTCCAGCCTGGGCAACAAAAGCAAAACTCCATCTCGGAAAAAAAAAAAAAAAGAAAGAAAGAAAAGAAAAGAGGAAAATATACATAGTTGTAAAAGTCTGTATTTCTGTATCAGGTCACATGGCCAAGACCCAACAAGTCAAAGGTGTTGCTCTTGATGTAGCAATTACATAG
Organism: Homo sapiens; assembly: GCF_000001405.40. Lineage (NCBI taxonomy): Eukaryota > Metazoa > Chordata > Mammalia > Primates > Hominidae > Homo > Homo sapiens. The sequence continues at coordinate 39,993,150 of NC_000001.11, read as the reverse complement.
TAGGTCCTGGAACTAAGGTCTCCTGATCCTAAGTTCAATGCTTGTTCCGTCACCCTGTATGTCCTGCAACCAACCACCTGTTGCAGTTTCCTTGGGAAGAGTGTGAAAACCTAAGCCCAGAGGGTGTTATGAAAACTGCTCCGGGCCAGGTGCGGTGGCTCACACCTATAATACCAGCACTTTGGGAGGCCAAGGCGGGCAGATCACCTGAGGTCGGGAGTTCAAGACCAGCCTGACCAACATGGAGAAACCCTGTCTCTACTAAAAATACAAAATTAGCTGGGCGTGGTGTCACATGCCTGTAATCCCAGCTACTCAGGAGGCTGAGGAAGGAGAATCGCTTGAACCCGGGAGGCAGAGGTTGTGGTGAGCCAAGATCGCGCCATTGCACTCCAGCCTGGGCAATATGAGCAAATACTCTGTCTAAAAAAAAAAAAAAAAGAAAAGAAAGAAAAGAAAACTGCTCCATGCCTCTACTTCTGGTTGGGGAACCAGGCTATTCCAACTTGGCCTGTCCAGTGGGGCTTCCACACCTATGTAATTGATGAAGAGGAAGAAGGCTTAGTAGTGATAATATTCGATTTTGAGAAGTATTTTGCAAAGAATCCTGTAGCAAAAAAATATATATCTGCTAATATTTAGGAAATGAGGAAATACAGAAATCACAAGAAACCACCACAAAGTGATCTCATCTGCCAAAGGCATCAAAGTGGGTGATTCACAGGAGGATGTCTGGAAGCTGCACCCCAATCTCTCATCCTCTATCTGCTGAAGCCCTAGGCCTACTCACCACCAATAGAATTATAATGGCCTCTCCTGTCCTTCTGCCATCCAAATTTCACATAAGCACCTCTCATTTGCAGCATACAGGCTAGAATCCTGTCTAGGGAGGCTAAGAAATATAGTTCCGAGGCTTCTAGCTCCCAAAACATAGGAGAAAGCACAGGAGGAAGTGAGAATGAGGCAGAGATGCCAACAATCTGGTATGGTATACACCAAGCTTGTCCATCCCGTGGCCCACGGGCCACATGCAGCCCAGGATGGCTTTGAATGTGCCCCAACACAAATTTGTAAACTTTCTTAAAACATTATGAGTTTGTTTTTTTTTAGCTCATCAGCTATCATTAGTGTTAGTATATTTTACATGTGGTCCAAGATAATTCTTCTTCTGCCAGTATGGCCCAGGGAAGGCAAAAGATAGGACATCCCTGGTCTATACCTTTGGCTAGTCGGTGAAATTCATATACACTCTTTTATCTATGTTTAACTTTCAAACAACAATATTAACGACTCTAGTTAATACGAGGCACCTACATGGCAGACCAGGTCTCACTAACCCAGGCCTCCATAACAAATGTTTCAGCACTGACTGAGGGGTTGAGTTACATATTAAAAGCTGATAGAGGCAGTGTCCTTATACAAAGGCTGGAATGTAACAAAAGCTCACCAAGAGTTTTGCCCAGGACTTTCCTGAGCCTTGAAGCATGACAAGATAATTAAGCAATTCTTTTTTTTTTTTCTGAGACGGACTCTCGCTCTGTCTCCCAGGCTGGAGTGCAGTGGCATGATCTCAGCTCACTGCATGCTCTGCCTCCCGGGTTCATGCCATTCTCCTGCCTCAGCCTCCCGAGTAGCTGGGACTACAGGCGCCCGCCACCATGCCTGGCTAATTTTTTGTATTTTTAGTAGAGACGGGGTTTCACCGTGTTAGCCAGGATGGTCTCGATCTCCTGACCTCGTGATCTGCCCATCTCAGCCTCCCAAAGTGCTGGGATTACAGGTGTGAGCCACCACCCGGCCAATGAAGCAATTCTTAACAGGACTTATTTAGGATTAAATAAGTTTCATTAGGGGTCTGAAGAAACTCCCCAGACCTCCACGAATAAGTTTACTGAGAGTCTGAAGGAACTCCCCAAACCTCCATGATTTAGCAGGAGACAAGATAAGGGTAATCACCCCAGCACCGGGAGCCATTTAGATTAAATAAATTTACTGAGGCTCCAGAGGAAGGTCTTCAGGACTCAGATCTCAGTTACAGGAGAAGTTAATCACTCACGTCTTTAGATGAATGCACACTTACACGTAGACATATAGCTTAGAAGGTGCATAAGCTCTGGAAACTCTGTAATTTTGAGTTCGTCTGTTGATATTTTCCAGGCCTTCTCCCTGTACCCAGTTACAGAAATAAACTCCCTCCTTTCCCAATTCATCTGCATCTCGTTATTGGGCCGTGAGAATAAGCAGCCCTTCCCTTGGTTTGACCCGTGAACACCTATTCCTTATATAAATAAAGGTGGTTATGGCTGAACTGCATTCCCTCAAAATTTCTATGTTGAAATCCTAACCCCCAGTTCCCCAGTTCCTCAGATTAAGACTATATTTGGAGACAGGATGTTTAAAGAGGTAATTACGTTAAAATGAGCCCATTATGATGGGCCCTAACCCAATCTAACTGGTGTCCTTATGAGAGGAAATTTGGGCTTGGTGCAGTGACTCACACCTGTAGTCACAGCACTTTGGGAGGCCAAAGAGGGCGGATCACTTGAGGTGAGGAAGTTGAGACCAAGAGGAGAGGCCTCGGGAGCAAACCAAACCTGCTGACACCTGGATCCTAGACCTCCAGTTTCCAGAACTGTGAGGAAATAAATTTCTGTTGTTTAAACCACCCAGTCTGTGGTATTTTTGTTTGTTTTTGAGACAGAGTCTCGCTCTGTCACCCAGGCTGGAGTGCAGTGGCGTGATCTTGGGCTCACTGCAACCTCTGCCTCCCAGGTTCAAGCAATTCTCCTTGCCTCAGCCCCTCAAGTAGCTGAGATTACAGGCGCTTGCCACCACACCTGACTAATTTTTTGTATTTTTAGTAGAGATGGGGTTTCACCATGTTGGCCAGGCTGTTCTCGAACTCCTTACCTCACGTGATCCACCCCTGCTCAGCCTCCCAAAGTGCTGGGATTACAGGCGTGAGCCACCCTGCCTGGCCGAGATCCAGTCTTTTTAAAAAAAAAAAAAAAGTCACACTGGCTGGCATGTTGCAAATAGAAAGTAGAGACCAGAGTCGAAGCATAGAGACCATTTTGGAGGCTGTTGTAACCATTTGGGGAGAGATGACAATAGCTGGGACCAGGGTGGTAGTGATAATGATGGCAGTGATTATAAAAAGTGGTCAAATTGGAACGCATTTTGAAAGTAGAGCCAACTAAATTGACTGATAGATCAGATATGGGGCATGAGAAAAAGAGAGGTCTCAGGAATTAGTCTAATATTGTTGGCCTGAACAAAGTAGAAGAATTAAATTGCCACATACTAAGCTAAAATAAATCTGGGAGAAGAGAAGGATGGGGGTGTATCTGTTGGGGAATAGATTCAAGGTTTTGGTTTTGACATGTAAATTTTGAGGCTGGGTGCGGTGGCTCACGTCTGTAATCCCAGCACTTTGGGAGGCCAAGGCGGGCGGATCATGAGGTCAGGAGTTCGAGACCAGCCTGACCAACATGGTGAAATCCTGTCTCTACTAAAAATACAAAAATTAGCCAGGCGTGATGGCGCATGCCTGTAATCCCAGCTACTCGGGAGGCTGAGGCAGGAGAGTCACTTGATTGAACCTGGGAGGCAGAGGTTGCAGTGAGCCGAGATCACACCACTGTACTCCAGCCTGGGCGACAGAGCAAGACTCCATCTCAAAACATAAATAAATACACAAAATAAAAATAAATAAATAAATATTGAGATGCCAGTTAATGGTGTAAATCGAAACATCACGTATAAATGTGCATATTCAGCAGAGAGGATAAGCCTGAATAAATAGTTTTGAAGACAGTGAATGTATTAATAAATCCGCAGGACCAGAGGAGATCACCTAGACCAATGATTCTCCACTGGTATGACCTACTCATTAGAGAAAATTCTGGAAACGTGGCACAACATTGATGGGGGAGGATGTCATGATGATTAGGGTAAGGAGCTCTACAGGGGGGTTCAGTGGGTGGGGCCAGGGCTGCTAAACATCCTGCAATACACAGAACAACCCTGCACTACAGAAGTTGACTCACATCCCATAAGACTCTCAATTGTCCTGTCAGACATTCATTTGGTGAAAAAGATGTTTATTATTTATCTCATCCTAGAATCTAACTCTGTTTTCCACATGAACCAAAGTATTTTCTGTATGGTTTTCATATACACTGGGTTTCCCAGGAACACCACTTCCATGTAATTGATGAAAGAGTGTGCTTTGTTTTGTTCAGAAAATCAACAACACACTGCTTGCTGGAGCTGCCAGTCCAGTTCTCCCGGATTGGTCTGCCGGTAGCAACTTTGACAGGCCCACTGATTCTAGGAATGACCACAAGCATCTGATGTTTACACTGGGCTTCTGATAAAGTTGTGTGTAATTTTTACATGTTCAAGCATATAATATTTGTATGCATTCATTTCCTCTTATTTTTCTTTGTATTACGTTTAGGAAATTAAATTCATTTGTTTGAAATTATGTATGTAGACCGGGTGTGGTGGCTCATGTCTGTAATCCTAGCACTTTGGGAGGCTGAGGCAGGTGGATCACCTGAGGTCTGGAGTTCAAGACCAGCTAGGCCAACATGGTGAAACCTCTTCTCTACTAAAAATACAAAAATTAGCCAGGCATCATGGCGTGTGTCTGTAATCCCAGCTACTCGGGAGGCTGAGGCAGGAGAATCACTTGAACCCTGGAGGCAGAGGTTGAAATGAGCCAAGATCGCACCATTGCACTCCAGCCTGGGCAACAGAGCAAAACTCTGTTCCAAAAAAAAAAAAAAAGGAAATTATGTATGCAGATAATTGTGAGGGGGTATTCTCCATTTGCCCCTCCAGATCCACTCTGCTCTTCCATACCTTGCTTCCTGCCCCAGAAGACTGACTGTTACAGATGGCATCAGCCAGCTTTCTTGCCCAGTGGCTTCCCGCTGGGTTCAGCCAAGGCGAGATACCATTCCCTCATGTTGGCCCCTCAGGCCTAAGGGTGGCAGATACTCTCTCCAGTGCTCCACAGTTCCTTGTTGGTTCTCTTTACTTTGCCCACATCTTTGGCAATAATCCCTTCATTAAACTGGCCTCAATTGGACTTGGCTTAAGTATTCCATCTGTTTCCTGCCAGGCTCTAACAAACACAGTAGTTACATTATCTCTGAATTTCATTTCAGGACAGGAAAGGGCCAAGTTACAAAAGCTTCGTTATAAAAAGAGAGTAAGTCCAGAATGTGGAACATTCTACAGGACAATTGAGCTGGTCTCTGCAATAAGTCAATGGCATAAAAAACAAAGGGTGGGGAGGAGAACTGCTGGCGATTAAAAAGATTTTAAGGGCACAACAAAATGCGATATGTAGACCTTTTTTGGATCCAAATTTGAATAAACCCACTGTAATAAGACATACCTGAGAATTAGGGAAAGTATAACTATAGACTGTGTATTAAATAACACCAAAAAACAATTTCACATTCTATTAGGTATAATCATGGCCTTGTGGATATGCAAGAAAACGGTCCATGTCTTTTTTCTTTGAGACAGAATCACACTCTGTCACCCAGGCTGAAGTGCAGTGATGCAATCTCGGCTCACTGCAACCTCTGCCTCCCAGGTTCAAACGATTTTCCTGCCTCAGCCTCCTGAGTAACTGGGATTACAGGCACGTGCCACCACACCCAGCTAATTTTTTGTATTTTTAGTAGAGATGGGGTTTCGCCATGTTGGCCAGGCTTGTCTGGAACTCCTGACCTCAAGCAATCCACCCGCCTTGGCCTCCCAAATTGCTGGGATTACAGGTGTGAGCCACCACACCCAGCCGACAGAGCAGTTTTAATGTAATGGTGGGGGCCAAACCTCATTGTGTTTGAGTTCAATCTCTCAGATACAACCTCTATGGATACTGCCCCATTTCTCTGCTCCCTTTTACAGCACTCCGTGTGGTTAGGGTAAGTGGATTGGAATGGGCTGAAGGGAGAATGGAGTAGAAAAAGTGGAGACAGGGCCGGGCACAGTGGCTCATGCCTGTAATCCCAGAACTTTGGGAGGCCAAGGTGGGAGGATTTCTTGAGTCCAGGAGTTTGAGACCAGCCTGGGCAATATGGCAAAACCCTGTCTCTACCAGAAATACAAAAATTAGCCAGGCATGGTGGCGCACGCCTGTAGTCCCAGGTACTTGGGAGGCTGAGGCAGGAGGATCACTTGAGACTGGGAGGCAGAGGTTGCAGTAAGCCCACATCATGCAATTGCACTCCAGCCTGGGTGACAGAGCCAAACCCTGTCAAGAAAGAAAGAGAAAGAGAGAGAGAGAAAGAAGGAAAGAAAGAAAGAAATGGGGACAGGATAGAGTCAACCTTTTGGGATATTTTGCTCTTAAAGTGGATTATAGAAATGGGGTGGTATCTGGAAAAGAGTGTGCTGTCAAGGGAAGGGTGTAGATTGGTTTGGTTTTTAAGACAGGAAATATCATAGCATATATGTTCCCAAGAGTGCATCAGTAGAGAGGGAAAGATGGAAGATTTGAGAGAGATAAAATAATTGGCCTGGCACGATGGCTCACACCTGTAATCTCAGCACTTTGGGAGGCCGAGGCAGGTGGATCACGAAGTCAGGAGTTCAAGACCAGCCTGGCCAACATGGTGAAACCCTGTATCTACTAAAAATACAAAAATTAGCCAGGCGTGGTGGTGCACGCCTGTAATCTTAGCTACTTGGGAGGCTGAGGCAGGAGAATCGCTTGAACCCAGAAGGCGGAGTTTGCAGTGAGCTGAGATTGCACCACTGCACTCCAGCCTGGGCCACAAAGCAAGACTCTGTCTCGAAAAAATAAATAAATAAATAAATAAATAAATAAATAAATAAATAAATAATTGTGGAAGGAAAGTGCTTGGATAGGGGAGAGGAAATGGGATCTGGTGCACCGGTGGAAGGTTTGGCCTTAGATGAAAACAGGGCAGTTCTCTCATTATTAAAAGCAGGAAAACAGAACATGTGGGCACAGATGCTAGGGGTAGGTAGATGTGGTGGGAGAGTGGTAGAGGTTCTTTTCTGATTGCTTTTCTAATGAAATAAGAAGCAAAATCATCAGTTGAGAGTGAGAATAGGGAGGAGACTTTGGGGGCTTGAGGAAGTAAGAGTGAAATAGTTGGTTAAGAGAGTGGGAGAACAAACGATTAGGGAAATGAGCAGCATTACTGGCCCATTTAGAGTGAAACTAGTGAATATCATGTATTTTTCTCAACCATTGGTATGGACTGGGTTGAGAACCCCCCAAATTCATATGTTGAAGCCCTAATCATCATTATAATGGTATTTAGAGGCAGGGCTTTTTGGAGGTAGTTAGGTTTAGATGAAATTATGAGGGTAGCTTCCCTATGATGGTATTAGTGTCCTTATAAGAAGAGTAAGACAGCCCAGAGCATGCTCTCTCTCTAGCATGTGTGGACACAGAGAGAAGGTGGCCATCTGCATGCAAGGCAGAGGGTCCTCACTGGGAACAAAATCTGCCAGCATTTGATCCTGGACTTCCCAGCCTCCAGGACTATGAAAAGTAAATACTTGTCGTTTAAGCCACCTGGTCTTTGGCATTTTGTTATAGCAGCCTGAATAGACTGAAGCAATCAGATTGAGCCTGAGCTTTGGATTTAAACACGAGTAAATCCAGGCAAGATCTGTGGCGGGGAAAGGGAACGAGAAAATAATACTAATGAGACTGTGGAATCTAAGATGTGTAAGATGATAAGTTAAAGGGCAATGAAAAGGTGATAGGGTCAATGGGTTGGATGTCATGAAGACGTTGACAAATTATTGGATTCAGAGTATTAGAGAGAGTGAGCCAGAAAGATAAAAGGTGACGGTCAAAGAATAGGATGTTTTTGTTTTTCTGAAACAGGGTCTTTCTCTGTCACCCAGGCGGGAGTGCAGTGGTGCAATCATGAGCTCAAGCAATCCTCCCGCATCAGCCTCCCGAGTAGCTGGGACCATAGGAATGCACCACCATGCCTGGCTAATTTTTGTATTTTTGTGGAGACAGAGTTTCACCATGTTGCCCAAGCTGGTCTCAGACTCCCGAGTTCAAGCAGTCCTCTTGCCTTGGCCTCCCAAAGTGCTGGAATTACAGTCATCAGCCACTGCGCCCATCGGCCTAGGAAGTTTTAAAATAATCAAAATACTAGCTTGAACTTTAAGATCAATGCAAATGTTTTCAAAATTAAAAATGTAGAGGTTTCATATAATTAATATGTGAATTTAGCAAGACTACTGGATATGAGATCAACATACAAATGTATTTCTTTATAATAGCAACAAAAAAATTAGAAAATGAAATTTACAAAAAATATCATTTACATCAGTATCAAAAATATCAAATACTTAGGAATAAATCTATTGAAAGATGTTTGAGATTTTAACCTGTGGCCAGGAGTGGTGGCTCATGCCTATAATCCCAGCACTTTGGGAGTCTGAGGTGGGAGAATTGCTTGAGCCCAGGAGTTGGAGACCAGCCTGGGCAACATAGCAAGACCCCACCTCTACAAAAAATGTAAAAAGAATCATAATAAATGTTCAAAGAAAAAAAAAAAGACCTCAACCTGAAACATTCTCTCTCTCTCTTTTTTTTTTTTTTTTGAGACAGAGTCTCATTCTGTTTTCAGGCTGGAGTGCAGTGGCGCGATCTCAGCTCACTGCAACCTCCGCCCTCCGAGTTCAAGCGATTCTCCTGCCTCAGCCTCCCGAGTAGCTGGGATTACAGGCGCCTGCCACTGCACCCGGCTAATTTTTTGTATTTTTAGTAGATATGGGGTTTCACCTTCTTGGCCAGGCTGGTCTCGAACTCCTGACCTTGTGATCCACCCGCCTTGGCCTCCCAAAGTGCTGGGATTACAGGTGTGAGCCACCGCGTCCGGCCCTCTCTCTTTTTTAAGAGACAGTGTCTCACTATTTTGGCCAGGCTGGTCTCAAACTCCCTGGCTCAGGTGATCTTCCTGCCTCAGCCTCCCAAGTAGCTGGGACTACGGGCATGCACCACCATGCCTGTTTCTATAAGACATTCTTGACATAAATTAAACACGACCTAAATAAATGGACAGATATTTCATGTTCATAAATTAGAAGACTCAATATTGTTAAGATGCCAGTTTTTTCCAATTAGTTCATAGATTCAGTGTAATTCCATCAAACTCCCAGCACATTCTGTGTGTGTATGTGTGTGTGTGTGTGTGTGCACACGCATACATTGACAAGCTGATTCCAAAATACATATGGACAATCCAAAAACCTTGAAGTTTGGCCAGGCATGGTGACTCATACCTGTAATCCCAGCACTTTGGGAGGCCAAGGCAGGCAGATCACCTGAGGTCAGGAGTTCAAGACCAACCTAGCCAATATGCTGAAACCCCCTATCTACTTAAAGTACAAAAAAATTAGCTGGGCATGATGGCGGGCATCTGTAGTCCCAACTACTTGGGAGGCTGAGGCAGGAGAATCGCTTGAACTTGGGAGGTGGAGGTTGCAATAAGCCAAGATCGCGCCATTGCACTTCAGCCTGGGAGAGAGTGAAACTCCATCTCAAAAACAAAACAAAACAAAACCTTGAAGTTGAAAGACTTACACTACCAAATTTCAACATTTACTATATAAATCTATAGTAATTAAGACAGGGGACTCTTGGAGTAAGAATAGCTGAGTAGATCACTTGAACAGGATAAAGAGTCCAGGGCCAGCCACGGTGGCTCATGCCTGTAATCCCAGCACTTTGGGACGCCGAGGCAGGTGGATCACCTGAAGTCAGGAGTTTGAGACCAGCCTGACCAATATGGTGAAACTCCGCCTCTACTAAAAATACAAAAATTAGCCGGGTGTGGTGGCGTGTGCCTGTAATCCCGGCTACTGGGGAGGCTGAGGCAGGAGAATTGCTTGAACCCGGGAGATGGAGGTTGCATTGAGCCGAGATCGCACCATTGCACTACAGCTTAGGCGACAGAGCAAGACTCTGTCTCAAAAAAAAAAAAAAAAAAAAAATAGAGTCCAAAAATGGACCTACACATATAGGTTCTTTTGATTTATGCCACTGTAATCAAGTAGGGGAGGGACGTCCTTTTAATAAAAGGTGCTGGAATAATTGGATAAGTACAGAGAAAAATAAACTCTGACCCTTAACTCACACTATACACAAAAATTAATTTGAGTGGATCATAGACCTAAATAAAAAAAGTATAAAACAACAATAAAACAACTTCTAAATAAAAACATAAGATAATTTTTTTGATATTGGGGTAAGTAAAGATTTCTTTTTTTTTTTTTTTTTTTGAGACGGAGTCTCACTCTGTTGTCAGGCTGGAGTACAGTGGTGCGATCTCCGCTCACTGCAACCTCCGCCTCCCAGGTTCAAACAATTCTCCTGCCTCAGCCTCCCGAGTTGCTGGGATTACAGGCATGCACCACCATACCCGGCTAATTTTTGTATTTTTAGTAGAGACGGGGTTTTACCATGTTAGCCAGGCTGGTCTCGAACTCCTGACCTCAGGTGATCCAGCCGCCTTGGCCTCCCCAAAGTGCTGGGATTACAGACGTGAGCCACCGCGCCCAGCCTCCTGAATGTAAATTATATCTCAATAAAACATTGAAAAGTAAGGAGTTTTTTGTTTATTTTTAATTACAAAAGCAAAATAAATGCTTGGTCTTTATAGACTACTAAAACAAGTATAACTAGAAGAATGACAGGCCTTGATCTCATTTCTAGGGACAAGATCTGTCTTCAAATTTATGCAGGTCTTCCATGGGACAAAGAGAAGGGTTGTATTGTGCAGATGCCAAAGAGAGGATCTAGAATCTGTGGGGACAAGCCACAAGGAGATAGCTTTCAAGATGAAGGAAACCTTTTTTTATGCCCTTCTCCACAAATGAAACAGGCTGCCTTGAGCCAAAATGAGCTGGCTGCCAAAGGCATGAGCAAGCAGAAGGCAGCCACAGGCATCCACGCATCAGGTGGGGTTGGATTAGACAGCCTAGGTCTCGTCCTCTGCCTCTGCTACTCCTTTAAGGAACAGCAAGGAGTAGAACAGCCCCTCCCACACTATGAGTTGTCCCTTTGTGTTAACAGAAATGGCCAAACCCATCTGCTGAAAGCCATAGATTGCTGGAGGACTAGCTCTGGAGTCTGAGCCCTGATGGCAGTGAAAAGGGAGGGAAGGACACAGGACAAAAGTCTTGGTTCTTAAGAAACGGACAGGCCAGGAGGTGGTTCACATCTGTAATCTCAGTACTTTGGGAGGCCAAGGAGGGAGGGTCACTTGAGCTCAGCAGTTAAGACCAACTTGGACAACATAGGGAGACCCTGTCTCTACAAAAAATAAAATAATTAGCTGGGCAAGGTGGCACGCCTCTAGTCCCAGCTACTCAGGATGCTGAGGCAGGAGGATTTGTTGAGCACAGGATTTCGAGGTTGCAGTGAGCCATGGTCACACTACTGTACTCCAGCTTAGGGGACAGAGTGAGACCTTGAAAAAAAAAAAGAGAGAAAGAAAAGAAAAAGGAAGAAAGGAAGAAGAAAGGGAGAAAGGGAGAAAGAACGAGAGAAAGGAAATAAAGAAAGAAAGAAAAGAAGGAACTGATAAATTTGGTGGGAAAAAATGGCCAGGCGCGGTGCCTCACACCTATAATCCCAGCACTTTGGGAGGCCGAGACAGGCAGATCACCTGAGGTCAGGAGTTCAAAACCAGTCTGACCAACAATGACGAAACCCCGTCTCTACGAAAAATACAAAAATTAGCCGGGCGTGATGGCGCACATCCCAGCTACTTGGGAGGCTGAGGCAGGAGAATTGCTTGAACCCAGGAGGCGGAGGTTGCAGTGAGCCGAGATCGTACCATTGCACTCCAGCCTGGGCAACAGAGTGAGACTCTGTCTCAAAAAAAAAAAAAAATTGGTTGGAAAACAAAAATAACTCTGAGCTAGGAGTGAGACAGATTCTCTCCTTCTGCCTGTGGCTGGCTGTGTGACCTTGTGCAACTTCCTTGTCCTCTCTGAGCCTGGAGTCTAGGCTGGGTAGTTCTTGGGCCTTCTCTGGTACTGACATCCTTTGAGGCCACACGGATGGCCACCTGGGCCAGATGGGAGTCACTGAAGGGGAAGGTACTGGGAGAGTGACTGCGGTGACTGTAGTGGCAGACAGGAGAAAGAGAGACTTTAGGACTCATTCCCCATCTCTTATGAAACACAGTAAGGGCAAACAGTCCTGCCCTTTCCTATTTCTCTGACCCTCAGTAGCCCTAGGACATCCCAGCTTCCTCCTACGCCACCCAGGCCCCCTTGGATCACCTTGGGGCAGGAATCCAGTCCACTCAACCCAGGCTAATTTAACAGGATTTCTACCAGACAAAGGGCAATTTCCTGGATGGTGAGCAGGCAGGGCTGGGCCTCTTTAGGGCTTGGGCCTCACCCCAGAAAGAGCCTTAAGCCACAGCAATCAGGGACTTCCTTGATTGCCTTGGAGATATAAGCCCCACGCAACCCTGCCCAGCTGCCCTGGAGGGAAAAAGGTAGGCTCTAGATCTTATCCAACACACCCAGTCCTAAACCTTCTCTGACTGCTACCTCCTGTCACTTTCTTCTCCTCTCTTCCCTGCCTCCATTCTTTTCAACATATTTATGACTCCACTTTGTGCTAGGCATTGTGTTAGATCCTGGATATACAAAGACTTGTGATCCAAGGTGGGTCCTGCCCTAGGAACTCAAAGACTAGAAGAGACATAGACATGTACAGTTGGTTCTTATGACTTGTATTATATTCCATACAGTCACCATGAACACTGAATTAGCAAATACTAGACCATTGTTCCTAGGGGAAATGGGAAATACAAAATTAGGTTCCTGAGAGCCTCTGATCATAATACTTTTTTTTTTTTTTTGAGATGGAGTCTCGCTCTGTTGCCCAGGCTAGAGTACAGTGATGATATGGCTCCGATGAGTGAAAAAACACCAGGGCTCTTGGTCCTCATGCCAGTTTAGATAAAATGACACGGACACACATGGAGTGGTTTTAAGGAACGGAGGGTTTAATAGGCAAGAAGGAAGGGAGAAGAAAGAAGGCAGAAGCTCTCTTGTACAGAGACGGAGGGAGGGGGGCTCCAAAGCCAAGAGAGGAGATCTCACGTGCCATGGATACTAACAAGGTATATGAAGAGGCTGGAGGAGGCGGTGTTTGATTTGCATAGGGCTCAGGGGATTAGTTTGACCAGGCATGTCATTCATGTAGCCCACAAAAAAAACTGGCCCTCCCACCCTAGCCTTTTAATATGCAAATACAGGGCACCATGATGTTCTACACACATGGAGATATGTGGGGGTGGCTATTTTGCCAGGCATATATGGGGCAAGGGCAAGAAGAAGAGGGCAGGAATCCCCATGTTTGGGTGGACCCAACTTCTAATGGCCTGCATTTGCGTATGAAAGGTTGCTGCCCAGGTCTAAGAGCCAGGGCTTTCATGCTAGACAAGAAATGTTTTTGGAGCTGCTTTGAAAATGAAAACTCTCCCAGGACCCCTTTTCCACTCTATCTGCCTAAAATAGCTTTTTTTTTTTTTTTTTTGAGACAGAGTTTTGCTCTTGCCCAGGCTGGAGTGCTATAGCACTATCTTGGCTCACCGCAACCTCCACCTCCCAGGTTCAAGCGATTCTCCTGCCTCAGCCTTCCCAAGTAGCTGGGATTACAGGCATGTGCCACCAAGTCTGGCTAATTTTGTATTTTTAGTAGAGATGGGGTTTCTCCATGTGGGTCAGGCTGGTCTCAAACTCCCGACCTCAGGTGATCCGCCTACCTCGGCCTCCCAAAATGCTGGGATTACAGGCGTGAGCCATCGCACCCGGCCTAAAATAACTTCTTAATAACTCCTACCACAGTGATGCAATCTTGGCTTACTGCAACCTCCACCTCCCAGGTTCAAGCGATACTCCTGCCTCAGCCTCCTGAGTAGTTGTTATTACAGGTGCATGCCACCGCGCCTGGCTTAAATTTTGTATTTTTAGTAGATATGGGGTTTCGCCATGTTGGCCGGGCTAGTCTCAAGCCTGTGACCTCAATTGATCTGCCCGCCTTGGCCTCCCAAAGTGCTGGGATTACAGGCATGAGCCATCGCACCTGGTCTGATCACAACACTTTTATTAAATGATCAATACATAACCATGTTTTACATGTGCTTCTATTTAAAGACACCTTATTTAATTGGTATTGTTGATTCATTGACATTGAACTCATTACAACTCATGCCTGAATGAAGCTTGTCTAACATATGTATTTTCTCTGTAAGGCACATCACGGCTGTCTTAGTCTATTTTCTGTTGCAATAACAGAATACCTGAGACTGGATAATTTATCAAGAAAAGAAATTTCTTTCTTACAGTTCTAGAGGCTGCGAAGTCCAGGAGCATGGTGTCAGCATCTAGTGAGGGCCTTCTTGCTACATCATAACATGGTGGAGGACAACACATGCAAAAGTGTTAGGTCAGGTCGCTCTTCCCCTCCTTGTAAAACCACCAGTCCCATCATAGAGGTCCCATCCTGATTATCTTATCTAATCCCAATTACCTCCTAAAGGCCCCATCTCCAATCAACATACAAATTTGGAGATTAAATTTCCAACATGTGAAATTTGGGGGACACATTCAAACCACAGCGACAGCCTTCTTGTGCTTAGAAACACTAGACAACACTTCAGCACTCTGTTTGGGGCAAGAAAAAGTATGAAAATGAAAAAACATGGCACTAAATAAACAACACCAAGTGAAAAAAAAGAAGGGCATCACTTTGCTCAGCCTCAGCTGGGAACATGCACATTAGACAACTTGAAATTTTTGCCACTCTGTGCATATCCATGAATGACCGTGAGTATTAATATGGGAGTTGGGAGTTAAGCTATGAGTACACAAAGGCATAAGAATAATCCAATGGACTTTGGAGACTCATGGGAAAGGGTGGGAGAGGAGTGAGGGATAAAAGCTACACATTGGATACTGTGTACACTGCTTGGATGATGGGTGCACAAAAATCTCAGAAATCACCACTAAAGAAATTATTCATGCAATCAAACACCATCTGTTCCCCAAAAACCTACTGAAATAAATAAAATAAAATAAAATAAATTAAAATAAAAGTTCAGGCCAGGCATGGTGGCTCATGCCTATAGTCCCAGCACTTTGGGAGGCTGAGGTGGGTGGATAACTTGAGGTCAGGAGTTCAAGACCAGCCTGGCCAATACAGTGAAACCCCGTCTCTACTAAAAACACAAAAATTATCCAGGCATGGTGGCAGGTGCCTGTAATCCCAGCTACTCGGGAGACTGAGGCAGAAGAATCGCTTGAACCCGGCAGGTGGAGGCTGCAGTGAGCTGAGATCACGCCACTGCACTCCAGCCTGGGTGACAGAGCAAGACTCCATCTCAAAAAAAAAAAAAAAAAAGTTCATAATAAAAAAATTAATTGTATTTCTATACACTAGCAATGAAAAAAATATGGGGGTCACAAATAAATGTTAGCAAGTAGACAAATTCATAAATATGGAATCTGTGAATAATGAAGGTTAACTGTGTTCTGCTCTAGGAGATCCTGGAGGAATCTTTGACTCAGGTTGGAAGCATCAAGAAAGACTCCCAAAGAGATAATACTTTAGCTATGTCCTGAAATACAGGGAGGTCCATGCAGGTGGCCCATGACCAAAAACTAAGTTATGTGGTTTGACAAAGAATTATTTCATTCTTATTCAGAAGCATTTTGTTGTTCTCATAAATGAGGTCACCTCTTTCACTGTATCTTCTAAGTCAACACTGAACAATAGAACTTTCTGCAATGATTGAAATGTTCTGATACAGCATATTCTATAATACAGTAACCAACAGTCACATGTGGTAATGAGACCTTAAAATGTGATTAGCGTGATTGAGGAATTGATTTTTAAATTTATTTGATTTCAATTATGTGGGATATGATGAGGTTTCTCTTCAAATAGCCTGATCAATCCTTTATTCTTTAATTTATAGTACCCCCCTACCCACCCCTTTTTTCTTTTTCTTTTTTTTTCTTCCTTTCTGCTTTTGTTACATGCCCAGACACGCCACAGTACCAGGCGTTATCAGTACCAGCTCACATTCCTTTCCTTATTTGGAAAGAAGACTAGCTCTCTCGCTTATTGCAGATACCCCTCTCCCTTTCCCCTCTCTCCCTTACATGCCCACCTTATGTAAAAAAAGTTCAAATGTTTAGCCAACCAGGATTAGTTTAGAGTGTACGACCCGATCCCAGCCAATGGGAAAAGGGTACAGGGGCAGGACTTGCGTCAGGAATAAAGGCTCTTGTGCTCCATTGTTCAGGTGTGCTCTCATGGCGACTGGCCAAGGAGAAGCACCCCTCTGCGCAGAAGTAAAATTGCTTTGCTAAGAATCCTGTGTTTGAGTGTTCAATTTCCTTAGGATTTTGAACATTATTCCCAACAATTCGTTTTAAATTTAAAATTAAATAGGCAATGTGGTGTGGTTATTACATTGAACAATGCAATTTAGCTTAATGCAGTTTGTATATATGAAGGGGATTGATTTTTGTGTAATAATTTTATACCCTTTTTCCTTACTGAGACTTCTCATCGTTTATAGTAGTTTTTCAGTTGATTCACTTGGGTTCTCTTGGAATACAAACATGTCATTGACAAATAAAGATAATTTTACCAGGCCGGGTGCAGTGGCTTACTCTTGTAATCCCATTTGGGGAGGCTAAAGGCAGGTGGATCCCTTGAGTCCAGGAGTTCAAGGCCAACCTGGGCAACATGGTGAAACCCTATTTTTAAAAAATGTATAAAAACAAAAATAAATAAAATAAAATTAAACATTTTACATATATCTTTCCAATTTTTATTTCTTTTTCTTGTCTAATTACATTATCTAATGCAATTTATATTGCTTGTTTATATTGGCCAATGAAATGTATAGTGGCTGGGCGTGGTGGCTCATACTTGTAATCCCAGCACTTTGGGAGGCCAAGGTGAGCAGATCACCTGAGGTCAGGAGTTCAAGACCAGCCTGACCAACATGGAGAAACCCCGTCTCTATTAAAACTACAAAATTAGCCAGGCATGGTGGCGCATGCCTATAATCCCAGCTACTTGGGAGGCTGAGGCAGGAGACTCGTTTGAACCCAGGAGGTGTAGGTTGCAGTGAGCAGAGATCGCTCGCCACTGCCCTCCAGCCTGGGCAACAAGAGCGAAACTCCATCTCAAAAAAAAAAAAAAGAAATGTTGTATAGTAGTAGTGGTGATAGTTTGTAGGCTTGTCCCTGACAGTGGAATTCCTAAGTGTGATTTCTTCCCTATTTATATGAAAATGTTGCAAACAAGTGGCAAATGAATTTTTTTGGCCTCCAAACTTGCTCATGTTTGCTGTGTTTAGAAGTCCTACTCATTGTTTCCCAAGATAGAAATCTAGGCATTGCCGGGCTCCATGGCTCACACCTGTAATCCCAACATTTTGGGAGGCTGAGGAGGAAGGATCGCTTGAGCCCAGGAGTTCGAGACCAGGCTTCGCCACATAGCAAGACCTTATCTCTACAAAAAATCAAAAAATGAGACAGGAGGATCGCTGAAGCTTGGGAGGTGGAGGCTGCAGTGAGCCATGATCGTGCCACTGCACTCCTGCCTGGGCGACAGTGAGATGTTCTCTTAAAAACGAACAAACAAAAAAGAAATATAGGCCAGGTGCAGTGGTTCATGCCTGTAATCCCAGCACTTTGGGAGGCCAAGGCGGGTGGATTACAAGGTCAAGAGATCAAGACCATCTTGGCCAAGATGGTGAAACCTCGTCTCTACTAAAAATACAAAAATTAGCTGAGCGTAGTGGCACTCGCTTGTAATCCCAGCTACTTGGGAGGCTGAGGCAGGAGAATCACTTGAACCCAGGAGGCGGAGGTTGCAGTGGGCCAAGATTGTGCCACTGCACTCCAGCCTGGCGACAGAGTGAGACTCCAGCTCAGAAAAGAAAAGAAAAGAAGAAAAGAAAAAGAAATATAGACATCACTTTCATACTCTCTCCCCCTCTCCCTCTCCATCTCAATTATATCCAGTCCTACCAGCTGCCAAATCAGTCCTTTTCTATCTCCACTGCCTCCACTCGTCTTGTACTCATCAATACCACTCATCCTTGGAACATTACATGAGAAGCCTCTTCATTCGTCTTCCAGCTTCCCTTCTCACCTTCTTCAATTCTTTCTCCTCAGAGCAGCTGATAGGTCTTTCCAAACTCTTCATCTATCATATGGCTTCCCTGCTTAAAATTCTTCAATGGCCTCCCTCTGCTCTTAGGATAAGGACCAAAATGCTTAACACAACCCACGAAGCCATGTTGTGGACCATCTGCCTCTGCCTTCATCCTCAGCCTCATCTTGCATCCCATTCCCTCAATCTTTGTGCTCCAGGCACACTGGCCTTTCTGTTCCTTGACTCCACCATGATCTCCCTGGCCTCTGGGCTTTAGCACATGCTGTTCCTTCTCCCTGAGATACTCTCTTTTTTTCTTTGAAACAGAATTTCACTCTTGTTGCCCAGGCTGGGGTGCAATGGCACGATCTCGGCTCGCCGCAACCTCCGCCTCCCAGGTTCAAGCAATTCTCCTGCCCAAGTAGCTGGGATTACAAGCATGCACCACCACGCCTGGCTAATTTTGTATTTTTTGTAGGATGGAGTTTCACCATGTTGGTCAGGCTGGTCTCGAACTCCTGACCTCAGGTAATCCACCTGCCTCGGCCTCCCAAAGTGCTGGGATTACAGGCTTGAGCAATTGTGCCTGGCCTCATTCACTACACTCTGGCCACACTGGTCTCCTTTCTGTCCTTCCGATATTCCAAGCTCTTTGGGGCCTTGGGGTCTGCGTTGTCTCCTCTACTTGCAATGCTTTCCCTCTAAGCTCTCTTCACATTTAGCTAATTCTCATCCTTCATGAGGATCACTTTCTTTTTCTTTCTTTTTTTAAATTTTTTTAATTTTTTATCTTTAGTAGAGATGAGGTCTCACTCTATTGCCTAGGCTGGTCTCGAACTCCTGAGCTCAAGTGATCCTTCCACCTCAGCCTCCCAAAGTGCTAGGATTACAGGCATGAGCCACTGTGTCCAGCCAAATGTTACTTTCTCAGGACATTCTTTCCTGAGCACTTGACTTAAAGTAGTTCCGTACCAGTTTCCTCCATCACATCACCTCGCTTCTTTCATGATGCTTATTACGATCTGAAATTATTTATTTGTCATTGATCTCCACTGAGAATGTAAGCTCTATTTTGTTCACCACTTTGTCCTCAGAGCCTAGTTGGTGTGTGGCATATAGTAGACTCATTGTAAATATCTGTTCGGATCAATGGAATCGATATTCCAAAACAATGTCAGATCTGGAATTTCCTCTTTGAAACGTGGAGGTGCTGCTCCTTTCTTCCAGCAGGTGGCGCCAAAGCTGCACCTGGTCCTTACCAGAGGTGTGGATGGGCTGTGAGGTTGGCAAGACAGGGCAGCAGGGCCGAGTGAAGAGGGAGAGACAGGGTTTGTTGTAGTAATGCTGGATCCAAGCATAGAGGAAGTCAATATGGCTCTTCTCCCAAGAATAAGTAGGTATGATCTGTCCAGAAGGGACCTAGAGTAGCCAATGACCCAACAGACATTGCTTCCCCTCTTCACCCGTCCCACCCCGAAAGAAGTCCCCAAGAATTCAACAGGGGATCTTGGAAGAGGAGAGCAATTTTCTGTGAGTGTGAAACTGGAGAGAAGCAAGGGTGTTCAAGTGTAAATCCCCTGGCCGGGCGCGGTGGCTCACGCCTGTAATCCCAGCACTTTGGGAGGCCGAGGCGGGCGGATCACGAGGTCAGGAGATCGAGACCATCCTGGCTAACACGGTGAAACCCCGTCTCTACTAAAAATACAATAAATTAGCCGGGCGCGTGGCGGGCGCCTGTAGTCCCAGCTACTCCGGAGGCGGAGGCAGGAGAATGGCGTGAACCCGGGAGGCGGAGCTTGCAGTGAGCCGAGATGGCGCCACTGCACTCCAGCCTGGGCCACAGAGCGAGACTCCGTCTCAAAAAAAAAAAAAAAAAGAAAAAGAAAGAAAAAATGAAAAGTCTAAATCCCCATAGGAAGTTTGGGGAAATTGTGACCTGGAGAGAGGTGTCACAGTGGGTCAGTGGGAGTTGGGTCTGATGCCCAGCCAAAGCCTGCTCTGGTCACAGCTCCCATTCACTCAGCTCCACGTGCCTGCCGCACCCCACCATGCCTGGCCCTCGGCTCAGTGTGGGAGACCACGATGAAAGAGACGATCCCTCTGAGATGTCCCAAAGGCAGAGGGGTAGGGACTGCTTCAGAGGGGCTTGCTGGAGTCAAGACACATTGGATGGGTGTCTGCCAGGTAGAGCTGCAGCAGGAGCTGCAAGACCAGGGTCACGCAGGTGGCCTGCAAAAAGAGCTGCATCTAGATCTGGGCCTGGGGAGGTCAGTAGGGTACTCAGACAGGAACTCACAGAAGGATTTCTAGGAAACTTTTTGTTTTGTTTGAGACAGGGTGTCCCTCTGTTCCCCAGGCTGGAGTGCAGTGGCACAATCATAGGTCACTGCAGCCTCAGATTCCTGGGCTCAAGAGACCCTCCTGCTTCAGCTGCCTGGGTAGCTGGAACTACAAGGTGCAAGCCACCACACCTGGCTAATTGTTTTTTGTTTTATAGAATCGGGGTCTTATTATGTTGCCCAGGCTGGTCTTGAACTCCTGGCCTCGTAATCCTCACACCTCAGCCTCCCCAGTAGCTGGGATTACAGGCAGAGCCACTACACCCAGTTTACAGAAATGTTTCTAAACAGGAGAGCTACTGAGTTATCTTGGATAGTTTGCAGAAAGAAGGTGAGGAGATCAAATTAAAGTCAAGGAGACAAGACAGGATGCTTGTCTATTCACCCAGGTAAGAGAGCATAATGCCTGAGAAGTAATTGTGGGGCTAAGAAAGAAACAAGCTTGAGTGGTTTGGAAAACTTTAATTTTTTTTTTTTTTTTTTTTCAGGCAGAGTCTTGCTCTGTTGCCCAGGCTGGAGTGCAATGGCATGGTCTCAGCTCTTTGCAACCTCCGCCTCCCAGGTTCAAGCCATTCTCCTGCCCTCAGCCTCCCAAGTAGCTGGGATTACAGGCATGTGCTACCACGCCTGGCTAGTTTTGTTTTTGTTTGTTGGTTTTTGGTTTGTTTCTGTTTTGAGACTGGTTCTCTCTGTCCCCCAGGCTGGAGTGCAATGGCGCGATCTCAGCTCACTGCAACTGCTGCCTCCTGGGTTCAAGCGATTCTCCTGCCTCCGCCTCCTGAGTAGCTGAGATTACAGGCATGCACCACCACACCTGGCTAATTTTTGTATTTTTAGTAGAGACGGGGTTTCACCATGTTGGCCAGGCTGGTCTCGAACTCCTGACCTCAGGTGATCTGCCCGCCTCGGCCTCCCAAAGTGCTGGGATTACAGGCGTGAGCCACTGCGCCCAGCTGAAAACTTTAATTTTTTTTTTTTTTTAAAGACAGGACTTGGTGGTTACTGGTTAGAGTGGAGGGAGAGAGGAGGTATAAGTGGGCTTCTATAAACATTATCTCAGAGTCTCTGAGCAGGCCAGCTCCAGAGGCCATAACAGACTCTAGGCTCCTGCCTTGCCCAGACAGCCTGACATGAGATGGCTGATACAAAGACAGTGTGTGACTTGCCTTGGTGTTGACAAAACCATTGGTTCACCTAACAGCCTTAAGTAGTGGTTAAGAGCCCAGGCACTATAGCCAACCTCGATTCAAGTATCAGCTCTTCCAGTGACTGTCCAATGACCTTGAGCAGGTTACTTAACTTTTCCCTGCGTCAGTTTCCTTATCTCTTAACGTGAGGATGACAATAATACCTTCCTCATAGGGAAGTTCTGACAACTATCTGAAGACTAACTGAATTCATACTTATTACACACATGTAACCATGCCTGTTAGTAACGCTTAATGTAATTTATCAAAGTAACCTGGCAGAACTTCATCAGTAAAAATGGTGGACCTCCCTCCCACCCAAAACGGAGCCCCACACTCAAGGTAAGAACCAAGCCAGAATAGCCTAAGAGCCTCTCTTGTCTGGGCCTCATTTATCTATTTATAAAATCAGGAGATTTGACTAGTAGCTCCTGATCCTGCCAGCTTTGCCTTCTTGTGATTTTGGGGGCTTGGCCTAAGTGTGAGACCCAGTGGTGTGTTAGGCAAGCTCCTACCAGCTTGTAAAAGCCAACTACTAAATGTTTAGGAAATGTTCAAATGAACAACCATGGATAACTTGAAATTGGCTATGGTGGGAGTTATTCATACCATGGAAGTTAGCCAAGTGCTCCCAACTAGGCCTTCCCCACCACCCTGTTCCCTACCGGAGGTGTTTGGTTTTTTTTTGTCACCAGTGCGTCTGTGGTAAAATCCTCCCTCATCTGATACACACATCCAGCAGGTACATTCTCACCTTTCAATACCATCAGTAACAGTTGTGGAGAAAGAACCACCAGTCTCCAGGGACCCCACAGGCCTCCAGCCCCACCAGCCCTGCAGGCTCAGGCATGCACCAGGCAGGAAGCACAGTGTACAGGCACACCCAGAGCAAGCATCTGTCTGCCGGTCCCCTGGTCATTCTCAGACACAAGGAAGTAGACAGTGGCGATTACGGTATTGGAGTCTTACAGAGTTGGGATAAAATTCCAGTTAGGTCACTAAAGGCTGCGTGACTTTAGCTAAATCCCTCTCTACACTAGGGTGTTCTTATCTTTCAAATAAGAACAGTCTTGACTTAGCAAGAGGCCAGGTGTAGTGGTTCACACCTGTAATCCCACTACTTTGGGAGGCTAATGCAGGAGGATTGCTTGAGTCCAGTGAGAAGGATTGGCCTGGGCAACATAGTGAAACCTCCATCTCTACAAAAAAATTTAAAAATCAGCCAGGCGTGGTGGTGCATGCCTGTAGTCCCAGCTACTCGAGAGGGTGAAGCAGAAGGAAGGATTGCCTGAGCCGAGATTGCGCCACTGCACTCCAGCCACAACTCCAGACATGTTCGCCCCCACCCAGTAGCACCTGGGGCTCAGTGTGTTCTCTAACGGAGTCTTAAGGCAGAAGGGCTCAGTGAGTGGCTGAGGACACAGACAGAAACAGGCAGCTGCTTTCCAGCTTTTATGAAAATTAATAACATTAATAGCTCACAGACATATACATACACACACATTGCTATGTACACAGTCATTAAGTTATTAATTAGGCTCTGTAAAAAAAAAGGTTTCTACATTAGTGTTCCGGGCTAGGCCCGATCAGTCCTTGGCATATTCACAGTGGCAGCCCCAGGGCTTGGCCCCACAGGCAGGCAGAGGGGAGGCAGGAGGCCACAGAGCAGCCGGCCCCACAGTGAGCACAGCAAGTGTCCTGGGCCACCTCCTTGAGTCTTCAGTTCCCTTCCTAGCACCTGCAGTCCAGCTGCTCAGCAAGCCGGCAGACAGGTCCTGATCCCTTCTGTGGCCTTCTGCATGGTGGCTTCGGGCAACGTGGCGGGCCCTAGAGGATGCTAGCCAGCTCTGTGGAGTCTGTTTCTGAGCAGCCAGAGCTGCTGGCCTCGTCCCTGCAAGAGAGAGAGGAGATGGGTTGGAGGAAGCATCCATCCTTACCCCTCCTCAGCCCCACCTGCCTCCTTCCTCACGTGATCTTGGCCCTGCTGTCGGACTAAAGTGAACCGCGGGACACAGAGTTTGCTCACTCCCACTTTCAACTGTTGGTTGGTCTGTTTACTGTCCTTGCTGCACACAGGGTACTGCAAACCCTAGATCTACACTCTCGCCTGGGCTGGCTGACGGGCTGGCATGACTCACTCCAGCCTGCCCACTGGTTTCCCCAGATGCAGGGTCAGGCCACACTCGAGGTCCTATATGCCAGGAGGCTGATGAAGAGTGCAGTCTCTGGAGCCGGAATGCTGAGGCTCAAACCCCAGCTCCGCCCCTTTCAGCTGGGCCAGGTACTCTTCCTGCTGAAACCTCAACTTCTTCACCTGCAGAGGGGGAACCCTAAGAACCTGATACTTAGGGTTGTTGGAGGGGTATGGGAGGTGATGGATACACACGTCCTATAACAGGCTCCTTAAGGACAGAGATTTTTGTCTTGTTCACTAGAGCAGTCAATGCCTAGCACATAGTAGGCAGCCAGTATGTATTTGTTGAATAAAGGTAAGACCACTTAACACAGTGCCTGGTGCGTACTTAAGTGTTACAGCTGTCCAGAGAAGATGTGTGGGGGGTGAGTCTGGACTTGGCCACAGGAGACACAAATTGAGGGTTTAGACACAGTGACGTCCCCTCCTCCAGCATCCTGTCCCCTCCCCACTCACCTCAGTGCCTGCAGGGCCTTCTTATTCTGCCGCCGCCTCTCCTCATCAATGGGGTACATTTTGAAGAGCAGCAGGCCCAGCAGGATGAGAACTATGGGAGCCATGGTCACGAGCATGTTCAGTGTAAACTTGACACGTTCCGGCTGCGAGCAGCCACGGG
Organism: Homo sapiens; assembly: GCF_000001405.40. Lineage (NCBI taxonomy): Eukaryota > Metazoa > Chordata > Mammalia > Primates > Hominidae > Homo > Homo sapiens. Next base: position 39,968,585 of record NC_000001.11, on the reverse strand, counting down.
TCTGGTACCCTGCAAAGCTATGGGACCCAGGGGGTAGGAGAACGGTGAAGATGGGGCACCTGGGGCCTGGCCCTGCCCAGTCCTGCCCCAGGTCCCCACCCCACTCACTCCAGACTGAGGGTAGAAATGCCCAGTGACACTCCAGAGGCAAACTTGGTGAAGAAGACATAGAAGGAGAAGAAGATGGGCTCGGTTCCATGGAAGTGGGGCTGCTTCAGATGGAAGTCGTCAATGACATCAGGCAGCATGGACCTGCGCAGAGTAGTGACAGCCATGAGGACTGACCCACCTAACGGGCCTCTGTGTTAATGAGAAGAGGTGGCCCTCTGGAAGCTTGCAGTACCATGGGTACACAGCTCAGTGAGGATATGGGACCTTCACATGAATAAGAAAAGGCCTCTTGCTCTAAGAGGAAGTAACCCTGCCTGGAGGTGCTCAGCGTGGCAAGTGGAGCCCAGGCCAGATTACAGCCCCCATTTTTCACTCTGACTAGGTGTTCTTGCAAAGCTCACTACCTGTACAACTGTACAGGACAGACCTCCCCCACTCCTAACCTGGACCCACAGAATGGCCTGTGGGAGAACACTGCATAGAACTCTCCCTAAGGAGCTTCAAAACTGGGGACTAGGGGCTGGAGATACCCGAGGAGGGGGGCCTGTATATACCTACCAGGGTAGTAAGAAGGCAGCTGCCACACTGATGCCAGCTGCCACAGCTACCGCATATGTAATGATGAGGTTACTCTCCATGAGGGCCACCAAGATGAGAAATGGCACTGCTGACTAGGGAAGGGGGTGCAGGAAGATGAATCAGCTGGGAGGTTCCCACCAGACATCCCAACTCAACCCAGGCTCTGCTCTTCAACCCCACTCACTGAGATCCCAACATATACAGCTGTCTTCTTGCCAAACCGGGTCAAGAACCACTGCCAGATGGGAATGGTTAAAGTGGCCGAGAGCTGTGGATGGACAAAGGGGGTTAAAGGGAGGTGCTTTAGAGCCACAGAGCCCCTCCTGCCCTTCCCAGAACCCCAAAGTGGCTCCCAGCCCTGCCCAAGAGCAGCCAGATGACATCATGTGGGCAGCAACGAAGATGACAGGCACCTTTGACGGCTCCCCAGGGGAGCTCAGAGCTGGTCCAGGCCCACCTTGTCTGCTGCCCTCTCAAACCTCTGAGCCAAGTTCCTGGTGTCCTCGCCCTTGCTTTTGCTGTGCTCACTACTCAAACATCTAACCTCAAACTCTTTCTTTCACAGTCCTACCTTCGCAAGGTCCAACCAAATACCCTGAGAAGCCTCCCTCATCCTTTCATGACCTTGGGCCAGCCTGAGAAACATCCTCTGCCTATTCCAAGAACCATTCCACAGCCTATGTCACCTCAGCCCAGGCTGCCCGCCCCTGCTCAGGTCCCACTCACCATGATGGCCAGGAGTAGATTCTGGAATTCATTGCGGAAGCCCAAGGTGTAGGTGCAAAACAAGACAAAGTTCCCCTCCACCAGCTGGGCATGGAGCAAGGTAGGGAAGGAAATGCAAGGAAGGAGGTGATGTTGGGGCTGAGCCTCCCCAAGACATCCCCCAAGCCCCAGAGACCTCTGCTCACCCCGCTCCCATTACACCTCCTTCTCAGGCTGAGCATGTCAGAACCCACTCACCATGAAAGCCAAGGAGGTGAAGAGGAAGCCAGTAATAAGTTTGATGTATGGGCCGTGGCTCATGACCAGCCGTAGGCCCCGGAAGTAGGCGATTGGCTCAGACTGCTGGGCTTCATAGGGTTCTGGGGGCCAGAGCGGACAGTGAGGAAGGAGCAGAGACCCCTCCCAAAGCCTGAGGGCCAGGCAGAAAGATACAGCTGTCCATGCTGAGGCCTGCACCCCTTCCCAGGCACCCCCTTACCTCTCTGCTCCCGCACGCCCAGGATCAGGATGACAGCACAGATTATATAGATACAGACAATGACCCCCGCTGCCAGCAGGTATGCCTTTTGCTATAAGGAGGTGAAGGCGACATACAAGGATGGTCAGTTTGAGCTCATCCCAGCACCCCAGTTCCAGCAGCCCCACTCAATGATCTTGGGCCAGTCCCCTCCCCTCTGGGAGCGTACTGTCTCCATGTGTGAAATGGGAGGATCATCCTGGGCCTGCTGTTGCTTCCCAAGGCTGGACAGTTAAGATTCACAACATGCTCAGAAACCAGGCTGGTTGAGTGCAGCCCTCACACCTGTAATCCCAGGAGTTTGAAACCAGCCTGGGCAACTTGGCAAGACCCCGTCTCTACAAATAATAATAAAAGGAAAAAAACAGAAACCAGGCTGCAGAGTCTGACAGCCCAGAATTCAAATCTTCCCAAATCTCTGCAATTCACTAACTTTATGACTCTGGGCAACTTATTCAGCCTCTCTAAGCTTCAGTTTCTTTTTCTGCAAAGTAGGTATATTGGGTGCATTAATTGTTATGTATATCAAATGCCCAACATTTATTTAATAAACACTAGCTGTTACTATCTTTAGGATGACTACAAACCACCTCACTGTTCCTTATCTCCCCAAATCCCTGCCCTGCCCAGGGCCTCACCGTTTCCCTGTGTGAGGTGGTGCCATGTGTATGGTTGGCACTTTGTGAAGCTACTGTAGAGCTATTGAGGTCCTGGAAACAAGGCGTGTCTGCTTGGCCCACGATTTGTCCCTGGATCGCCGTGCCCAGCACTGTGCCCAGCACTTCCACAGTCATCCCTGGCAGGAGAAAAGGAGGTGTTTTGGAGGGGCCTCATGGATTGTGGGCCCAGGGAGGAAGGTCAAATGGGTGGGAGCCCAGCGGTAGCTCCAGGCAGGGTGGGTAGAGGTAGTGGGGTAGGTGACACCTTGGTTTGAACGCATATGCACCTCTCCAGGTCTCATCTGAGCAATAAGGGGATTGAGTTATTTTTAAGATGGTTTCACACCCACACTCTAGAGCAGAGCAAAGAGCTGGACCCGCAAGGGAAGAAGTATGGCTGGAGGGTCCCTGGAGGGTGGGGTCAGGTGGGCTGGGGAGACTCACGATAGGCGGTGGCAGAATCCCGCTCAGTCTGCTCGGTGCTGATGAACATGGTGAGAGCCGAGTAGGGAACATGGAAACACTGGCATAGAAGACAGGTCATTGGCTGGTCAGGCGGGTGGACACACTGATGTAGCTTCCAGTACCAACCCTGGGGGCCCCAAGGACCGCCCTCCTCCCGGCCCCTAGAGACACCCAAGGGAGGTACCCACACTCACCGTGACCATTGTTTCAAAGAGGCAATAGAAAAGCAGGTACCAATAGGTCTGGCCGTGTGGGAAGTCGGGCACGAACCAGATGAGGAAGTAGGCAATGACGGCCAGGGGCGTGGAGAAGATGATCCTGAGGAAGAGGAGGGTGTGAGTGGAGGCTGGAGGCTGGAGCCCAGGACCAGGCCCAGCCCAGTCTGCTGTGCCTCACAGGGTCCCCACAGGGAAGGAAGCTAAGCTCTTCCTTCCTTCCCCATACTCCTGCCAAATCCACCCATCCTGGGCCTCTGGGAAGAGGCTGATGACCAAGCCCGGAATGGCAGATGGGAACTGGGACCCCAGACTGAAATCCTAGGCATGGAGTGTGAGGTCAGAGCCTGAGTCTAGTCCAGAGGCAGCAGCCTCTAATGGGCTGAGAGTTAGGACAGGAGTCCAAGACCTCAGGTGCCTGGGCAAGGAGGCAAAGAGAAGGAGCAGCCCCAACTCCCGTGTTCTCACACGGATAGTCATCAACCGCACACACACACCCCATTCACACACACACCCCATTCACACACACACCTCATTCACACACACACACACCCCATTCACACACACCTCATTCACACACACATCATTCACACACACACACCCCATTCACACACACCCCCATTCACATACACACTTCACACACCCCATTCACACACACACACACACCCATTCACACACAGGGAAGCTGGCATGATGGGGAGAGGCCAGCTCCAAGTGAAGGAGTTGAAGGCCCAGGTGGGCAAATGTCCGCCTTCCCCATGTGAGTTCCACACCATCAAAAGGGGTTAGACCTCAGGATGGACTAACTTCATGGCATCAGTATAGCAAGGCAGCACAGGCCATGGTAAAGAGAAAGGCCTTTGAGCCACTCTTCAGGGATTCCATTCTAGCTCCACCAACTAACTATAAAACTTAGTCTTGGGAAGTTATTTAAATTATCTGAAGCTCGTTTCCTCATTTCCTCATAAGTTCCAGCTATGGGCTGGGCGCTATTCTAATTACTTAGGATAACTAGAGAACAGATAAAAAATCATTGCCCTTGTGGAACTTACATACTAGTTGGCAAACAGAAAAGTTGACATAATTTAAAAGTTATATATACCATTCAACCTTCATAAGGAATAAAATTCTGACACATGCTACAACATAGATGAACCTTGTAGACATTAAGCCAAGGAAAATCAGCAAGACACAAAAAGATAAATATTGCATAATTTCGCTTTGGAAGGATGTAATGGATGGATGGTGGTGATGGTGGCGACAAAGTGAATGTACTTAGGCTAGGCGCAGTGGCTCATGCCTGTAATCCCAGCACTTTGGGAGACTGAGTCAAGTGGATCACCTGAGGTCAGGAGTTCAAGACCAGCCTGCCCAACATGGCGAAACCTCCGTCTCTACTAAAAATACAAAAATTAACCAGGCATGGTGGCGCACACCTGTAGTCCCAGCTCCTCGGGAGGCTGAAGCGGGAGAATCACTTGAACCCGGGAGGCAGAGGTTGCAGTGAGCCGAGATCGCACCACTGCACTCCAGCCTGGTGACGGAGTGAGGCCCTGTCTCAAACAAACAAACAAACTCCTTGATTATTACATCCTTAATGTGGAATGTTAAAACTGCACTGCCCAAAAAAGAAATATTAGAGAACCGACAGGTTTGTATCCCTACTGTACCAAAAACAAAAACAAAAAAACCAAAGTGAATGTATTTAATGCCACTGAACTGTACACTTAAAAATGGCTGTAATGGCAGTGGCACATGCCTGTTATCCCAGCTACTTGGGAAACTGAGGCAAGAGGATTGCTTTTCCCCAGGAGTTTGAGTCCAGCCTGTGCAACATAGCAAGACTCTGTCTCGTAAACATTTTTTTTTTAACAGGCTTAATTCACTTTACTTCTCTTGTATAAAAACCCTATGTTGTAGCCACAGCTGGAGCCTGGTGGGTCTTGATGAGGTGGTCAGTGAATTCCTGATCGGGAGACTTGGTGAATACAGTCTCCTTCCAGAGGTCGGGGGTCAGGTAGCTGTAGGTCTTAGAGATGGCATCAAAGGTGCCCTTGGCAAAGCTGCCCAGGGTGGCAGTGCAGCCCCGGGCTGAGGTGTAGCAGTCATCGATACCAGCCATCATGAGCAGCTTCTTGGGCACAGGTGTGGAGACGATGCCAGTGCTCCTGGGTGCAGGGATGAGACGCACCAGCACAGAGCCGCAGCGGCCTGTCACCTTGCAAGGGACGGTGTGGGGCTTGCTGATCTTGTTCCCCCAGTAGCCTCTGCGCACGGGGACAATGGAGAGCTTGGCCAGGATGATGGCCCCACGGATGGCGGTGGCCACCTCCTTGGAGCACTTAACACCCAGACCGACATGGCCATTGTAGTCTCCGATAGCAACAAACGCCTTGAACCTGGTGCGCTGGCCGGCACGGGTCTGCTTCTGCACTGGCATAATCTTCAAAACCTCATCCTTGAGAGAGGCCCCCAGGAAAAAGTCAATGATCTCAGATCCCTTAATGGGCAGAGAGAAGAGATAGATCTCCTGCAGGGACTTGATCTTCATGTCCTTCACCAAGCGGCCCAGCTTGGTGACAGGCATCCACTCCTTATCCTCGGCCTTGCCTCAGCAAGCTCCGCAGCTTCGGCCCGGGCCCCGTCCACGGCCATGACCCCGGCCCCGGATGCCACTGCCGAAACCTCCGCGGAAGGCACCAGAGTTCCCCATCCCAGGGCCACCAGGGCCTCCAGGCCCCCCCGCTGCACCAGTGTCATCCGCCATTTGGTGTTTTCTCGGAGAAGAAGCTCGTAAACATTTTTTAAAGGTTATGGTAAATTTTATGTTACATATACTTTACCGTAGTTTTACAAAAGGGTTATATAACATGTTGGGAGATGAGTGCTGTGAAGAAAAGAAATAAAGCTGGCTCCAGAAGGTTAGAATAAGGGTGCAATTCACAAATGGGTGGACAGGGTAGGCCTTACTGAGAAGGTGGCATCCATGCCAAAGGCCTGAATGAGAGGAGGGAGTTGGCCTTTTAGACATCTGAGGCAAGAGTGGACCGGGCAAAGGGAATAGTCAGTGCAAAGGTCTTCAGATAGGTGCGTATCAGGCCTAAGGAAGGGCAAGGCCAGGAGGGCTCGAGTAAAGAGAACGGGGAGATAGAATTAGGAGATGAGGCGGGAGTGGAAATGGAACTTCTGAAAGGCCACTGGAGGTGCCTTGGCTCTAGTTCACAGGATTGAAGTAACTTTGAGACTTGGTTGATACTAAAATGTCAAACAGTGTTTGGGACACTAAGTGCTATAATGATCACATCAGGGAAGCTCAGCAGGAGAGTTGGCATGCGTAACTAATGCAGGCCACACCAGGGGAGCTGTAGAAAGCCCTGGGCTGGGAAGGAGACCTCAGGTCCAGCTGTTGCAGCCTCCCCATGGGACCCTGCTTGACATCTGGTCTCTCACACACTGGCCTTGAGAACTCCAGGCAAAGTGACTATCAAAGTCTTTCTGGTTTGGCCAGGAATGGTGGCTCACGCCTGTAATCCCAGCACTTTGGGAGGCCGAGGCAGGAGTATTGCTTGAGGCTGGGAGTTTAAGAACAGCCTGGGCAACATAACAAGACCCCATCTCTATATATGTGTTTTTTTGTTTTTTGTTTTTAATCAGAAAAAAGGAAAAGGGCCAGGTGCAGTGGCTCACGCCTGTAATCCCAGCACTTTGGGAGGCCGAGGCGGGCAGATCACAAGGTCAGGAGATCGAGACCATCTTGGCTAACACGGTGAAACCTCGTCTCTACTAAAAATACAAAAATTAGCTGGGAATGGTGGCGGGCGCCTGTAGTCCCAGCTACTCAGGAGGCTGAGGCAGGAGAATGGCGTGAACCCAGGAGGTGGAGCTTGCTGTGAACTGAGATCACGCCAGTGCACTCCAGTCTGGGCGACAGAGCGAGACTCTGTCTCAAACAAACAAACAAAAAAAGCGGGGGGGGGGGGGGGGGGGCGGGGGCGGGAAGAAAAGTCTTCCTGGTTTCAAGAAGAGGATTTAAATGTAGGCTTAAAGCAGGGGTTGCCCTGAGGCCCAGGAGGAGAGAGAGCTACAGGGTTCACAAACCCTGACAGACCCAGTTTCTTCCTACACTGAAAGGAAAGGGGGTTCCAGGTCTCCAGGCCTGGCCTGAGGAGGGGTCAGGTGGTATGGATGGAGAGGTCTGGCCAGGCATGGTGATGTTCATGCCTTTAATCCCAGCACTTAGGGAGGCAGAGGCAGGAGAATAGCTCCAGCCCAGGAGTTTGAGACCAGCCTGAGCAACATAGCCAGACCCCATTCACCACAAAAAGGAAAAAAAGTTTGGACAGGGAGGTCATATGCACACCAGCCTTCAGCCCACGAGCCATCCCGCGTGCAGGCATACACAGGCACCACCAGCCACAGAAGCATGTGCACACAGGCACCTGCTAGATCAGAAACCAGCCTGAAGGGCCCCCAGCAACTTCCCCAAACTGGCTGCCACGCCTGCCCAGGAAGTTGCTCAGTTCCTACATGCCACAGGGAAGGCCTGCCCACCTCCACCTCTCTTGACTCTGTCTCCTCAGGGAACAAGAGCTCCTCATCAGCCTTTGTCAAACACTCCATCCTCTGCTCATAAGCAGCTGAGCAGCTGCTGCTGAGGAACCCAGTGTAACTGGGAGTAACCCGGCCTGCAGCCACCATCCCTGGGAGCGGCTGCCTCCCATTGGCTGGGCCTCATGAGGCGACGTGGCAGCAGAGCCTCCCCTTCTACTGGCTGCCAGGGAGGCGGGCACAGGGCCAAGTCTCACGGGCTGGCGCCGGGGGAGCCCTGAGCAGCCTGCACAGGTAAGGCAGGCTGTCCTGCCCCCGGCCCTGAAGACTGGATCAAAGGCTCCAACCTGGGCCTTAGCCAGGGGCTGGCAGGATTGGGGTGGGTGGGGGGCCTCGTGGGAAAGGAAGCTGTAGTGGGGGAAGGGGTTGCGGGAAGAGCTTTGAAGGCCGGAGGCCAGGTATGGGCGCCCCTGGGGCAGGAAGGCGCCCACTTAAGCCTGGATGGGCTGGAGATGAAAGGGGTATGCCCCCCCACACCCTGAAGCAGGATGTCCTGGAGGGAACCAGAGCCCCCGCCTGACAGCCTATCCTGTGCGTCTCCCCTGCCGTCTGATCCGATCCGTGGCACCACCTCCGCCTACTTTGCCCCTGAAGCTGAGTAGCACAGGCTTTGTACCAAGGGAGAAGGTAATTTACGTCATCCAAGGTGCCAAAGGTTATGGGTTTGCTACCCCATTCCGGGTATTACCCCATCCCCTGCTCTGCCAGGAGCCACCCTGAAGGGGTGCCAAATTATTTATCACTGTGCTGTTGGAGGGTCCCACATGGAGGTAGAGATGCAGCAGGCTGGGCCTGAAGTCTAATTCCCAGCCCAGGATTCTGCAGTTCCCCTGGTGTGGCCTGTACTAGGGACCACATGCCAGCTCTCCTGCTGAGCTTCCCTGAAGTGGTCATCATAGCACTTAGTGTCCCAGACACTGCTTGGTATTTTAGTATCAACTTATTTAAGTCTCAAAATTACATCAACCTTATGAAGTAGAATTAAGTCAGGCACTGTTCTAAGAACGTCAAAAAAAAAAATTAATCCACCACAACTCTGTGAGTGTGAGATAGGTATAACTATTATCCCCATTTTAGATGAAGAAACTTGAGACTCAGAGATGTGAAGTGACTCAGCTCTAAGTAGGGAAATTGGGATTTCAACCCAGACAGGGGCCGGGCATGGTGGCTCACACCTGTAATCCTAACACTTTGGGAGGCTGAGGCGGGAGGACACCTTGAGCCCAGGAGTTCAAGGCCAGCCTAGGCAATATAGTGAGACGCTGTCTCTACAAATAATAATTTTAAAAGATTAGCCAGGTGTGGTGGCACGTGCCTGTAGTCGCAGCTACTCGAGAGGCTGAGGTGGGAAGATCACTTGAGCCCAGGAGTTCTAGGCTGCAGTGAGTTATGATCACACCACTGCACTCCAGCCTGGGTGACAGAGCGAGACCCTGTCTCTAAAAAAAAAAAAAAGAAAGAAAGATAGAAAGAAAGAAAGAGAAAGAAAGATAAAAATAATAAAATAAGCCCAGGCAGGCTGGCTCCAGAGTACAACTGCTTAACCACTCTTAAGTACTACCTCGGCCACTGCAGGAAGTGATAGAGTGGGAGAATTCAGAATTCCAGCTTCACCAAGGGGAATGAGTGGACCCTGGGGAGGAATGAGGCCTGAGCTGCCCAGCCTAGCACTTTGGCTGTCCTGGAAATGAACTGGCTGAGCATGCCAGTGCCCGTGCTCAGGGTAGCTGATGCCTCGGATGGGGTTTCAACACCCTTGGGCTTTTAACTCCTTCCTTCTCCTCACCCTTCTGCCTGTGACAAGACAGAGAGAAGGACCAAGGAGCAGATATGCTGGAAGTCCTGCCTTGTGCCACCTCGAAGGGGCATATTCTACTCACCAGGGCATAAGGCGACCCAGGCAGGTCCAGGGGGATTTGCTGATGCAGAGGCCCACCAGGGGGTCTGTGATGGCATCCCAGGCTCGGCCCACAAACAGGATGATGGAGGCAGAGAAAGGGCCCACCTGGAATGAGGAGAAGCAAAAGACAACTTCCTCATCCTTCTACTCGCCTCAACTCTCACTGGTAGGCAGAAGCAGAGGCTCCCTCCCTATCTCAGCCAGGATCTTGTGACCCTGAGCTGCTCCCACATGGACCTTACACATCTTCACTTGCCTTGTTAATAATGACAATAGCATTTCTCCAATAACAGTAGCACTGGGTGCCTCCTTAGAAGCTTTCCCAGCTCTGTCTCCTTAATTGCTTCCCTCCACTGCCCTTGAAAACATTCCCATCAATTCAAATGAATCCACAAACATTTCCTTCCCTCCCTCTCTCAGCCCTGAGCTCCTGACCACCTGATATCAGAATGAGCATTCACGGGGTGAACACAGTGTGCTTCAGTGTTCCCATCTGTATAATGGGAGTTATGAGCTCTACCTTACAGGTTCAAGCTCTATCTTGGATGTGGAAAAAGGAGCCTATAGATGCTTTTTAAAAAGGGACTTGTCACTACCCACTCAAGTTATCCCCCTCCCCGCCCCAAAACCCCCCAGGCCCTAAATACAGACTCTCCAGACTCCTCCTTATCCATCAAAGCCCTGCTATTGCTATTTCTCTGGGGAGTGGGTATTCTTCCCCATACCATAGTCTCCCTAGTCTAACCCCCCAACCCCAGCTCTAACACCCACTACAACAGGTTTACACTTTGACTGCAGGTTCCTCATATTTACACCCCACCCAAGGCCCAGCCCATGGGAGTTACTCAAAAATTAGCTGCTGAAGTTTTTTGTTCCTTCTGGAGTTCAGTGTTCCCCCTCTGTAAATGGATACAACTAAGATGCGATGCTTGCCAAGTTAGATGCTACACAGAGAAGACAGCTGGTGCAGGAGCCCCGGTAGTCATGGCTATTCTGCCTCCCACTCTCCCATCCAGACAGGGTGAATTCTCAGGATGCCAGGCTTCTGGCCAAGGCTTCTCAATGCACAGAATAGTCCTGTTTCACCCTAAGTACCCCTCCCAGTCAAAGACCCTGTGTACTGGGGCATTCTAACTTAGCCTGGCACCTAAGTGCCCTTCTGCTCCTCAGGTAAAGGTGGGATGCATCTCATCCACAAGCCTGGCAACAGCCACCAACCCCTGAGTCAAGCCAGCTGACTATCTCCCAGCCAGGAACACAGTGTGCCAGTCTCTTCTAAGAACAGCATCCCCAGCAGGCCCCATTCTCCCTCATTCTACCGCCTACCCCTTCAGGCTCTGTTGCTCATGCCAGGCAAGGAGGAGTTGCCAGACCTTTCCAGCAAAGACTCCTGGAGTGGAGACACTCCTTTACTGGATACTTTCCAGGGTCTTCTCATTTCTTGCTCACTGACTCAGAGGCAGCAAAGTAGTGATTTGGGGTCCCATTTCACAGATGGGGAAAACTGAGCGAACTGACCCAGGGGTGCATAGTCTTTCCCACCTCAGGATGCTGAAGGAGCCCTCGAAGGCTTAGACCACTCACCTGAGCCACATCCAATAGGTAGATCTGAAGGAAGAAACCCAGGGCACAGCCCGTCACCTGGTAGGGGGCTCCCCCAAGTGCATAGCAAAGCTTGTTGCAAACAGACAACTGTTGTTTCTTCTTTTTCGGTTCTTTCTGGGAAGAGGAGGAAAAGATGAAAGGCCCAAGGTTCTGGCCTCCATCCAAGAAGGTTCCACAGGAAGGACCATCCCTCTGGCCAGCTCTACCAGAACAAACAACTCTGCTTTGACCTGTTCCTATCCAGGAGATCCCACCTTTTTTTTTTTTTTTTTTTTTTTTTTTTTTGAGACAGAGTCTTGCTCTGTTGCCCAGGCTGGAGTGCAGTGGTGCCATCTCGGCTCACTGCAAGCTCCGCCTCCTGGGTTCACGCCATTCTCCTGCCTCAGCCTCCCAAGTAGCTGGGACTACAGGCACCCACTACCACACCCAGCTAATTTTTTGTATTTTAAGTAGAGACGGGGTTTCACCATGTTAGCCAGCATGGTCTCGATCTCCGAGATCCCACTTTATACAAAAGAAAGGTGTTCTCCATTCTTAGGAACATGGAAAAGGGGAATCCATACTTGTGTGAAAGTAGCCCCTAAGCCACCTCCCTCCTGGAGATTCTAAGGAAACTTATCAGCCCACCATCCCTAAAGAACTCCTCCCAAGGCCTCAGGCACTGCTCCTTTCCAGGTTTCAGGGGGAGCATGCTCCAGCAGCCGACCTGTCCCCACCCGGCACCAGCTGCCACAACCTGAAAATCCGCTTGCTGCCAAGAGCTGCCTGAGCCCAGCCCAGGCTCCCACCCTGCCTCAGAGACAGGATCCACCTGCCTACTCCTGGTGAGAGCTCTAGAGAGCTACGGGGGCCCGGCCCAGCTGGCTGCAGGCGCAGCTGTTCCACCTATCCCAGAGCATCCCTGACCACTATAGGCAGCCAGAGCTTCAGGCGGACCCAGGAACTGTCCTACTCTCCAGCTTCCCGACCCATCGCCCTCCACCCCTGAGCTCCTAGAGGACCTTGGAGACGGGAGGAAAGGCCTCCAGGTTCAGGCCTGATCCCTCTCCGGGTGGGGCACTAGGGAGGTTGGGTTGCCCAGGGAAAGTAGATATTACTCATACATAGTAACAGCATAATTGCTCACCCAGCTCCTTCCAAAGATCAGTTAATAAAATTAAAAGGAAAAGGCAGTCACCTCCCACGAAGGTATCTATTGCCTGAGATCCTTTCCTAGGGGGCCGCCTCATTTTATTTGGTCCTTCAATAAGTCCCCAGGGCTGGGGATGTGGTCGATGGTCTCGATGCGCAAAGCACCGTTCCCGCGCGAACATCCACATTCAGACAAATGCCTGAGGGACGCGGCTCCTTTAAGAGCAGAGCTCTTGTTCTTATGAATGAACTTGAGCGGCCCTAACAGCAGAGTTGAGGCGCAAGAGTAGGTGGGTGGAGTGGGAGGTAGGGGATGAGAGATGGGGAACCAAGGGGAGTTTCCCAGATTTCTGGGGTCATCTCTGGGGTTTGGGGCGGCAAGCCCCAGCCGCTCAACACGGAAGAATGGAAACCGGCTAGGCAGAGCGGGGAATCACATGGGGCTGCCGGCAGAGCCTCTCCGCAGAGCGTGGAGTGCGGGTGAGCAAAGGGGGGCGAGGGCGCCCACAGCTTTTCTCCGTCACCCCCTGTCCCAGGGCACCCCCAGGTCCTCTCTGGCTCGTAGGCTTCCTGTCCCTGGCTATCCCAATGGTCCCCTGACCAGGCCGACCCCGGGACGCCCCTGATCCCCCATTTCCGCCTCCTCCCTCCCCTCGCCCTCCACGCGGGGTGCCGGGCCCTCACCTTCACCTGGGCCGGGCGTTCAGTGCTTTGGAGGATGCTGGTGGGTAGCAGCCCCGCCGCGGAGCCGCTCTCGGCGCCTTCTCCTTTGGCCATGACCCGCGGGCCACGCCGCTTGGGACCTGGTAGACGGGATGCTCCTCTGCCCCGCAGGCCGCTGCTCCTCCCAAGCTCGCTTCGTAGCAGCCTTAGCCACGGCCGCCGCGCGCTAGCCAAGCCGGCTGGCAGACGAGGAACGCACTCTGCTGCACGCCCCCTCCGCGCCTCTTATAGTTCTGCCCAGCCCTCTCGGTTGCGGCCAATCCCCGAGCCCCGCTGCCCCGCCTCCAGCCAATCCCGTCGCCCGCCTCCCTGCCCCCGCCTCGCCCGGCGGCTCTGTGCCACCGAGCCACGTTCTCCAAGCCCCGGAACCGGCATCTGCCTGCGCTGGCTCCTAGCAATCCGAGAAGCAGGCCGCGAGACCTCCCAGACACGCGCGAGGAAACCGAGGCCCCAGGCTGAAAGTGATCTGCCCGGGGTCCCCGATCTGCCCGAGGTCCCCGAGGTCCCCAAGGTCCGACTCTCCCCGAGTCGGGCCTACCACCCATGACTTCTGAGCCCCAGGCCTAGGAAAGGTAGGGGCTCTGAAGCCCACTTTAAAATCTGGAGTCAGGGCCTCTCTCCTTCTTCAAGCCTAGAGGACGTACGCTGACACTTTCCCTCCTGATGCCTCTCTCTCATCCCCGAAGACACACCATTCCCCCGTCCTGCCCTTGGCATCCGGGCAATGGGGAGAAAGATGAGGCAATCCAGTGGCTGCCCCTGCCAGAAGGGAGCTCCCAAGTCGTGGAGAGAAGCCGGGGCTACGCCCGCTAGTACACTATGACAACAGTGGCCTTTTTATGGATAGCTTCCTCCATGCTTAATATGATCTCTTTCGGCCCTCAAAAACCACCAAGTGAGGGTGGTACTATTATTATCCCCATTTTACAGCACAGGAAGGGGAAACTTGGAGAAGTGAAGCAACTGTTATGTAGCAGAGCCAGGCCTGAAAGGTTTTGTCCGATACCAAAGCAGTTGCTCTCAACAGCCCTGCTCTATCCCTCTTAGCATAAATTACAGACGGCAGAATGGGGTGTATGTGTCTCCCAACAAGAAGCCCTGGGAGATACATGGCTCCAGAGGCACTGAGGGTTGAAACAGGGAAAGTTTTGAAAAAGAGAATGCCCAGAAATGTGGTCCTCAAAAGAAGATGGGAGGGCATTAGTTTGGAACAGAAGGCAGGCACGGATGCCAGAAAAGAACAGTCTTTAGTTCCACCTCTGAGTCCCTTATGTCAATGTCACCCCGGTCTTTCCAGTTCTCTGATTAGTGAAGGGGCTGCTGGAACTCTCAAAGGCTACCCACCCGGTTCCTGTGCTCCTTAATGTCAGCCTCCTTCTTCCTTTCTTTAAATCTCTGATTGCAGGGAGGAGAGATAAGGTCTATCTGCCCCAGGATGGTCACACCATGCTCCCTCATACGCCAGCAGATCCCATCTGGGCACACAGCTCTTGGCCATTGCTGAGCAGAAGAGAGCCAAAGTGAGGCACTGAATACTGTGGAAAGGGAATGGCTGGCCCCATTACTCCAAGCTGTGTGACACTGTTCTGTCTCTTTTCCCCTCTCCAGGCTTGGTTAGCTAAGCTCCCTTGCAGCCCCCAAATCTTCTCTCCCACAGTCACACCATACCACAAGTGATCTGTATCCCCCGGTTGACAATGAGCTCCTCAGGTAGGAACCGCATCTTTTTCACTTCTGTGTCCCCACCAACTAGCTTAGGGCCTGAATTATTGTGTTCAGTGAATGAATGTTCAGTCTTCCCCTGCTAAGGTACAAGCACACAGAAACCCATTAGGAAAAGCCCTAAGTGTCTCCATTTACTAGCTGTGCGGCTGACTCTGAACAACTCAGTTAACCTCCCTGTGTAAAATGGTGATATTAATAGTAGCTACTGGCCAGGCACCCTGGCTCACGCCTGTAATCCCAGCACTTTGGGAGGCTGAGGTGGGTGGATCACGAAGTCAGGAGTTCCGGACCAGCCTGGCCAATATGGTGAAACCCTGTCTCAACTAAAAATACAAAAATAAGCCGGGTGTGGTGGGGCACACCTGTAGTCCCAGGTACTCAGGAGGCTGAGGCAGAAGAATCGCTTGAACCCAGGAGGCGGAGGTTGCAGTGAGCCGAGATCGTGCCACTGCACTCCAGCCTGGGTGACAGACAAAGACTCTTGTCTCAAAAAAAAAAAAAAATTAATAGTAGCTACCTAATAGATTTGTTTTGGGGATGAAACAAGAAAATGCACAGGAAGCATTTAGCACAAGTGCCTGGGAGCTGAAGCTGGGCTGGTCCCCCTCCTGGCCTGATTCCAGTCTGTCAGTGTAGCAACGCAAGATTCCAGATATGGCCTGACCAAGCCAGCACAATAGGCCTATTATTTTTTCCAGTCTGGATGCGACACATTGTTAATGCAGCCTAAGACTGCTGGGCTTCAGAGCCTTTCTCTCCCATGATTAGTTCCCATCAGGTTGTGGTCAACTAAATCATTCAGATCCTTTTCACCGGAGTTGGGGTCAAGTCAGGTCTCTCCCCGATCCTCTGCTTTCTGTAATGTCTTGAGGCTCACAACAGAACAATGTCATCTTGCTTATTCCAGCCTGTCGAAATTGTTGTGGATGCTGGTTCTATGGCTCACTGTTTTCTCTCACTCTAAATTTAGATCTGGCTGTCCCTTGCAACTTCAACTCCACCAGCCATGTTGTTGGTCAGGACAGAGCCCCATAACACAGCACTAGAGACACTCACTGTCACCACTAACTGAATCACGGCACCGCCAATACAACAGCTCCCAAATACCAAGCAGCCACTGGTATGCTGGGCAGCGTGCCCCATAAGTGCTTTAAATATACTATCTCATTTACTTCTGTTTTTTTTTCTTTATATCTCATTTAGTCCCAACAACACCACTGGAGAGAGTTGTTTTTATTACCCTCATTTTATTTATTTTTATTTTATTTTCTTAGAGATAGGGTCTTGCTCTCTCCTCCAGGCTGGAGTGCAGTGGCACACACGATCATAGCTCACTGCAGCCTTGAATTCCTCAGCTCAAGTGATATGATTAGGCTTTGTGTCCCCACCCAGATCTCATCTTGAATTATATCCTAATAATCCCCATACCCCCACAATCCCCACATGCCAAGGGAGAGACCAGGTGGAGGTGACTGAATCGTGGGAGTGGTTTCCTCCATGCTGTTCTCATGACAGTGAGTGAGTTGTTACAAGATCTGATGGTTATATAAGGGGCTCTTCCCCCTTTGCTCAGCATTTCTCCTTCCTGCTGCTTTGTGAAAAAGATGCCAGCTGTGTGCAGTGGCTCACGCCTATAATCCCAACACTTTAGGAGGCCAAGACAGGTGGATCAGTTGAGGTCAGGAGTTTGAGACCAGGGTAGTCAACATGGTGAAACCTGTCTCTACTAAAAATACAAAAATTAGCTGGGTGTGGTGGTGCGCGCTTGCAGTCCCAGCTACTTGGGAGGGTGAGGCAGGCGTATCACTTGAACCCAGGAGGCGGAGGTTGCAGTGAGCCGAGATCACACCACTGCACTCCGGCCTGGGCAACAGAGCGAGACTGTCTCAAATAAAAAAAAAAAAAGAAGAAGATGCCTTGCATTCCCTTTGTCTTCTGCCATGATTGGAGTTTCTTGAGGCCTCCCCAGCCATGCTGAATTGTGAGCCAATTAAACCTCTTTCCTTTATAAATTACCCAGTCTCAGGCAGTTATTTATAGCAGTATGAAAACAGACTAGTATATTAAGCAGTCCTCCTGCCTTAGCTTCCTGAGTAGCTGGGACTACAGGCATGTGCCACCATGCCTGTCTAATTTTTAAGTTTTAAAAAAATTGGCTGGGTGCGGTGGCTCACGCCTATAATCCCGGCACTTCAGGAGGCCGAGGCAGGCGGATCACAAGGTCAGGAGATCGAGACCAGCCATGACCAACATGGTGAAACCCCATCTCTACTAAAAATACAAAAATTAGCTGGGCGTGGTGGTGTGTGCCTATAGTCCCAGCTAGTCAGGAGCCCAAGGCAGGAGAACCCAGGAGGCAGAGGTTGCAGTGAGCTGAGATCAGCCAAAAAAAACTTCTGAGAAGACTGGATTCAGAGAGCTTCTGGCTAGCATGAATACACAGAGCTTCCTGAGGGTAATGTCCCAGCCAAGGCATGGAAGCTCCACAAGCCTTCCTCCGTATCTCACCTTATGCATCTCTTCATCTTTATCCTTTGTAGTATCCCAAACCAGTCAACATGGGTGTTTCCTTGATTTCTGTAAATAACTCCAGCAAATTAATCCAACCCAAAGAGGGGATCATGGGAACCTCAATTTGAAGCCAGCTTGTCAGAAGTTCCAGAGGCCTGGCGTTGTGACTGGTGTCTAGGGTTCAGGAGACAGTCTTGGGAACTGAGCCCTCCACCTATGAGATCTGATACTATCTCCAGGTAGGTAGTGTTGGAATTGAATGAGAGGACACCCAGCTGGTGTCCACTGTTTAGTGTGTGGGGGGAAAAAAGAAAACCCATACCCGTGGTCAGATCATTCTTCTATGTTGGTGATTGTGGTGATGGTGGTGTGACAGTAGAGGAAAAACACAGTTTGAGAGGTTTTTCCTAAACAACTGGTGTCAGGAGTGGGATATTCTGGGCTGATCCAGGCTCAAGGAAACATGTGGTTTGGGAAAAGAAAGTACAAAAAGATGAAAGATGAGGAACCTTTGATTCCTGGGTGGCCATGTGCTCACCCATAGTATGAAGCCACAGGGACACACGTAGTATGTACCTAGATTAGGTACTAAAAGTCAAAGATACCAGGGAAATTTAGAGATGGCTCCAACTCCCAGGGAGTTGATTGACTACATGCATAAGGAAATGCAAATTAATAAGAAAAAAAAGCTAAATATTCAGTTCCTTGGTTATTATCTGTAATGGCTAACGTGAAATTAAAAGAGAATGCTGGGTGAGACCTTGGTGCTAGACCAGCTTAGACCTCAATCAGTCTGAATTTAGGCCACCAGCCTCAAAGCTGCCCCCACAGGGCAGAATTATGCAGAGACAACAGAAAGTACTTCTAAGACTTGTGTTTACCAAGAAAGTAATCACTGTGGGAGGAGGGCAAAACCAAGTAACTATTGAAACCAGAGGGCATAGTGTGAAGGAATTATTCCATTTTGTAGATCCTTATCATCAGCTTCCTGAGGAACTTTTACGAAAATGAATTCTGTGAGTAAGTAGTTTAGGAGCAGGATCTTTGGTTTTAATTGCTGCGGAGTGGAAGAGCCTGTTTGGGTTGATGCAGGACCCACAGCTCACTACTGAACAATGGCAGATGGGTATATGTGATTCAGACACACAAAAGATGTATTTCTGAGGGAATGACCAGCCTTGGACTGGTTTTATCCAGTGGACTGGATAAAAGCCACTATAATATCTATTTACCCTGAGAAGCGGGGACTGTCCAACTCCACCTAGAAATGCCAAGGGGACCACCCCAGATGAAGCAGCCCATATGCTTCATATGCAAGCCATATGGGACTGGCTTTATGATGGCAGGGACATTCACCCACTGAAGATGCCCATTACCCAAGTCATGCTAAGTGCTGTGGTTAAAGGAGCCTCTTCTACACTGGCACCCCATGTAAGCTTACTCCTGCAGAATCAAACAGCAGTTCAAATTTGCTGTCTCAGCTTCCATTCATGGGTCTTAGAGATGCTAATGAAAGCATAAGGTTAGTTAACAAGAGAATGAGAAAAGGCAAAAGGTAGAGTCAAAAGACTCATCCTAAGAAGACTGAAATTTTTAAACGGTTATTAAGAAATAAGATGAATAAAGAAAACATTTAGCCAGACGTTGTGGTTCAGGCCTGTCATCCCAGCACTTCGGGAGGCCAAGGCAAGCAGATCGCTTGAGCCCAGGAGTTTGAGGCCAGCCTGGGCAACATGGCGAAACCTGTCTCTCCAAAAAAATATTAAAAATTAGCCGTGCATGGTGGCACGTGCCTGTAGTCCCAGCTACTCAGGAGGCTGAGGTGGGAGAATCACCTGAGCCTGGGAAGTCAAGGTTACAGTGAGCTGTGATCACACAACTGCACTGTAGCCCAGGTGACAGAGTGAGACCCTATCTCAAAAAAAAAAAGAAAGAAAACATTGATAGGGTTGATGGGATGAAACTAAGAGGAAAAAGAAAGGGAGAGTTGGCCGCGCGCGTTGGCTCACGCCTGTAATCCCATCACCTTGGGAGGCCGAGGTGGGCGGATCACGAGGTCAGGAGATCGAGACCATCCTGGCTAACACAGTGAAACCCCGTCTCTACTAAAAATACAAAAAAAATTAGCTGGGTGTGCTGGCGGGCACCTGTAGTCCCAACTACTCAGGAGGCTGAGGCAGGAGAATGGCGTGAACCCCGGAGGCGGAGCTTGCAGTGAGCCAAGATTGCGCCACTGCACTCCAGCCTGGGCGACAGAGCGAGACTCCGTCTCAAAAAAAAAAAAAAAGAAAAAAAAGAAAGGGAGAAGTTATGGGACTCATCCCCATGGGGTGAAAATCTTTAAATGGTTATTTTCAAAACTGAATGAATAAAATGAAAATTGATGGCTTTAAAACAAAGATCTTAATACAACACTTTTGAAGCCTGGGTGGACCAAAGGGAACCCTTACTGGTCCCCAATGTTAAAGGGCCCCAAACCAGTTTCCTATATTTCCCCCAGCTGGGAGAAATTGAAAAATCTGGAAGGCAGAGATTACAATGAGAAATCTGATCTGAAATTGCCTAGGGAAACGGTCAAACAGATTAATCAAGATGTAGATCAAGGCAGGGTGTGGTGGTTCACGCCTGTAATCCCAGCACTTTGGGAGGCCGAGGTGGGCAGATTACTTGAAGTCAGGAGTTCAAGACCAGCCCGGCCAGCATGGTGAAACGCCGCCTCTACTAAAAAATACAAAAATGTATCCCAGCTACTAGGGAGGCTGAGGCAGGAGAATGGCTTGAACCCGGGAGACAGAGGTTGCAGTGAGCCGAGATTGCACCACTGCACTCCAGCCTGGACAACAGAGTAAGACTCCATCTCAAAAAAAAAAAAAGATGTAAATTGAGGCCCTGTGTGGTGGCCTATGTCTGTAATCTCAGCCCTTTGGGAGACTGAGGCAGGAGGATCACTTGAGGCCAGGAGTTCAAGATCAGCCTGGGCAACGTAAGGAGACCCCATATTAAAAAAAAAAAATTCAAAAAATTAGCCAGACATGGTGTCACGTGCCCGTAGTCCCAGCTACTCAGGAGGCTGAGATAGGAGGTACACTTGAGCCCAGGAGTTTGAGGCTGCAGTGGGCCATGGTTGTACCACTGCACTCCAGCCTGGGCGACAGGACGAGACCCTGTCTAAAAAAAAAAAAGATAAAGATAGCCAAAAGCAAAAGGGCCAGGGTCCTTTGGCTCAACCCCTGGCTGGGAACCCAAAGCTTTTTGCACAAGAGTGGGTAAAATGGTCTAGGGATGGAGAAGTTCCTGAAACTAGGACATAAAAATGTAAGAGTTGATAGGATTTTGAAAGTTGGTATATTTGAATACACCTCATGTGAAGTGGTTGCATCTCTTTTACCTGATTGTAGCATGGGAATGAACACTGTATCTTATTGGAGAATGTTTCCCCTACCTGGTTTTGTAAAACAGAAGGCATGTAAATCTGCCCTTCAAGCATTATTAATTGAACATGCTAAACGGTAACCTATAAGTCTGCCAAGCCCACATGGTGCAGAGTAGAAGATAGAATACCAGTAGGTTCAAATTCTTCATTCGATAGCCCTATGTTGAACATTTCCTGGCCTTTTGGCAAAAGGCTGTGAGCACTTCCCAGCAACGACTCCTGGGACTTTGGACTAGAGAATTTCCACTTGAAGGGTATTTACTACCTTGTTATGGAACATAAACTAAAGCTGTCCCTATGACCGAAGGGCATAAAATAATCTTGAAACCTGAAATACCCATGATGTTTTCAGTGATATCAGAGAAATACTCTAATGGGGATGGCAGTGCCCAGAAGTGTTTCATAATAAAATCAAAATGGTTTATACAGGATCGTGCTACCTGAAGAGTGCAAGGAGGAGACACTCAAGCAGAGAGCCTCTTTACCCCAAGACAGACACTGAAACTGTGTGAGGAGCTGCTGGATTCCATTGACACTTGGACAGTCCAGTATGAACAGCTCTCAATTGACCAACAAGGAGCTGCTTGGTTTTGTTGTGAGGTGCTTTTTTTTGAGGGAGGGGGGCGGGTATTTTTTATTTTTATGTTTTATTTTATTTTATTTTTTTTGGAGACAGAGTCTCGCTGTGTCGCCCAGGCTGGAGTGTAGTGGCGTGATATTGGCTCACTGCAACCTCCACCTCCCGGCAAGCAATTCTCCTGCCTCAGCCTCCCAAGTAGCTGGGACTACAAGCACATGCTGCCACGCCTGGCTAATTTTTTGTGTTTTAGTAGAGACGGGTTGTCACTGTGTTGCCCAGGCTGGTCTCGAACTCCTGAGCTCAGGCAATCCGCCTGCCTCAACCTCTCAGAGTGCTAGGATTATAGGTGTGAGGCACTGTGCCTGGGCTGGGTAGGGAGTGGTTTGAGATGGGGTCTTGTTTTGTCACTCAGGCTGTACTGCAGTGGCTCAATCATGGCTCACTGCAGCCTTGACCTCCTGGGTTCAAGCGATCCATCCACTTCAGCCTCCCGAGTAACTGGGACTACAGGTACAAGCCACCATGCCTGGCTTATTTTTGTTTCTGTTTTTTAAGACAAGGTCTCGCTATGTTGCCCAGGCTGGCCTTGAACTCCTGGGCTCAGGTGATCCGCTTGCCTTAGCCTCCCAAAACACTGAGATTACAGGTGTGAGCCACAGTGGCCAGCCCAAGGTGCTTGGTTTACAGACTGCAGTTCCGAAGTGAATGAACAACATCCTGTTTGGATGGTAAAAATAGATCAACTTGGTGGGCTGAGCTGCATGCTGTTTTTCTAACAGTAATGGAAGAATTGAACAGTGATGGAAGCCCTTGTGTTTGGGTTTCTACTGACTTATGGGCAGTGACCAATGGCTTGGCCATACACTCAGGTAAAAGGGCAATGGAAACCTGGCTTATTAAAGGATGCCCATACGGAGCATGGCTCTATGGAAATTTGAGGGGTGTATTACAGTAGAATAAGTTAACACCTGTCAGAACTCCCTTTCGCATTCAGAAGGTGACTAGAGTTGACAAGCAGATATCTCTGTGTACTCCCTAGAGGTGGCCACCTGTGTCCATGAAATGAGTGGATATGGGGGTATTGCAGCAGTATAGAGATGGGCTGAATCTAGACATGTTCCTTTTGCTTCCTCTCAGGCACATAATGCCAGTAAAAACTGCTCTGTTGGTCGGTAAGAGAGACAGAGACTGCCAATGGCTATGGAACAGATTTCCTGATGGGAAGGCCCTAAACACAACTGGCAAGTGAGACTGATGTTGGAAACCCGGGAAGGGCTAAAAATGGGTCTTTAAAAATTTTTGTTTAAACAGATACAGGGTCTTGCTATGTTGCCCAGGCTGGTCTTAAACTCCTGACCTCAAGGTATCCTCCCACCTCTGAAAGTGTGGGGATTGAAAATGGGTCATGCCAGGCGCGGTGGCTCACGCCTGTAATCCCAGCACTTTGGGAGACCGAGGCAGGCAGATCACGAGGTCAGGAGTTCGAGACCAGCCTGACCAACATGGTGAAACCGCGTCTCTACTGAAAATAGAAAAATTAGCCAGGCGTGGCGGCATGCACCTGTAATCCCAGCTACTCAGGAGGTTGAGGCAGGAGAATCACTTGAACCCTGGAGGCAGGAGTTGCAGTGAGCCGAGATTGCACCATTGCACTCCAGCCTGGGTGACAGATCGAGACTCCGTCTCAAAAAAAAAGGGGGGGTCTTGACATGCCGGGCAGAGTGGCTCACACCTGTAATCCCAGCACTTTGGGAGGCCAAGGCGGGTGGATCACTTGAGGTCAAGAGTTTGAGACCAGCCTGGCGAACATGGCGAAACCCTGTCTCAACAAAAATACAAAAATTAGCTGGGCATGGTGGCATGTGTCTGTAGTTCCAGCTACTCAGGAGCCTGAGGCAGGAGAACTGCTTAAACCCACCAGGCAGAGGTTGCAGTGAGCCGAGATCGTACCACTGCACTCCAGCCTGGGCGACTAAGTAAGACTCCGTCTCAAAAAAAAAAAAGAGTCTTGACAGAAATAAACACTGACTCTGAGGTGGGCTTTGCTTACACAGTGAAAGATAAAAACGCTCAGAGTGCCATTAAAAAAAAAACACACAGGCTGGTCTGAAGGTACTGAGTTATCTCAATTGTGCACAGTCAGTTACAGATGGAACTCCTTGTTCTACCCTTTCCCTGCTTCTTACTACTGCACTTGACTAGTCTTAAAAAACTAAATAAATAAAATTTAAAAATGAAACCAGAACAGAAGATATTGCACGGATTTGGATGCCCAACTGTCATTTTATCAGACCAAAGAACACACTGTACCGCCCATAATGTCCAACAATGGACAGAGGGAGATATCCTCCTTAGAGTAATAGTTTGAGAGAGAAATAGAACAGGCAATTGAAACATATGGTTATGTAAAACAGGGGGAGATAAAAGCGAGGAGGGTCCTCATTACATTTTTGTTTTTCTGGTTGATGTGGGGAGGAGGAGGTGGGAGGATGCTGGTATGACTATGCAATTCTTGCCGAGGGAAGAGTACACTTTTTTCTTCCCCGAATCACCTAAAAAAAAATTTTTTTTTTCTCTTCTACCTCAGCAGTGGTCCTAGGACCACGGCTACAATTGAAGTGCTGGAAGCAGGGATGATTTCTAAGCAAGAAACTAACTGTGTTTTTAAATCTTATGTCAGAATTCCTAACGGCCTGATGGGAGTAGCCTTCACCCCTCTAGCAAAGTTGGGGTTAAGAATGAGTATGCCTGGCTGGGCATGATGGCTCATGCCTGTAATCCCAGCACTTTGGGAGGCCAAGGCGGGCGGATCACCTGAGGTCAGGAGTTTGAGGCCAGCCTGCCCAACATGGTGAAATCCCGTCTCTACTAAAAATGCAAAAAATCAGCTGGGCATGGTGGTGGGTGCCTGTAATCCCAGCTACTCAGGAGGCTGAGGCAGGAGAATCGCTTGAAGCCGAGAGGCGGAGGTTGCAGTAAGCCGAGATCGCACAACTGCACTCCAGCCTGGGGCGACAAGAGTGAAACTCTGTCAAAAAAAAAAAAAACAGAATGAATACGCCTATATTGCCTGGTGGTAAAATGGCTCACTCCTTCAGAGCCGATGTAACCCTACCCTCTATGAATGGGAATGGACTGAGGGAGAGACACTTGCCAGACTAGCATTGCTACCAGTGATCTGGACCAGCGCACTGAATGAACCTCATGTCCCTTCTGGAGGTGGAAAAGTTTGGGTAAGAATAAATGACAAATTGAGAAAAGGAGAAATAACAGCTGAGAGTAAAGAAATGAATAGATGGGTTACATTAACACCTTAAAATAGGCTCAGAGCCGGAGATGACATTGTCTCTTAGCTCAATTACACAATGCCTGAAAGAGTGAAGCTCTATGTTTGCCAAGACCACTCCTGCTTTTGGAACTTAACAAGATTAAAAGGAAACCTGGGCCAGGTGCAGTGACTCACACCTGTAATCCCAGCATTTGGGTAGCTGAGGCAGGAAGATCGCTTGAGGCCAGGAGTTTGAGTCCACGCGGCCAATAAGCAAGACTACATTTCTATTAAAAAAAAAAAAAGTTAAAATAATAAAAAAGAAAAAGAAACCTGCAAACCTGAGTGGCCTCAGTGTGGGAGATGTTCATACAATATGATGGACTGGACTAATTATTAATGACTGAATGGGATTCTAATGATGTGGCAGTATCTTTTGAAATGTATATTCTTTTTTCTAATCTCTCAGCTCTGACATCTTTTGATGTAAGGGATCTGTGTTTGAAAACCAGGGGGTGGCCTGTGGTGTTAAATACATGTATTGGTTTTCGTCTACAGTTCCAGGCTCATAACTCCCATAGCCTTTGTTAGTCTTTTGTTATAATGTTGATGTTAGGGCTCAGAGACAGGGCTCAGGAAACAGAATCTCTCTGACTTTCTCCTGCCCTCTCTTTACCTGCCGAGGTCCGAGGACTGGGTTTGGAGAGCTTCTGGCTAGCTGAACACATGGAGGTTCCTGTAGGGTGGGGTCCCAGGGAGGGCATGGAAGCTCCATGCTCCTTCCCCCATACCTTGCCCTATACATATCTTCATCTGTTTCCTTTGTAATATGCTTTATAATAAACTTGTAAATGTGTTCACCCAAGTTCTGTGAGCTGTTCCAGTAAATTAATAGAACTCAAAGAGAGGGTCATGGGAACCCCACTTGAAGCCAGTAGGTCAGAAGTTCCAGAGGCCTGGGCTTGTGACTGGTGTCTAGGGTTAGGGTTGGGGAGCAGTCTCATGGGCTGAGCCCTCAACCTGTGAAATCTGACATTATCTCCACATATCTGACACTATCACCAACACTATGCATTTGGTATGGGGAAAAATTCCCACACCTTTGGTCACAGATGTCTTCTGTGTTGATGATTATTGTGGTGGTAGTGTGAGAGTAGAGGAAAAACACAGTTTGAGGCTTTTTCCTAAACACTTGAGCTCTCCAGCACTCATGCACCATTAACTGAATCAGGACACTGCCAATACAACATCTCCCAATTATTGAGCATGCACTGTATGCTGGGCAAGTACTGTGCTAAGTGTTTTGTTCTTATTTTTATAATAGAAATGGGGTCTCCTTATGTTGCCCAGGCTGGTCTGGAACTCCAGCCTCAAGCGATCCTCCCAAAGTGCTGGCATTATGGGCATAAGCCCATGAGGCTTTGCTAAGGCTCCAGTCCATAGTGGGCAGAGGGCAGTCTCACGAGGAGACTGGAGCAGAGACCTGGGCCCCTTCTTCATAGCAATATTCTTTCCATCTAGAACAGCAGGAGCAAGAACGAGAACTCTTTCCTGAGGGACAGACAGCTTCACACTCTGTGGCAGCGTTACAGTAGGTAGTCACACATGAGCAGGGTAGGAGAGGCACTCCCGACATTCCCAAGAATGTCAGGCAACCATCAGGTGATAGTCAGGTGGTTGTCAAACTGTCTCTCTAAAGTATTAATTGGTCGCAGCCAGCAACAGGGAAAGAATCTCCCAATAGATGGAAAAATCTGAAACTGGTCATCAGCAGCTTCCCGATAACATCTCAGGAGTTGGGTAAATAGGGTCAAGCATGTGCACTAAGAGGGAAAATGGTGGAGTTTAACTGGTACATGAACTTCCTTTAGGAATGCTTGACTGGTAAAGGGAAAAATGCCTCAAGTGAGCATGCGCACAACTTCAGTAGACACACTGCACATGCGGCCCCTCTCAAGTTCTGGCCAGTCCCTCTCAAGTACTGGCAGGCCAAGGGCAGAATCAGGGGAGAAGTAATTCAACCTCAGAAACATGCCAACATATAAAACCCCAAGTCATAGGTCAAAATGTGCACTTGAATCTCTCGTCACCTGCTTGGCACTCTCACATGTGCTCTGGTGGCTCGAGGTGGTATTTCCAACATAGTGCGATGCTGTCAGGGCAGGATTACCAGGTGGGGCTGTTGGGGTGTTGGTGCTAGGAGACTGTTGCTGAGTGAAAGTGCTGCTGGATTCTGGCGTTGCCAGGTGGGGTAGCTTGCAGTCTATTATCCAGTGCTAAAATCTCTTCAGTCCCTAACTGGCAGATCTACCACCTGACTTCTGGAGAAAAGGAGCCATGCCCATGCCTTGAAACACACTTGGCTCTACGGTCACTAGGAAATTGATATCTTGGGAAGTGCTCTACGGGAATGGTCAGGTTGGAGAGGTAAAGGTTGGGCATGCTCTGCAGCAAGGGCTTCCTGGAACATCTGCTGTGATGGGGATGCCTCAGCCTGTTCCCTATCTTGCCCCTTTGTTTGCCCTGTGGGGAAGCAGGTAGGACAGAAAATAGGAAGGAGAGACTCTTGAGGGTCCCAAGAGAGGCTCTTCGGGCAGGAAGTATTTGAGGGCCCTTGAAGTCACTTGAGGCTGCCAGTTCCTGCCTGGATGTTGGTTGGGCAATAGTGGCGTAGGTACAGCCTCATGGCTGATCCATCTGATCTCATGAGGCTATGGACCATGCCACAGGGAGGCCCTCTGCGGGCCTTGAGACTGGGCTGGCTGCTGAGCCTCAGTTCTTGGGGGGCTGAGGGGCATGGAGAGCACCCAGAGATTCTTTAGGACAGCTGGTGCCCTTCCCACCACCAACCTGTGTCCCAGCATCTTCTCATCCTAGACTTTCCCACGGTCAGGATCCTCCCCAGAAGACAAAGACAGCTCTACTTTTTCAGAGAGACTGACTGCCAAGAAGACGTTAAGAATGACAGAGTGTGAGAAGCTGCGCAACGCCAGCCTTGGCACAGACAGCTACGCCATCCGAGGCCAAAGTGTACCTCTAAGGGAGCCCCAGTGGTTGGACCAAGCTACCGGGTGGCCTCAGAGGACAGCGAGGGGGCTGAAGCCTGAGGAATACCTCTTTCTTCCTGGCTGCCCAGAGCCCTGCCCTCATGCTCACACCACATTCCTGCAAGGAGACATTGCCTTGGTCTGCTAGCCTGGACCCTCTCAGAGTTGGAAGGGCCTTTTAGAGTAAGTGACTTGCTGGACTCAGACCAGGGTGGCAGAAGCAGAATCTGCCTTGGGCACCCCTGGAGTCGTTCCCCCTCTTCGGGCCTCCTTTTGCCCATCTGCACAAAAAGCATGTTGGGCAACCCAGAGCTTTGTGACGGCTACTTCCTCCACTGTGGCAAGCCAAGACCTCCAGCTCTGGGTGGCTGGCTTCAGAATCAGCACAGCGACGCTGTGATCTCATGCTGATTAAGAGCAAGAGATAACAGCATAGGTGGGGCTATGTGGGCCTGGAGTCAGCCCCATCAGGGTTTGAATCCATTTCTGTCACTAGCTAGCCATGTGACTTTAGGCAGGTCACAACTTCTCTGAGTCTTATTTATATGATCTGTAATAATACCTCATAGTGGCATCCTCAGGATCCAGTGAGACAATATGTGTGCAAAACAAGCGTTACAGTTCGCTCTCAACAAATGTTCATTTTGTTCCTTTATCCTTTCCCTCTGATTGGCAGGATATATGTCTTCGATTAATAGAAAATGGCAAAACAAGTTCCTTACCATGTTCCAAGATTAAAAATGTAGAACATGGGAACCTTAAGGAAAAAAATTATGTAAAAGGATACTTGGAGATATAAAGGTGGCCTTGTCAATATATTCATTAAATTTACTCTTGGCCCACCCAGCAATATATATGAATGAGGTATGGATGATCTTGTCCTTTGAAGGAGTCACATCTAGTTGTGGAGATAAACACAGCAGACTGTTACAAAATTATTTTGGCCCAGGCACAGTGGCTCACACCTATAATCCCAACACTTTGGGAGGCCAAGGCAGGAGCATCTCTTGAGCTCAGGAGTTCGAGACCAGGGCAACATAGGGAGGATCTCAAAAATAAAAGAACAAAAATCTCCTTATGTTGTCCTGGGCTTGAACTCCTGGGCAACATAGGGAGATTTTTATTATTGATTTAATTGTTTTTTTCACAGAGTCTCACTCTGTCACCCAGGCTGGAGTACAGTGGCATGATCATGGCTCAATGCAACCTCCACCTCCTGGGCTCAAGCAATTCTGCCACCTCAGCCTCCTGAGTAGCTAGGATGACAGGGGCCTGGGCAACATAGGGAGATCCTGTCTCTATGAAAAATAAAAAATAAAAAAGTGAGCTGGGGTGTGGTGGTGCACCCCTGTAGTCCTAGCCACTCAGGAGGCTGAGATGGGAGGATTGCTCAGGAGGTGGAGGTTACGGTGAGATATGATTGCGCCACTGCACTCCAGCCTGGGCGACAGAGAGCGAGACTCTGTGAAAAAACAAACTAACTAACAAAATGATTTGGCAAAGGCCTGCATGTACAAAACTGAGAACACCAGATTCCGTTTGGGCGTGGTGGTCTGGCAAAGCTTAACAGAGGAGGTGATAATGGAGCTGAGCGCGGAAGGTTGAGAAGGAGTTCCCGTGATGGGTAAGGGCATGCCCGGCAAAGGGAACACCACAGACATGGAGGCATGATGGAGGGTGTGGGGAGCGGAATCAGTGAGCAGCTTGGGCTGCTGTATGGGAAACTGGTGGCCCCTGAGGCCAAGAAGATAGAAGGAGGCCTTGCATTCTCATCCTGAAGACTGTGGGGAGCCACCGAAAGGATTCTTAACAGAAGAGTCAAATGACCACATCTGTGCTTTATAAAGATGACACTGCCACTTGCTATCTTCAGACCTTCATCCCATCTCTTCTGGACTGTTGCAGCAATGCCTAAGTGTTCCCCTCTGATCCCATCTCCAAAAACAGACCAATTTTTAAAATAAAATCAGACCATTTTATGCCCCTGTTTAAAATCTACTTACTGTCACTGGGCGTGGTGGCTCACACCTGTAATCCCAGCACTTTGGGAGGCCAAGGCGGGCGGATCACCTGAGGTCAGGAGTTTGAGACCAGCCTGACCAACGTGGAGAAACCCCGTCTCTACTAAAAATACAAAAAAATTAGCCGGGTGTGGTGGCACATGCCTATAATCCCAGCTACTCAGGAGACTGAGGCATGAGAATCGCTTGAACTTGGAAGGCGGAGGTTGCAGTGAGCTGAGATTGCACCATTGCACTCCAGCCTGGGCAACAAGAGTGAAACTCAGTCTCAACAAAAAAAAAAAGAAAAGAAAAATAAAAAATAAAATCTACTTATTGGGCCGGCACCTGTAATCCCAGCACTTTGGGAGGCTGAGGTGGGAGGATGGCATGAGCCCAGGGGTTCAAGACCAACCCAGACAACACACTGAGATCCTGTATCTACAAAAATAAAATAATTACCTGGGCATGGTGACGTGCACCTGTAGTCTAGCTACTCAGGAAGCTGAGGCGGGAGGATCACTTCGGCCCAGGAGTTCGAGGCTGCAGTGAGCTATGATGGCACCACTGCACTCCATCCTAGGCAACACAGCAAGACTCTGTCTCTAAAACAAATTTAAAAAATTAAATAATATAAATCTACTTATTATATGTGCTCAATAACTGTTTGACGAATAAAAGAATAAATGAATTAGCTGGGCATGGTAGTGCATGTCTATAGTCTCAGCTACCCGGGAGGCTGAGGCAGGAGGATTTCTTGAGCCCAGGAGTTCAAGACCAGCCTAAACAACATAGCAAGACCTGTCACTAAAAAGAAAAGACACGATTAAAAGGCTTATCTGTAATAGTCCCTTCCTCCATGTTTCTGGGTCTGTGGGTCTAAATAAAGCATCTTCTGATTTCCTCTTGATTTCCTTTCTGGGAAAAGTAAACCCAGAGAAGGTAAGGGCCTTGTCCAAGGTCACACTGCAATTTAGCAGTGCCAGCCCTCTGCATTCTATCCCCTTGGGGTTCTGAGGGGGAGCCCTTGCAGAGAAAACCCCAGGCCATGTTTTGCCTGGTCTCTGAATCCCCAGGATATACCCTCCAGACCACTACCAGGAGGACCACAGAACATTCCCCTTCTAACACACACAAACACCATTCCCTTGTTTTCTCCTGCCAGTAGTAGGGTTGGGGTCTGGAATCTCCCCTCCTGAATGTGCAGGCTTGGCTTCTTTCTTTGGGGCTGCCTCTAGGAGGAGCATCAAGGAACTGCTAGGCTGGGGTTAGGATTCTAGGCCACAATGACTATTAGGCTGGACTCAGTTCTGGAGCTAAGATGGAGTCTATCCTAGGTTCTTTGGAGTGAGTTCTGAGCTGGACTCTGGGCTCCTCTGGTCCCCAGACTGGGCTTAGCTTTAGTCTGAATTCTGGGCTCTGGGTCTGTGGGCTAGGCTGTAGATCCTGGGCTTGGCTCCAAGTTCTGAGCTCTGGTCTTTGGACCTGGCTGGACTTTGTGCCTGGACTGTGTTGTGCTTGTAGTTCTGTGGTCTGGGTTCTGGGCTCTGGGCTTTAGTTCTGGATTCTGAGCTGGACCTTAGACTAGGACCAGCCTGGCTTGGGCTTTGGGTTCTAGGCTCTAGGTTTTGGTATGAGCATTAGGATGGGTTTTGAGCTCAGGGCTCTGGATCTAGGCTCTGGGCTGGGCTGGGCTGGGCTGGGTTCTAGACCTTAAGCAGTAAGCTATGGTCTCTGTCCTCTAAACTCCAGGCTCTAAGCTTATGATGGGAAGTGGGGGTTGGGGGAGAGGGTCACAGAAGGGAGAGTGGTAACTTCCTGAGCCTGTCCCTTCTCTCCACTCCTCTTCCTCAAAACTTTCAGCCTTGCCCCCTCCCTCTAGGAGAGATGGTCAAAGTGAAAGTGGTAGTAGACTTCCTCAAGCTGCGTAAGGACTCCCCTGGCCACCAGGAAAAAGCGGTAGGTAAAGCATAGGGCAGGTGGCACAAGAGTGTATCCTGAGGTGGCCAGAAGCCATCCTGCTTATCAAGGATGTTTCTGCAGAGCAGAGAGCAGTAAGGAAGCCTAAGCGCAGGCCCACAGCCTGGCTCCACGAGGGAAGGCAGGGTGGGTAGGCAGCAACCAGGGCCCGGGACTGAGTCTGAGGAGCTCCCCCCATCACTGTCCTACCTCATTCTCAGAGACTTTGCCCCACCCTCCATTCCAGCCAGGAATTAGACTTGAAGCTCTCAGTCCCCAGAACAGTCTCTCCAGGGCTCTCCTAAGCCTCTTCTGGAGCCCTGCCTCTTATCCTGATCGCCTTGTCCTTTACAGAAAACTGCACCCCTTTTGTTCCCCGTCAGGGTCCCCTTCCTCCCACCTCTGCCTGAGCCTCCCACCCAGCAGGATTCATCCGCAGCTGTACTGCTGGTCACGCTCGCCTGTCAAGGAAGTTTCCTTAACATAGACTTCCACAGGAGACGGCCAGGAGTGGGCTACACCCCCTTTATTTGCCCACCCCCTGACTTGCCCCTCTAGCGCCACAAACTCAAGGCCCATGTGCATGCAAGACTTCCCGAAGAGGCAGGAATTCTTGTAGGAAAATACAACTAGAAGAAATAATTTAAAATTGCACATATCACATAACTGCCCAAGGAAAAAACAACCAAAACCTGTTATAGTTTTTCACAGCGTCCCTCATGGGTACACTTGGTTCCTAACTTTGTTCTCTCATCTCAGATCCTCCCTCTCCACACCCACAAAAAGACTACCTTTTCAGTTCTCCACTGGGCAAAATATCCACCAGACTCTGTGCAGGAAACCTCACCTAGTAAGCCACATGCAATAGGATCAAAAGGATAAGAAACACTTAGTAGGAGTATTTCTTCTTCCCATGAGTCTAGAATAGTATCAAAGAAGGAGGATGGAAGGGTGCAGAAAATAGGTTTCAGCCAAACAGTCTAGGGTAGGCTTGGCAATTTTGATCCTCGTGGTCCTGTTCCTTTAATGTCTTTCTACCAATGAGAAGTGATGAGCTATGCCTCCTCCTCATTGTTCAGACTTGGCCTTTTAGAGCAAGTGAGGATGACCGTAGGGTGCTTAAATGCAGATCCAATATACAGACACATACACCCTTACAAAAGACAAGTGTTTATTCTCAGCAAAGATGCAGTCTAAATCCATCCTGAGGAAGAGAAACATTTTCCTAAGAGCCCTATAGTCTGATCCCTGCCTGCAGTGGGGCTAACACTCAAATTATTTTTCAGGGTGATGTCAGATGCTCTGGGTGCATTGTCCTGCTTCCAGGCTGTGCCTCCACCTATCCTGTGCAAAAAATGGGCCTAGTAAAGAGCATCAACCCACAGTGGCCCTCCCTGGATACATAATGTCCTTGTAAGAGCTTTGAAATGTACTTTCTTTACCTTAGACCAGATGAAAATCATGGGGGAGGGGGCTGAAATTCTTCCACCCCTAAGCAGAACAATCCAGAAGTGTTAGCTATTGGTTTTTCTCTTTTTTTTTTTTTTTTTGAGACAGAGTTTCATTCTTTTTGCCCAAGCTGGAATGCAATGGCGCAATCTCGGCTCACTGCAACCTCCACCTCCTGGGTTCAAGTGATTCTCCTGCCTCAGCCTCCCGAGTAGCTGGGATTACAAGTGCACACCATCATGCTCGTCTAATTTTTTGTATTTTTAGTAGAGATGAGGTTTCACCATGTTAGCCAGGCTGGTCTCGAACTCCTGACCTCAGGTGATCTGCTCGCCTCGGCCTCCCAAAGTGCTGGGATTACAGGCGTGAGCCATCACGCCCGACCGCTATTGGATTTTCTAAGTACCTCCTCATTCTTTCCATCTCCACTCCAGTCTCCCACTCTGACCACCACATCCTCCCTTACAGCTCTGTTGGTCTCTCCTAGGAAAGCCTCAGGGGTGTGAACCTCTAGTCATGCTCAGTTCTTGACATGTCTCACGTTGATTCATTCTGTCTCCCTGACCAGGCTGCAGCTTCTGGGTTCAGGAACTGGGCCAGGATCCCTTCATTCAGGCAGGCACTTACTGAGCCCTGACTCTGTGTCAGAGTCCTCGAGGAGTTCAGAGTCTGAGGGAGAAACCAACAGGTAAATAAATCATTGCAGTAAGAGTGTGATAAAAATTATGATAGAAGAAAACAGAGGAAAAATATGGGCAAAGTTGCCACATTGCACAACTCTGGGGGTCCGTATGACTCGTCTCCTCTGGGGTTGTGCAATGAGCCCTGGTCATGCGCAAGACCAGAGGAGGAGTCTCATCCAGTGTGGGAGGTCCAGGCAAGCGCCTCAAGGAGACCAGGCGTTAGCTGAGGCTCAAAGGGCAAGTTTGCCAGGCAGATGGGGAGTGAAGGGCAATCCAGGCAGAACAAACCACATGTGCAAAGCCACAGCGGGATGAGGAAACATGTTAAATGTTGGGAAATATCAGGAAATACATTTTGGCTGACGTACTGGGTACATGTGGGAGAATGCCTAGAGCTTGCTTGTTAAATGAATTAATGACTATAATAATAAAAATCATAATCACCAACATTTGTTAACCACTCTGTCTATGCCAGGCACCGTGCTAAGTGGTGTACATGCATTTGTTCATTCTAACTTCACAACAACCCCGTGAGGTAGGTTCTTTATTACCCTCCTCTCTGCAGATAAGGAAGCAGAGGCTCAGAGAAATTAATCAACTTGCTTAAGGTCACAGAACTAGTGAACTGCAGAGCCAGGTTGGAAACCTGGATCTCCTGATTCTAGAACACTGGGCCCTTGACCACTACTTCCCTCAATACTAGTGTCCTTGACTTTGGGCAGTCGTGGCTTCAGTGCAGACCGAGGAAGAGACCAGAAGTCACATCAGGCCCCCTTTAAGCTTCTCCAGCAGCAGGGCTCTCTGTGGGTATTGGCATTGACAAGGGTCAACTCCACTGAGACCTGGAGCAGGAAAAGGGGAAAATGGGGAGGGGGCCTCATGAGCTAATTCTCTCTGCATATATGAAAAGCCTCTGGGATTCCCAGAGCTCTCCAGAAGGAATTTGAGGGAGGCAGGGTCCTGCAGAGCCAGAAAAACACTATTTGGTGAAATTGGGTGTTTTTTGTTTTTTGTTTTTGAGACGGAGTCTTGCTCCGTCCCCCAGGCTGGAGTGCAGTGGCATGATCTCAGCTCACTGCAACCTCCGCCTCCCGGGTTCAAACGATTCTCCTGCCTCAGCATCCCAAGTAGCTGGGACTACAGGCACGTGCCACCACGCCCAGCTAATTTTTGTATTTTTAGTAGAGATGGGGTTTCACCATGTTGGTCAGGCTGATCTTGAACTCCTGACTTCAAGTGATCCGCCCGCCTCGGCCTTCCAAAGTGCTGGGATTACAGGCATGAGCCACCATGCCTGGCCTGAAATTGTTTTTTATCCTGGGCATGATGTAGCCTGGTCACACCCTGAAAAATGTCAAATTCTCTTCTGTTCACTCACACCTGCATTCCTTCTCATGTCACCTGTTTTTTTTTTTGTTGTTGTTGTAGTTGTTTTTGTTTTTTATTGAGACAGTGTCTTGCTCTGTTGCCCAGGCTGGAGTGCTGTGGTGCAATCACAGCTTAATGCAACCTTCGCCTCCTGGGCTCAAGCGATTCTCCCATCTCAGCCTCCTGAGTAGCTGGGACTACAGGTACCCACCACCATGCCCAGCTAATTTTTGGATACTATTTTTGGTAAAGACGAGCTCCTGCCATGTTGCCCAGGCTGGTCTCAAACTCCTGGGCTCAAGCCATCTAACCACCTTCACCTCCCAAAGTGTTGGGATTACAGGCATGAGGTACCACGCCTGGCCTGTCACCTGTTTTTGGTTTTTGTTCTTTTTTTTTTGAGATGGAGTCTCGCTTTGTCGCCCAGGCTGGAGTGCAGTGGCATGATCTCAGCTGACTGCAACCTCTGCCTCCCAGGTTCAAACGATTCTCCTGCCTCAACCTCCCAAGTAACTGGGATTACTGGCACACACCACCACACCCAGCTAATTTTTGTATTTTTAGTAGAGATGAGGTTTCACTATGTTGGCCAGGCTGGTCTCAAACTCCTGACCTCAGCTTATCTGCCTGCCTCGGCTTCCCAAAGTGCCGAAATTACAGGCGTGAGCCACTGCACCCGGCCACCTGTTTTTGTTTTGTTTTGTTTTTGAGATGGAGTTCCACACTTGTTGCCCAGGCTGGAGTGCAATGGCACTATCCCAGCTCACTGCAACCTTCACCTCCCAGGTTCAAGCGATTCTCCTGCCTCAGCCTCCCAAGTAGCTGGGATTACAAGCATGCACCACTACGCCTGGCTAATTTCTGTATTTTTAGTAGAGATGGGGTTTCACCATATTGATAAGTCTGGATGGTCTTGAACTCCTGACCATGGGTGATCCACCTGCCTTGGCCTCCCAAAGTGCTGGGATTACAGGCGTGAGCCACCACGCCCAACCCAGCCACCTGTTTTTTAACACCATCAGGACCATCCATCCTGCCACCCTTCCATCTTCTCCTCACCTAGAAGCCTGTCCTAGTTGTACTTTGTTTTTCCTCCCACAGGGCTGGCATTTCTCTTGCTATACCTTCCCTTGCCCTCATCCTGGGTTAGGCCCAAGTGATTCCTCTCCCAGTCTACTGTGAGCTGCTGGAGGAAGGCATATGATCTCTGAGCTTGCCTGCTCTGCAGCCCTTTGCCTGGTCCTTGTCAGCTCTCTGTCTCTTTCTCGGCCATATCCTAGGGCTTTATCTCCTCAACGTGACCTTAAATCATAAAGCTCTGAGGACCTCTTCCTTTAGTTCTCTTTTCTCTTTACCGCATCCTCTCCCACCACCTCAGTGACCATATTTATACCAATAACTCCCAAATCTATAACTCTGCCCAAATCTGGATACCTGAATGTGTATTTCACACATTTGTTCATACAACTGACATTTTTTTGGCTTGTTAGACACTGACATGGACACTGCCCTCGTGAGCTCCCAATCCAGTGAGCAGATATAACCAAGAAATTAGAATGAGGCTGGGCACAGTGGCTCACACTGTAATCACAGCACTTTGGGAGGCCGAGGCAGGCAGATCACTCGAGCCCACAAGTTCGAGACCAGCCTGGGCAACATGGTGAAACTCTGTCTTTAAAAAAAAATAGAAAAATTAGTTAGGTGCAGTAGTTGCACCCTGTAGTCCCAGCTACTTGGAAGGCTGAGATAGGAAGATCACTTGAACCTGGGAGGCAGAGGTTGCAGAGAGCCAAGATCATACGATTGCACTCCAACCTGGGCAACAGAGTGAGACCCTGTCTCAAAAAAAAAAAAAAAAACCACAAAATACATAGACCGGGCGCAGTGGCTCATACCTGTAATCCCAGCACTTTGGGAGGCCAAGACAAGTGGATCACCTGAGGTCAAGAGTTTGAGACCAGCCTGGCCAACATGGTGAAACCTTGTCTCTACTAAAAATACAAAAATTAGCCAGGCATGGTGGCGGGCACCTGTAGTCCCACCTACTCAGGAGGCTGAGGCAGAAGAATCACTTGAACCCAGGAGGCAGAGTTTGCAGTGAGCTGAGATTGCACCACTGCACTGCAGCCTGGGCAACAGAGCAAGACTCCATGTCAAGAAAAAAAAAAACAGAAAAAAATAAAGAAATTAGAATAAAGTGTGTTGGCAGAGAGAGCTGATGGGACAAGAGAAGAGACAGCTGGTCCAAAGGAAATGTATCAGGCTTGCGCCTGGCTGTGGGTGACAGAAAACCCCAATCACAGTCATTACCACCAATTAGAAGTCTGGAAATAACTAGTACAGTGCTAGTATGGTGAATCCATGATCATTAGAGCCCCATATTTTATGTTGTTTTGCTCTACCATTCTCTGCCGTCCTTAACACGATGTTTCTACCTCATTGTCCAATATGGTTGCTCAAGCTCTAGTAATCACATCTGCATTCCAGCCAGCCCAAAGGAGGAAGGGGTGAAAAATGGCCCGGTCCTGGAACTTTTTTTTTTTTTTTTGAGACGGAGTTTCACTCTTGTCGCCCAGACTGGAGTGCAATGGCATGATTTTGGCTCACTGCAACCCCACTTCCCAGGTTCAAATGATTCTCCTGCCTCAGCCTCCTGAGTAGCTGGGATTACAGGTGCCCACCACCACGCCCGGCTAATTTTTTTGTGTGTTTTTAGTAGAGACAGGGGTTTCATGATGTTGGCCAGGCTGGTCTCGAACTCCTGACCGCAGGTGATCCTCCTGCCTCAGCCTCCCAGAGTGCTGGGATTACAGGCATGAGCCACTGCACCCAGCCTCGGTCCTGGAACTATTTAAACAGCCATAATTATGGTGGTTCACACCTGTAATCCCAGCATTTTGGGAGGCCAAGATGGGAGGATTCTTGAGCCCAGGTGTTTGAGACCAGCCTGGGCAACATGGTGAAACCCCATCTCTGCAAAAATTCAAATAATTAGCTGGGCGTAGTGACACACACCTATAGTCCCAGCTATTTGGGAGGCTGAGACAGGAGGGTCACCTGAGCCCAGGAGGTCAAGGCTGCAGTGAACCATGATTGCATCACTGCACTACAGCCTGGGCAACAGAGTGAGAAACTGCCTCGGAAAAAAAAAAAAGAAGAAGAAGAAGAAGAAAGAAAAACAACAAAACAGCTTCTTGTGTGCAGTAGCATGTGACAGTAGTCCCAGTTACTTGGAAGGCTGAGGTGGGAGGATCACTTGTGCCCAGGAGTTCAAGTCCAGCCTGGGCAAAATAGTAAGACCCTGACTCTAAAACAAAGAAAAGTCTGGTTGCGGTGGCTCACGCCTGTAATCCCAGCACTTTGGGAGGCTGGGGTGGGAGGATTGCCTGAGCCCAGGAGTTCAAGACCAGCCTAGGCAACATGGCAAGACCCCCATCTCGAAAAAAAAAAAAAGAAGAAGAAGAAAGAAAGAATAAGAAAAGAAAAGATAAATTAATTAATTAAAAACAGTTCCTGGAAGTTGCACAAAACACTTTGCATACAATCTGTTGGCTAGCACTTAGTTACACCTAGCTCCAGGAATTCCAGAAAACACGGTTTTTACTGCAGGCCAACCATGTGTGTAGCTAAAAATCAGCCTTTTATGACTAAGGACAAGCAAGATGATATGGATATTAGGGGGAAACTAGTAGTTTTAGCTTCAGAAAGCATTCGGACGAGCTGACGCTGAACCTGAATTTTGAGAGATGAATCAAAGTTAGCCAGGCAGAGTAGAATGTTTTTGGCAGTAGGCTACAGAGTGCGTTTTTGGAAATGCAAGTGATTCTGGGTGTCTCCAGCATGAAGTACATATTGGAGTGTAGTACGACACACCAACAAGATCACCTCATTTAAGCAGTCATTCTGAGAGGGGAAGCATGGCCCATTCTGAGGAAAGAGGCACACCTAGAGGTGGAGCACTGGGGGGCCAGCCTGGGCTAAAATTAGATTCTTCGGTAGAGGAGGCAGCTTGGGTATGGCTTGGCCCTAGAAGTCCCTAAACTCTCCTCCCTCACAGGCCTAAAGGTCCAAGAAACGCTGATTTGCAATTAGGACAACTCCCCTTAGCAAGGAGGTCCTGGAAGCTCTGGAGCTTAGCTAAAGTGCTGAGATAAGAGTCTAGGACTGGCTAGTGGCATTAAGGCCATTGGCCCCACCAGCCTCAGCCACTGGTCAATGGCAGGGCAGTGGGGAAGGGAATAGAGCCCGTATGGACTGCCAGCTGGAGCTCCTCCCCAGACACATCACCAGGACTTCCAAAGGTTGTGTTTATTTCCCTGATGTGTTTGCAGACATCAGGGCAAGGCAGCTGGCTGGGCACAGGGTGCCTGGCATTCTGGAGGAATGAACTCAACCCCCGTGGCTCTGCTTCCACTGCCCTTCTCTGCTCCTGCAGCAAGTGGACAATGACCCTGGCCCACGTCACCTCAGAGAGTTCAGCAGGGAATCTCAAATGTTCTAGCACCTGTCCACCAACTGGCAAAGCCCTCCAGCTCCCAGTGGCTCCTGTCCCCTCTCCCAAAGATGCACATCACATGCAGACACACCAAACATATTGTTGACACAAGTGGTCCCCAACCTTATTGGCACCAGGGACTGGTGTCATGGAAAACAATTTTTCCACAGACTGGGGTGCGGGAGGATGGTTTCAGGATGAAACTGTTCCACCTCAGATCATCAAGCATTAGTTCGATTCTCATAAGGACCGTGCAGCCTAGATCCCTTGCAAGTGCAGTTCACAATAGGGGTCGCGATCCTATGAGAATCTAACGCAGCCACTGCTCTGACAGGAGGCAGAGCTCGGGTGGTAATGCTCGCTCACCCACCACTCACCTTCTGCTGTGCAGCCTGGTTCCTAACAGACCACAGACCGGTACCAGTCTGCAGGCCAGGGGTTGAGGACCCCCGGCTTATACCACATACCCAGGTCCTCATCTATCTCCAGATATACAGTTATACAGTTATTCACACACAAAAGTCACACACACTACACATATGCTACATGTAGATACATGTACCCACATCACTACCCACATCACACATAGAGACACCCACCCTGACACCCACATTACATACAGACATCTACACACTACACACATGATAGTCTAACATGCTTCCACTCATGACACACCATACCATATGTACACATCCCACACATACATCCATACCCAAACACTCACCTAACATTACACCCAGACCCCCATCAATATTGGTTCCTATGTTTGGGGGGCAAGGATCTCCAAGTTCTCATATTCATAGGAACCCTTGTCTTCAGAGCTTTGATGGGGCAGAGACTCAGCTGTGCAGTTAGAGGGGAGAAGGAAGCACTCCTACCTCCCCAACTCAAATACATATCCTCAGCCCACAGCAAAGAAGGGAGACCAACCTTTCCCCCACTACCTCATGGACCTATCTTTGCCCCTGACATTGAGGACATGGAGTTCTGGGCAGGAGATCCAGTGTGATGCCTCAGCCCTGCCCAAGATGCCCTAGGGACAACAGTCACAGCCAGCAGCCTGGAATCAAGGCTGGGCCAGGCCTACCAATGTCACAGTGGCAGGAAAAGCCCTTATGCAACAGGCACTGGGGAATGTACAGGGAACCCACAGGAGCTGACCCAACGGGCCGGGAAAACAGTAAAGAGGAAAGGCCCTCACGGTTATTGACATCTACTCTGTGCCAAGCACTG
The DNA here is from genome assembly GCF_000001405.40 of Homo sapiens. Classification (NCBI taxonomy): domain Eukaryota; kingdom Metazoa; phylum Chordata; class Mammalia; order Primates; family Hominidae; genus Homo; species Homo sapiens. The sequence goes on along the minus strand of NC_000001.11, from coordinate 39,927,595 downwards.
TACCCAGAGCTCCACAGCATTGTCTCCTGTCATTCTCATACCAAATATTATCCCATTTTATAAACAAGAGAACTGGAGTCCAAGGAAGTGCTCAAAGCCTCACAGACTGTAAATGGTAAGGTCTTACTTTGGACCAGGGACTACCTGTTCCTACAGCACTGGCCAGCACCCTAGAGTTGGGCTGGGATGCTGCAGCCAGGCGACCCCAGGGCAGGGGTAAGGATCCCTGGCTGGATGGGGCTCTGTTCTGGGCCTCTGCCTCCTTGCCTCCCCCTAAGTGGGGAGCACTGAGGCAGGAAACTTGAGCCCAGGCACTGGGCTCAGGAGAGAGGCAAACAGATGGGTTATAAGTTTGGTCCCAATGCCATAGGCTAAGCCCACATTAGTCCTGGATATTGAGCCAAAGCTGGTGCCAGGCTAGGGGCTGGAACTACAGCTTGAGGCAGGTCAGAGCTAGAATCGAAGTTGATGCTGAGCCAGGAGCCAAACCTGGAACTGCTGCTGCTGCTGGAACAGATCCAGATTAGGGCAAGGAGCCAGAGATGAAGGGGACGGGAGACAGAGGCTCAGGTGCCCCCTCCACACACTCTCAGAACTCCTCAGCATATCAGGTACCACGCCGGGCACAGAAGAAGGGACACACAGGAGCTCAAACTGCTCAGTAGGGGAGAGAGAGAGGAACGCAAAGAACTTTAATCCAAGGCACACCGAGCTCTGGCCAAAAGGCACTCCATGAAGCTGGGCTTTGAAGGGTGGCCAGAACTTCAGTCATCAGAGATGGGTGAGAGAGACTGTGGTGGGCAGGGTCGGTGATGGGAACGAAGGCCCAGAGGCAAGAAGGCCCAGCCCAGGGCCTGTTCCCAGGAGGGAGAGTCAGCATTCTGTTTGGTGAGAGTGCACAGCAGGCCAGCAGAGCAGTCAGCATGAGGCTGCTGAGGTCAGTGACAAGAGCCCACAGAACCTGGTGACCTGTGCGGGAAGTTGAACTTTAGCCAGAGAACAATGGGATATCATTAGCAGGCACTAAGAAGGTCAGACTTGTGTTTTAGAAGGGCCCTCTGGCTGCTGATGTGGAGGAGAGATGGGGCAGGGTGGAGGTGGGAGAACTGGCAGGCAGGGAGACCAAGGAGGAAGCTGACGTCATAGCCAGGGCAGGAGACCATGAAGCACAAGCTGGGCGAGTGAGCCAGGGGTAGAGGGAAGGGGACAGACGCAAGATCTGTAGAAGGGGAGGGCTGACAGGACTTGGTGATGATTTGGAGGATGAGTGTGAGAGAGGGTGAAGGCTAGAAAGACATCCAGGTGTCAGGGAGGCAAGAGGCCGTTGCAGAAGTGGGGCCACCCCAGGGAAAACCAGAGACACAGAGCCTGAACTCCAGGCTTGTCCTCCCAACTATGCCTGTCACCAGCTGTGAATCCTTGGCTTGGGACTTGTGCTCTCTGAGCCTCAGTTTTCTCTTCTGTAGAATGGGGGAAATTGTATTAGCTTCCTAGGTTTTTCATGAGGATTAGACAGAACATGTATGAGAGTGTCTGGCATATAGTGAAAGTCAATGCATGCTGCATGTGCAGCCCTACTCAGCCCAGATCTCCAGCTCCCAAGCAAGATGCTGGCTTCTGTCAATGATGATCTCCATGCGTCATGGCCACAAGGAGTGGAGCTCACTACCCTGGCCTGCAGCCAGCCTGATGTCTCACTGGGGGCAGTCTGAGGAGCTAGTATGGCAGCCCTGGGTACATCTGGCCTCCCAACTTCCCCACAGCTGAGAAGAATGTCCTGGGTGTCCTGTTTGCTCACTCTCTAACCAGTGGGGCCCAGTTGGGGCCTTCTTCTCAGCTTCCCTTCTCAGCAGTGTCCCAGAGGCCCACTAAGTGGCCCTGGAGAGCAGGAGGGAGCTGCTGAAGGGCACTTAGGTATCCTGAACTTGCCTAGAATCTTGTCCCACCTCACACTTTATCTGATGACAGCAGGCTCTGGTCAGAATCCCTCCTTCCCAACTGTTCCTCAGTCTGCCTCTGTAGTAAGGTTTTGGGAATAGGTCCAGCCCAGCAGGATGGAGGCTAAGGCCACCTGTGGGGCAGCTGGACCTGCAGTCTTTTGGGCTCCTCTCCTCCTCCTTTAACTTTCTTCCAATTCCTTAAAAACTTTTTTTTTTTTTTTGGAGACAGGGCCTCACTGTGACCTAAGCTGGAGTGCAGTGGTACCATCACAGCTCACTGCAGCCTCAGCTCAGGTGATCCGCCTGGGCTCAGGTGATCTTCCCACCTCAGCCTCCTGAGTAGCTGGGACTACAGGCGTGTGCCAGCACTCCCAGCTAATTTAGTTTGTATTTTTTGTAGAGACAGAATTTCACCATGTTGCCCAGGCTGGTCTTGAACTCCTGGACTCAAGCCATCCACCCACCTTGGCTCCCAAAGTGTTGCAATTACAGGCATGAGCCACTGTGCCCAGACCCCATAACCTCTTTTTTTTTTGAGACAGAGTTTCGCTCTCATTGCCTAGGCTGGAGTTTCACCATGTTGGCCAGGCTGGTGTTGAACTCCTGACTGCAGGTGATCCACCCACCTCAGCCTCCCAAAGTGCTGAGATTACAGCCCTGAGGCACCGCACCTGGCCACACATCTTTAATCCCTTAAATACAAATGGATCCTCACTGTGCATCCTAGGCCTCTGGCTCTTTGCAGACAGCTCAGTGAGGGTGATTTTACCACTCCCCAGAGCCTCTGTCTTACCAATGGTGAATCTTAAGCCCAGCTTCCTCTCCTGAGCACCAGAGCCCCAATATTCCACTGATCTCCTCATTGCTGACCCAGACTTGCAGACCCCACATAGCTAAAAGCAAGCCCATTCTCCTCCTCTGGATCCTCAGTTCAGTGAATGGCTCCTCCTTCCACCCATTCTCCCAGGCCAGAAACCCAAGAGTCAACCTTGTCTCCTCTCTCTCCTCCAGACCCCACATCCTATCAGTTCTTCCTTCTAAATACCTGTCCCCTGTCTGCCCCTTCTCTCCATCTCCACTCTACTTTCAGGTGAGATAAACACTTCTTCCACCCAGTTACTAACTTCTGCCCTCTAACCTCCAGTTATGCAAACCTAAAGGCCTACAAATCTTTTCCTTGGTTCAGGGGACTCAGATGGCATAACCAGCTCATTCTGACATGTTTGAGAAATCTTTCATTAGATGTCTCAGAGCCAGGTGTGGTGGCTCACGCCTGTAATCCCAGCAATTTGAGAGGCTGAGGTGGGAAGATTGCTTGAGCCCAGAAGTTCAAGACCAGCCTGGGTAACGTAGTAGATCCCTGTAGTTCCAGCTGTTCAGGAGGTTGAGGTGGGATGATCAGTTAGCCAGGGAGTTTGAGGCTGTAGTGAGCTATGATGGCACAGCTGCACTCCAGCCTGGGCAACAGAGCAAGACCTTGTTAAGAAGGAGAAGGAGAAGGAGATTATTTCCAGAAAGCAACATTTTAAAAATCAGGCAATCAAGAATCATAACTAAATAAGGCTGGGCTGGGTGGCTCACACATGTAATCACAACACTTTGAGAGGCCGAGGAGGGCAGATCACTTGAGTTCAGGAGTTTGAGACCCGCCTGGGCAACATGGTGAAACCCTGTCTCTACCAAAATACAAAAAATTAGCCAGGCGTAGTGGTGTGTGCTTGTGGTCCCAACTACTCAGGAGGCTGAGATGGGAGGATTGCCTGAGCCCGGGAAGCGGAGGTTTCAGTGAGCTGAGATCACACCACTGCACTCCAGCCTGGGTGACCCTGTCTCAAAAATAAAATTAATGAATGAGACCCTGTCTCAAAAATAAAATTAAATTTAAAAAAATCACAACTAAATAAAATATCCGCCTTTCAAAATAAACTTGCTTTTCAGACCCTTGTAACAGGGAAATTGTCTAAGAGTTTTTTATTGTACAACTAACACCACTTTGCAAGAGGCTACAAATAATATTTAAAATAATGTATTACATTATTTTAAAAAGCCCCTTGCCCCCAGCATAACACTCTTTTTTTTTTTTTTTTTGAGACGGAGTCTCACTTTGTTGTCCAGGCTGGAGTGCAGTGGGGTGATCTCAGCTCACTGCAACATCTGCCTCCCGACTTCAAGCAATTCCCCTGCCTCAGCCTCCCGAGTAGCTGGGATTACAGGTGTGCACCACCACTCCCAGCTAATTTTTGTATTTTTAGTGGAGACGGGTTTTCACCATATTGGTCAGGCTGGTCTCGAACTCCTGACCTCAGGTGATTTGCCCACCTTGGCCTCTCAAAGTGCTGGGATTACAGGCGTGAACCACCGCACCCGGCCCTCTCTAGCATGACACTCATCAGCAACTTATATAACACAAGCATCTCAGATCTTCAATCCCTTCAAAAGAAGCCAAAATCTGAGTTTTAAATGAAATTTCATAACTTTTAAATGTTGACAATCAGTCCAGGCGCAGTGGCTCATGCCTGTAACCAACTCCAGCACTTTGGGAGGCTGAGGCGAGCGGATCATCTGAGGTCAGGAGTTTGAGACCAGCCTGGCCAACATAGCGAAACCCCATCTCTACTAAAAATACAAAAATTAGCTAGGCTACTCCGAAGGCTGAGGCACAAGAATCGCTTGAACCTGGGCGGTAGAGGTTGCAGTGAAATGAAATCACGGCACTGCACTCCAGCCTGGGCGACAGAGTAAGACTCAGTCTCAAAAAAAAAAAAAAAAAAAAAAATCAGACCTCCACGAATAAGTTTACTGAGAGTCTGAAGGAACTCCCCAAACCTCCATGATTTAGCAGGAGTATGGTCCCTGCGATCATGGACTATGTTTTTGTGCACTAACTCCTGCCGCAGCTCGATAACTGATGGATGCACGAATGAGTGGATGCGTGAATGAATGAAAGCCAGCGCAGATCTAGTATCCTCTGCCCGGTTAATACCTGTCTGAAAGCCGCGGGCCCTGCCCCAGCAGCGGATGCCAAGAGCGCGAGCCAGAGGTCACAGAAGCTCAGCGGGGAGCGGGGCTCGCACAATGCAGGTGCCGGCTGCTCCCTCCCTTCCGCCGCTTTGAGGCTCTAGGACAACCTTGGAGCCGCTTCCTGCGCGCAGCCTGGGGCCTGCGACGTCCGGCTGCCGACCCCCACCTCTGCCTCCTCCAAGCCACAGGCCTAGGTTGTCGGGGAGGATGGGTGGGGGTAGAAGCGCCCCTTGCTAGGCTTGGAACATCTGGCCGAGTCCTGGGCGGAGGGCTGCTGTCCAGTCCCTGGTCCACTTCCCGGCTGTGTGACTGGACACATCTGCCAACTGTGCTGTAATGGATTTGTTGCCTCCTAGTCCCGCCCCTCCTTCTGACACACAGGGTGTCAGAGTAGACCCGCACTCAGAACCGATTTGAATTCGGCACTCCCCATCCCAAGTATGAAAACAATAATAGCTTTGACATCATGGAACACCTTCTAGGTGATGGAAACGCCCAGCTGAGAGTTTTGCATGGATGATCCTATTTAATCTTCACCACGGTCAGGCATGATAAGCAGGAATCTCCCTATTTGACAGGTTAGGAGACAAGACCAGTTTGGTTTAGGTGCCTTTCTCAGGTCACACAGTTAGGGGTGGCGCAGCCTAGATGTGCCTAACTCCAGTGTCTTGCTTGTTCCTGGGTTTTCTGTGTGGCGGCTCCAATACTTAGGCCCAGGGACTTGAGCCAGGCCTGAGGATATGAACCGAGGTGGGGGCTTCCCTGCCCTTCATAAAGCTTCCTTTCTGATGGGGGATGATCGTTCTAGCACTGGATGATCACCAACCTTACTTCGTTGCTAGGCAGACAGAAAGGGATGCCTGAGCACTTAAGTATAGACCAATTTCCGGTGGATGGAACAGTTGCGCAAAGCTGGAGTCAGGGTGGGAACTTCCAGGTCACGTTCCTGCAACAACACAACAATGCTCCCATGATGCCCCCAACAACTTCTACCAGCTGAAATGGGGTGCTCCCTCCACAGGGATATCTCTGAGTGTGTCTGTGTCAGCAAGACCTCTGGAAAATTCCATGTCCTCCCCATAACACCTGATGTGGGGATGCCTAAGCAGCGATAGCCTGGCAAATGTTTAACAAACTGGAAGGTGGGCGGCAGGAGGTGGGGAACCCTGATTTGTAGCATTTGTGGGTTTCCATGAAGTAAATAATCTGCCATGACCAACTGCAAGCTACCAAAGTTGAAGTTGGGCCGGGCACAGTGGCTCACGCCCGTAATCCAAGCACTTTGGGAGGCTGAGGCGGGTGGATCACTTGAGCTCAGGAGTCTGAGACCAGCCTGGCCAACATGGTGAAACCTCGTCTCTACTAAAAAAATACAAAATTAGCCAGGTGTGGCAGCAGGCACCTGTAATCCCAGCTACTTGGGAGGCTGAGGCAGGAGAATCACTTGAACCCAGGAAGCACAGGTTGCAGTGAGCCAAGATCGCGCCATTGCACTCCAGCCTGGGCAACAAGAATGAAACTCCATCTCAAAACAAAACAAAACAAAACAAAACAAAACAAAAAATCAAAGTTGAAGTTGGACAGTAGCAAACCACTACATAGTACTTTCACCATAACTGATATGATAGGCAGATAATAGTAAAACATAATAAAATAATTAGGGATTGATTTTTATTTTATTTATTTATTTTTGAGACAAGGGCTCATTCCATCACTAGGCTGGAGCGCAGTGGCGCAATCACAGCTCACCGCAGCCTCGATCTCTCAAGCTAAAGTGATCCTTCCACCTCAGCTTCCCAAGTAGCTGGGACTACAGGCGCTCACCACTATGCCCAGCTGATTTTTGTATTTTTTGTAGAGATGGGGTTTCACCCTGTTGCCCAGGTGGGTCTCAAACTCCTGGGCTCAAGTCATCTGCCCACCTTGACCTCCCAAAGTGCTGAGATTATATGTGTGAGCCACCATGCCCAGCCAATATAGTTTATTTAAATGTAAATTTATATAGTTTAATTTTTACTTTATTAATTTTGTGCCCTAATTCCATGACACATTATAATTTTTATTTTTTAATTTTAATTTTATTTTTTATTTATTTTTTTTTGAGACGGAGTCTTGCTCTGTTGCCCAGGCTGGAGTGCAGTGGCATGATCTCAGCTCACTGCAACCTCCGCCTCCCAGGTTCACACCATTCTCCTGCCTCAGCCTCCCGAGTAGCTGGGACTACAGGCGCCTGCCACCACACTCGGCTAACTTTTTACATTTTTAGTAGAGATGGGGTTTCACCGCGTAAGCCAGGATGGTCTCAATCTCCCGACCTCGTGATCCGCCCGCCTTGGCCTCCCAAAGTGCTGGGATTACAGGCGTGAGCCACCATGCCTGGCCTTTTTTTTTTTTTTTCTCTCTCTTTTTTAAATTTGAGACATGGTCTTGCTCTGTCTCCCAGGCTAGAGTGCAGTGGTGCAATCATAGCTCACTGCAGCGTGGACCTTTCAGACTCAAGTGATGCTCCCATCTCAGCCTTCTGAGTAGCCGGGACTAGAGGTGCACACCACCATGCCTGGCTAATTTTTTGATTTTTTTGTAGAGACAAGGGTCTCCCTATGTTGCTTAGGATGGTCTCGCACTGGGCTTAAGCGATTCTCCCACCTGGGCGTCCCAAATTGCTGGGATTACAGGTGTGAGCCACCGTGCCCAGCTATAATTTAATATTTAATGACCAAGTTTACCAACCAGCTCTCAAGATTCCTGAAAATGCAAGAGTCAATTCTCACTAAGCTGATACAAGCCAGTTCCAGCACAGCACTGAACCTAGATCACTGGGTCCACTGGCTCCTGGGGCCGTCAGCTCCTTCTGTTTCCTCCAGCCTCAGGGCTCCCACGCATCTAGCCTGGGTTTCCCTCCCCATCTCTCTAGCCTGGGTTTCCCTCCCCATCTCTCTAGACTGGGTTTCCCTCTAGTGGACAGAATTGTTATTTCCAGGTGATTATCTTGCTCCACCTGTGCCCAGAGCTCAGCACCTTAAGAAGGGTGCGGAGGAAGTTTGTCATCAATCCTCCTTAAGACCTTAAGGGGCTGCTCTGCCTATGGAATAGCCATTCTTTTATTTCTTTGCCTTCTTGATAAACTTGCTTTCACTTCAAAAAAAAAAAAAAAGTACCTTAAAAAGGGTACATAACAGTCTCACAATTGCCCTCAAGCACAAGTCACTTAGTATTATGTCCCCGTGAGGGGGAGTGCCAGGAGGGCCTCCTTGGGCTTTAGTCATTATCACAATCTCCAGAGCTGCTCAGAAATCCCATCTCATCCTCTGTGTGGCAGCTCAGGCTGGCTATATTAGCCCTTCAGGTTTGGGGAATACCCCGCCTGACCCTGACCCCTGCAATTAATTAGCTCTATCTCTGAGAAGGTAAACTGGAAGATTCAGTTTGTGTTAGGAATCAAGCTCTCACACAATTCATAGCCCACTGGGGAAACACTGATGGAGGCCATTCATGTGTTGGGCAAAGATGAAACCATGGAGTCTGTTAGATGCAGATCTGGGGCTCAGGATGCTGCATCCTGCATTACACCAGGACTCTTTTCTCCCAGAAGTGATCTTTCCAAAGCACAGATATATCTGTCACTCTTCCGTTCACAAGCCTCCTATGATTCTCCAATGCTTTCAGCTTTAGTACAAGTTCCTTAGCCAGGCTTTGAGGGCCTTGATTGGGACCTTACCCAGATTGTTTACCTTAAATGTCCAGGCCAGGTGCGGCAGCTCACAACTGTAATTCCAGCACTTTGGGAGGCCGAGGTGGGCAGATCACGAGGTCAGGCGATCAAGACCATCCTGGCCAACATGGTGAAACCCCATCTCTACTAAAAATATAAAAAGTAGCTGGGCATGGTTGCATATGCCTGTAGTCCCAGGTACTTGGGAGGCTGAGGCAGGAGAATCCCTTGAACCTGGGAGGCGGAGGTTGCAGTGAGCCAAGATCGCACCACTGCATTCCAGCCTGGCAACAGAGCGAGACTCTGTCTCAAAATTAAAAAAACAAAAAGAAGAAGAGAAGAAAACTGACATTTTTGGAATTCTCCTCTGTGCCAGGCACTGTGCTAAAACTTTGCAGTTTAATTTAATTCTCCAATAATGCTGCTAGATAGGAAAAAACCTCTCTAGAGATGAGAAAACTAAGGGTCAGTACAAGCCTGCTCACCGTAACACTGCTTCAGAGTAGTTTTTCCTTCATCCTACTTCTGTTTATTTTTTTTTTTTTATTTTTTTGAGATGGAGTTTTGTTCTTCTCACCCAGGCTGGAGTGCAATGGCGTGATCTCGGCTCACTGCAACCTTTGCCTCCCAGATTCAAGCAATTCTCCTGCCTCAGCCTCCCGAGTAGCTGGGACTACAGGTGCCCGCCACCACACCCGGCTAATTTTTGTATTTTTAGTAGAGACGGGTTTCATCATGTTGGCCAGGCTGGTCTTGGAACTCCTGACCTCAGGTAATCTGCCTGTCTCAACCTCCCAAAGTGCTGGGATTACAGGCGGGAGCCACCACTCCTGGCCTGTTCTTGAAAGCTGCTGTTTTCTCTCTAAGCCTGGTCCCTTCCCCAGGTTGGCTGCAGAGGGAGACACAAGATCTCCTGAACCCCTTTTTCACTGAACTTAAAGCAAGGCCACATTCCTTAGGGTTCTAAGGAAAGCACAGCTTTGCAGTGAAACCCAAGCCAAGGTAACAGAGCCACAGATATAGGATAAGAAACCAGATTTTACACCTGGTTAATTCTTCTGGGGCCAGCTCCAGAGCCCTTCCTCTTCCTAACTCTCCCCTCCCTAAATCTTTTTTCTCCTCCTCTCCCCTCTTCACCTCCTTACTTCCACTAAAATCCTAGACATCTTATGGATCAGATCAAATTTCCCTCCTCCAGAAAGCCCTCTCAGACAACCTGGATCAGGAATCTGCCTAATGAAAATAAGAATTGTTGGCCGGGCACAGTGGTTCACGCCTGTAATCCCAGCACTTTGGGAGGCCAAGGTGGGCGGATCACGAGGTCAGGAGATCGAGACCATTCTGGTCAACAAGGAGAAACCCCATCATTACTAAAAATACAAAAATTAGCTGGGCATGGCGGCTCATGCCTGTGATCCCAGCTACTTGGGAGGCTGAAGCAGGAGAATCGCTTGAACCTCGGAGGTGCAGATTGCAGTGAGCCAAGATCGTGCCACTGAACCGTAGCCTGGCGAGACTCCATCAAAGGAAGGAAAAGAAAGAAATAAAGGAAGAGAGAGAAAGAGAAAGAAAGAAAGAAAGAAAGAAAGAAAGAAAGAAAGAAAGAAAGAAAGAAAGAAAAGAAAAGAAAAAAAAGAAAAGAAAAGAAAAGAAAAAAGAAAAGAAAAGAAATTGTTGCAGCTTAAAAGGAAGAACAGCCCAGATGCAGTGGCTCATGCCTGTAATCCCAGCATTTTGGGAGCCTGGGCAAGTGGATCGCTTGAGTCCAGGAATTCAAGATCAGCCTGGCCAACATGGTGAAACCCTGTCTTTACTAAAAATGCAAAATTAATCGGGTGTGGTTCCGTGTGCCTGTAGTTTCACCTACTCCGGAGGTTGAGGTGGGAGAACCGTTGAGCCCAGGAGGTGGAGGTTGCCGTGAGCCAAGATTGTGCCACTGCACCCCAGGCTGGGTGACAGAGCAAGACCCTATCTCAATCAATCAATAAATAAATGGAAGAACAAATTTCTGGCTAAATATGAAGATTGTTCACATGTGCTTATCTCCACTCCTGAAATTCCACTAAAATGACAGCAAGTGGATTAGAAGAAATTGTTTTAATTTACGAGCACACACACAAAAAAAGGAACGCCAGGCGCGGTGGCTCACGCCTGTAGTCCTAGCACTTTGAGAGGCTGAGGCGGGTGGATCACCTGAGGTCAGGAGTTCAAGACCAGCCTGACCAACATGGTGAAACCCCATCTCTACTAAAAATACAAAAAAAAATTAGCCAGGCATGGTGGTGGGCGCCTATGATCCCAGCTGCTCTGGAGGCTGAGGCAGGAGAATCACTTGTACCCGGGAGGTGGAGATCACGCCATTGCACTCCAGTCTGGGTGACAGAGCAAGACACCACCTCAAAAGAAAAAAATAAAGTCTAGTATCCAGTTTTATCCCCACTGACACTGAGCTCTGAGTGGCTCTTAAAAATATATAAAATTTTATAAAAAGAGTCTAGTATCCAGACTATATAATAAATTCTTACAACATGACAACAAAAAGACAACTCAGTTAAAAATGGGCCAGGTGGCTGGGTGTGGTAGCTCACACCTATAATACCAGCACTTTGGGAGGCCCAGGCAGGAGGACCCTTTGAGTCCAAGAGTTCAAGACCACCCTGGGCAACATAGAGAGACCTCCTTTCTACAAAAGATCAAAAGATTAGCTGGGGCCAGGCATGGTGACTCACACTTGTAATCCCAGCACTTTGGGAGGCTGAGGCAGGTAGATCATTTGAGGTCAGGAGTTGGGGACCAGTTTGGCCAACATGGTAAGATCTGGGTATCTACTAAAAATACAAAAATTAGCCGGGCATGGTGGCATGCACCTATAATCCCAGCTGCTCGAGAAGCTGAGGTAGGAGAATCACTTGAACCCAGGAGGCAGAGGTTGCAGTGAGCCAAGATAGAGCCAGTGCACTCTAGCCTGGGCGACCGGGTGAGACTGTGTGTTGAAAAAAAAAAAAAGATTAGCTGGGTGTGGTGGCTGGCCTCTAGTCCCAGCTACTCAGGAAGCTGAGGTAGAAGGATCACTTAAGCCCAGGAGGTAGAGGCTGCAGTGAGCCATGATCATGCCACTGCAGTCCAGTGTGGGCCATAGAACGAGACAATATCTCAAATAAATAAATAAGCAAGCCAGGTATGGTGGCACATGCCTGTGGTCTCAGCTACACTACTCAGGAAACTGAACGGGGAGGATTGTTTGAGACCAGGAGGTCAAGGCTGCAGTAAGCTGTGATGGTGCTACTGCACTCCAGCCTAGGTGACAGAATATGACCCTGTCTCAAAAAAAAAAAAAAAAGTGGGGAGTGACAAAGGATTTGAATAGACATTTATCCAAACAAGATATATTAACAGCCAATAAGCACATGAAAAGATAATCAACATTATTAGTTGTTAGAGAAATGCAACTCAAAACCACAAGAAGGCCCGGCACGGTAGCTCATTCCTGTAATCCTAGCACTTTGGGAGGCCAAGGTGGACGCATCATTTGAGGTCAGGAATTCCAGACCAGCCTGGCTAACATGGTGAAACCCTGTCTCTACTAAAATACACAAATTAGGGCTAGGCACAGTGGTTCATGCCTGTAATCAGAGCAGTTTGTGAGGCTGAGGCAGGCGGATCACCTGAGTTCATGAGTTCTAGACCAGCCTGGCCAACATGGTGAAACCCAGTCTCTACTAAAAAATACAAAAATTAGCTGGATGTGGTGGCATGTGTCCGTAATCCCAGCTACTCAGGAGGCTGAGGCAGGAGAGTTGCTTGAACCTGGGAGGCAGAGGTTGCAGTGAGCTGAGACATGCCACTGCACTCCAACCTGGGCAACAAGCGAGATTCCGTATCAAAAAATAATAATAGGCCGGGTGTGGTGGCTCATGCCTATAATCCCAGCATTTTGGGAGACCAAGGCGGGCAGATCACATGAGTTCAGGAGTTCAAGACAAGCCTAGCTAACATGGTGAAACCCTGCCTCTACTAAAAATACAAAAATTAGCCGGGCATAGTGGCACACGCCTGTAGTCCCAGCTACTCTGGAGGCTGAGGCAGGAGAATCACTTGAACCCAGGAGGCAGTGGTTGCAGTGAGCCAAGATCATGCCATTGCGCTCCAGCTTGGGCAACAAGAGCGAAACTCCATCTCAAATAATAATAATAATAATAACATAAAATAAATTGGTAAAATACAGAATTACCCAGCCTTGGTGGTGCATGCCTATAATCCTAACTACTCAGGAGGCAGAGGTGGGAGGATTGCTTGAGCCCACTAGAAGGCAGAGGTTGCAGTGAGCAGAGATCATGCCATTGCACTCCAGCCTCGACAACAGTGTGGGACCCTGTCTAAAAAAAAAAAAAAAAAAAAAAAAAAAACAAAATAAAAACAAAAACAAAAAAACCACAATGAGATACCACTTCCACACCCATTAAAGATGGCTGTAGTAATAATAATAATAAGCTCGAGAATAACGGGCAGGGCTGTGGCTCACACCTGTAATCCCAGCACTTTGGGAAGCCAAGGTAGGCAGACCACTTGAGCCCAGGAGTTCAAGACCAGCCTGGCCAACGTGGTGAAACCCCATCTCTACTAAAAATACAAAAAAAATTAGCTGGGGGTGGTGGCGCGCACCTATAATCCCAGCTACTCTGGAGGCCGAGGCAGAAGAATCGCTTGAACCCAGGAGGTGGAGGTTGCAATGAGCCGAGATCGTGCCACTGAACTCCAGCCTGGGCAACAGAGCAAGACTGCATCTCAAAAAAAGGAAAAAAAAAGAAAATAGAGATATTCCTCTCCCTCTCCGTCTCCCTCTCCCTCTCCCTCTCCCTCCCCCTCCCCCTCCCTCTCCCTCTCCCTCTCCCCACGGTCTCCCACTCCCTCTCTTTCCACGGTCTCCCTCTGATGCCGAGCCAAAGCTGGACGGTACTGCTGCCATCTCGGCTCACTGCAACCTCCCTGCCTGATTCTCTTGCCTCAGCTTGCCGAGTGCCTGCGATTGCAGGCGCACGCCGCCACGCCTGACTGGTTTTCGTATTTTTTTGGTGGAGACGGGGATTCGCTGTGTTGGCTGGGCTGGTCTGCAGCTCCTAACCGCGAGTGATCCGCCAGCCTCGGCCTCCCGAGGTGCCGGGATTGCAGACGGACTCTCGTTCACTCAGTGCTCAATGGTGCCCAGGCTGGAGTGCAGTGGCGTGATCTCCGCTCACTACAACCTCCACCTCCCAGCAGCCTGCCTTGGCCTCCCAAAGTGCCGAGATTGCAGCCTCTGCCCGGCCGCCACCCCGTCTGGGAAGTGAGGAGCGTCTCCGCCTGGCCGCCCATCGTCTGGGATGTGAGGAGCCCCTCTGCCTGGCTGCCCAGTCTGGAAAGTGAGGAGCGTCTCTGCCCGACCGCCATCCCATCTAGGAAGTGAGGAGCGCCTCTTCCCGGCCGCCATCACATCTGGGAAGTGAGGAGCGTCTCTGCCCGGCCGCCCATCGTCTGAGATATGGGGAGCACCTCTGCCCTGCCGCCCCGTCCGGGATGTGAGGAGCGTCTCTGCCCGGCCGCCCCGTCTGAGAAGTGAGGAGACCCTCTGCCTGGCAACTGCCCCGTCTGAGAAGTGAGGAGCCCCTCCGCCCAGCAGCCGCCCCGTCTGAGAAGTGAGGAGCCCCTCCGCCCAGCAGCCACCCCGTCTGGGATGTGAGGAGCGTCTCCGCCCGGCAGCCACCTCGTCCGGGAAGGAGGTGGGAGGGTCAGCCCCCCGCCCGGCCAGCCGCCCCGTCCGGGAGGGAGGTGGGGGGGTCAGCCCCCCGCCCGGCCAGCCGCCCCGTCCGGGAGGTGAGGGGCGCCTCTGCCCGGCCGCGCCTACTGGGAAGTGAGGAGCCCCTCTGCCCGGCCACCACCCCGTCTGGGAGGTGTACCCAACAGCTCATTGAGAACGGGCCATGATGACAATGGCGGTTTTGTAGAATAGAAAGGGGGGAAAGGTGGGGAAAAGATTGAGAAATCGGATGGTTGCTGTGTCTGTGTAGAAAGAGGTAGACATGGGAGACTTTTCATTTTGTTCTGTACTAAAAAACTCTTCTGCCTTGGGATCCTGTTGATCGGTGACCTTACCCCCAACCCTGTGCTCTCTGAAACATGTGCTGTATCCACTCAGGGTTGAATGGATTAAGGGCGGTGCAAGATGTGCTTTGTTAAACAGATGCTTGAAGGCAGCATGCTCCTTAAGAGTCATCACCACTCCCTAATCTCAAGTACCCAGGGACACAAACACTGCGGAAGGCCGCAGGGTCCTCTGCCTAGGAAAACCAGAGACCTTTGTTCACTTGTTTATCTGCTGACCTTCCCTCCACTATTGTCCTGTGACCCTGCCAAATCCCCCTCTTCGAGAAACACCCAAGAATATCAATAAAAAATAAATAAATAAATAAAAAAGAAACATCGTAAAAGAAAAAAAAAAGAAAATAACAAATGTTGGCACAAATAGGCAAATAAAAAAACCACTGAATCACACACTTTATTTTTTATTTTTTATTTATTTATTTTTTTTGCAACAAGTTCTTACTCTGTTGCTCAGGCTAGAGTGCAGCACTGCAATCATGGCTTACTGCATCCTCAACCTCCCGGGCTAGAACAGTCCTCCCGCTTCAGCTCCCTGAGTGAGCAGCTGGGACTGCAACGCACAACACCACATCCAGCTAATACATTTTTTTTTTTTTTTGAGTCAGAGTCTCGATCTGTCGCCCAGGCTGGAGGGCAGTGGCGCGATCTTGGCTCACTGCAAGCTCTGCCTTCTGGGTTGAAGCGATTTTCGTGCCTCAGCCTCCTGAGTAGCTGGGATTACAGGCCTGTGCCACCATGCCCGGCTAATTTTTTGTATTTTTAGTAGAGATGGGTTTTTGTCATGTTGACCAGGCTGGTCTCAAACTCCTGACCTCAGGTGATCCGCCCACCTTGGTCTCCCAGAGTGCTGGGATTACAGGTGTGAGCAACCATGCTGGCCAGCTAATATTTTTGTCTTTTTTTTGTAGAAATGTTACCCATGCTAGTCTCGAACTCCTGGGTTCAAGCAATTTGCCCACCTTGACCTCCCAAAGTGTTGGGATTACAGGCATGAGCCGCTGCACCTGGCCTGAATTGCACACTTTAAATGGTTAAAATGTTGAATTTTACGGCATGTGAATTTTTCCTCAATTTTTAAAAAAAGAAAATGAGGGGGAGGAGACAACAGCAATTGACAGATATATACAAACCTTGTGAAGCTTGAAAGCAGACAGATAAGGGCTGGCTGATTTAGCAAAAGGCCAGAAAAATCAGAAACTAACTGCTTATGGTGGGAGTGGGAGAAGGAGAAGTATCAACAAGGAGCAAGCCCATGAGTGCATCAGAACCCAAGAACAGCTCATCAACTGGAGGCACTGGATATTTCTAAAGGCAGGATGGTAGGATGGGGCTGAAAAGAAGAAGATTGGATGAAAGTAAAAGGAATTAGACTCCTAAATTTTCTCCCTCAACTTCTGTAATCAGGTGACTGCCCTCTTCCTACCTGGCGGGAGACAGGTTGAATTGAGAGGCTGTGGATTTGGGAACACCAGGCACAGCTGAGAACAAGAGTGATGGACTGTACTGAAGTCAGGGAGGGATTAGCTGAACCATAAGATAGATCCCTTCATCTCCTTTCCCCTCTTGGTACCCAGAAGGCTGGCAGCCAGGTTTCTAACCTCGCCCTGGTAGATTAGAGGCCTTCTATATGTGAAAATAGAAAGGTAGGTGGCTCATGCCTGTAATCCCAGCACTTTGGGAGGCTGAGGTGGGTGGATTACCTGAGGTCAGGAGTTCGAGAACAGCCTGGCCAACACGGTGAAACCCCGTCTCTACTAAAAATAAAAAAAATTAGCTGCGGCTGGGTGCAGTGGATCACACCTGTAATCCCAGCACTTTGGAAAGCTGAGGCAGGTGGATCACGAGGTCAGGAGATTGAGACCATCCTGGCTAACACAGTGAAACCCCGTCTCTACTAAAAATACAAAAAAAAAAGAAAATTAGCCGGGCATGGTGGCAGGCGCCTGTAGTCCCAGCTACTTGGGAGGCTGAGGCAGGAGAATGGCGTGACCCTGGGAGGCGGAGCTTGCAGTGAGCCAAGATCGTGCCACTGCACTCCAGCCTGGGCGACTGAGCAAGACTCCGTCTCAAAAAAAAAAAAAATTAGCTGGGCATGGTGGCAGGCGCCTGTAATCCCCAGGTACTTGGGAGGCTGAGGCAGGAGAATAGCTTGAACCCGGAAAGCGGAGGTTGCAGTGAGCCGAGATTGCACCATTGCACTACAGCCTGGGTGACAAGAGTGAAACTCTGTCCCAGAAAAGAAAAGAAGAGAAAAGAAAAGAAGAAAAAAGAAAAGAAAAGAAAAGAAAGGAAAAGAAAAGAAGAAAAGAAAAAAAAGAAAAAGAAAGATGTACTCATACTGACAGTTGAGGAGTCCCCTGCTAGGTACCTGCCTAAAACCCTTTAGTGAAGCTCAGTAATCAAATACCTCCCCACACACACATATAGAGCTTTCAATCAGCTTTTAATGCCTCACTGTTTTGTTTTGTTTTCTTTAACATGTGGTCTCACTATATTGCCCAGGCTGATCTTGAACTCCTGGGCCCAAGCAATCCTCCTGCCTCAGTCTCCCAAGGGATTACATATGCACACCACCATGCCTGGCTCTACTCTGTAATATACATAAACATCTATACCAAGGATTATCGGATGTTTGAGAAAGCCTCTAATGAAACACACAGAGCAAAGTAAGCAAGGGAGAAGTCAGAGAAAACAGGGAGCAGGAAAGACTTTCAAAATTTATAATAAGTATGAAAACTATTATTAATAGCCTCAGAGGAAAATGGGAAAAAGATTGTGTCCATGGAAAAAGAACAGGAAGCTCCAAAAAGGGAACATTTAGGGAACAACAAGAAAAAGAGGTCTTAAAAATTAAAAAATATCAGTCAAAAAATGTTTAAGTTGAGAAAAGGATTGGAAGTTGAGAACATGAATAAAAGGATTGGACGTTTGGCTGGGTGTGGTGGCTCACACTAATAATCCACCTATAATCCCAGCACTTTGGGAGGCTGAGGCAGGTGGATTGCTTAGCTCAGGAGTTTGAGACCAGCCTAGCAAATATAGGGAAACCCTATCTCTATTTTTATTTTAGAAAAAAAAAAGGATTAGAAGTTTGACTCCTAGGAAGTTGAACAGAACACATAAAGGTAGAGATGAGAGAAAAGAAAAGACAAGACAGGAGTTTCAGAGAGGGAGAAGGGAAAAAAAATGGAGGGGAGGAATTTCCCAAAGGAATAATTACAGAGTGAATTGGTTTCCATATTAAAAGATTTAGGGCAGCTGGGTGTGGTGGCGCCTGCCTGTAATCCCAGCACTTTGGGAGGTCAAGGCAGGCAGATCACTTGAAGTCAGGAGTTCAAGACCAGCCTGCCCAATATGGGGACACTCCATCGCTACTAAAAATAACAAAATTAGCCAGGCATGATGATGGGCACCTGTAATCCCAGGTACTTGGGAGGCTGAGGTGGGACAACTGCTTGAACCCAGGAGGTAGAGGTTGCAGTGAGCTGAGATTGTGCCACTGCACTCCAGCCTGGGTGACAGAGCAAGACTCCGTCTCAATTTAAAAAAAATAAATAGCAGGGCATAGTGGATCACGCCTGTAATCCCAACACTTTGGGAGGCTGAGGCAGGCAGATCACGAGGTCAGAAGATCGAGACCATCCTGGCTAACATGGTGAAACCCCGTCTCTACTAAAAATACAAAAAGTTAGCCGGGCGTGGTGATGGGCACCTGTAGTCCCAGCTACTCGGAAGGCTGAGGCAGGAGAATGGCGTGAACCCAGGTGGCAGAGCTTGCAGTGAGCCAAGATTGCGCCACTGCACTCCAGCCTGGGAGACGAGCGAGACTCCATCTAAAAAAAATAAAAATAAAATAAATAAATAAATAAATAAAAAGGCTTAGCGCAAAGAATTCAAAAAGATGCTGCAATGCAATTCTGACACTATCTAGAGTTAGGCCAAACTTCACAAGTTAATGGCACAGTCTCCACAAGACTGCCTTCACTTCAGAAACCAGCTATTAATAGAAGCTCAGGGTTTCCCAGGCCACCCACACTTCTGACCAAATGACTACAAATCTGGGGGTTCCCACTACCTACTTAGGTTCAATAATTCCACAGAACACCAAACTCAGGAAAGCACTAAACTTATAGTTACAGTTTTATTATAGCAAAGGCAATACAAATCAGGACCAGGCAAAAGAAGAGACACAAAAGGCAAGGTCTTGGAGGATCCCAAACTTAAAGCTTCCAGTGTCCTTTTCCCGTGAAGTCAGGATGCATCATCCTCTGGCACATTGATGTGTAACAATACACACAGACTATTATTAACCAGAAAAGCTCACCAGAGCTTCAGTGTCCAGAGTTTTTATTGAGGGTTCATTATGTAGGCACGATTAACTGAATCATTGTCCAGATTATTTAACTAAATCTCCAGCCCTCTTCCCCTGCCCAGAGGTCAGATTGATTATCAAGTGGCTCAAAAGCCCAGCACTCTAATCACATGGTTTGTCTTTCTGGCATGGACAGCCCCTATCATGAGTCATCTTAAACTATCTAGGGGTCCCCCATGGGCCACCTTATTAGCATAAGCTATCAGTGCCTGCCATAAATAACAGACACACCTATTACCTGGGAAATTCCAAGGATTTAGAGGTTACCTCCAAGGAACTGGGGAGAAAGGCCAATAAATTCTTTATTCCAACAGACCCACACCAAGGCACATCATTGAAAACATTTAAAATGCCAGGGACAAAGAATATATCCTAAAAGCTACCAGAGAAACAGGTCACATACAAAGGTTTGTAGATAAAATGACATCAGTCTTCTCAATAGCAATACTGGCTGCTAAGAAACAGAAAAAAAGTACTTTTAGAATTCTCAGGGGAAATTATTTTCTAATCTAATATTCTCTAGCCAGCCAAACCATCAACCAAAGGGTATACCAAAGAAAATTTCAGAAACACAAAGTCTCAAAACTTTTACTTCCCAAGTACCTTTTCTCAAAGCAGCTGCTGGAGGATATGCTCCACCAAAGTGAGGAAGTAAAACGAGAAAGAGGAAGAAACAAGCTCCAGAAAACAGGGGATGCGACACAGGAGAGAAGCAGAGGGAATTTCCAAGATGATGGTAAAGGGAAGTCACAGGATGACAATTGTGAAGCAGGCCAAGAGATCAATAAGTTCAGACTAGAACAGGAAGACAAAGGACTCCAACCAAGATGATTCCTAGAAAAAAAATGTAACTGATAGACTGATTACCTAGTGTGTTTGACCATATGGAGTAATCTTTGTAGCTCTAGTGGGAATGTGTAGGGTTAAATTCATAATAGATATGTAGAAATCTAAGCAAAAGAAAAACTGAGGCAATTTAACACTGAAAAAAAATATTGTATAAGAAAGGAATTATAAACTGGGTACAGTGGCTTAGGCCAGCATTTGGGGAGGCCCAGGCAGGAGGATCACTGAGCCCAGGAGTTCAAGACCAGCCTGGGCAACATAGTCAGACCCTGTATCTACAAAAAAAAAAAGAAAAGAAAAGAAAAAAAAATTTTTAATTAGCCAGGTGTGGTGGTGTGCACCTGCAGTCCTAGCTACTAGGGAGGCTGAGGTAAGAGGATCGCTTGAGCCCAGGAGGCTGAGACTACAGTGAGCCAAAATGGTGCCACTGCACTCAAGCCTGGGCAACAGAGTGAGACCTTGTCTTGAAAAAAGAAAAAAAAAGAAAGTAAAGGAAATTTAGGCTGGCTCTGGAAGCTCTACCTATGAGTATGAGTTAGGCTTGCTCTGCAAGGGCAATTTAAAAAAAGAAAAAGAAAAGAAAAAGAAAAAGGGCCGGGCATGGTGGCTCACGCCTGTAATCCCAGAACTTTGGGAGGCTGAGGTGGGTGGATCACCTGAAGTCAGGAGTTTGAGACCAGCCTGGCCAACATAGTGAAACCCCATCTCTACTAAAAATACAAAAATTAGCCAGGCATGGTGGCGCACACCTGTAGTCTCAGCTACTCAGGAGGCTGAGGCAGAAGAATTGCTTGAACTCAGGAGGTAGAGGTTGCAGTAAGCAGAGATCATGCCATTGCACTCTAGCCTGGGCAACAGAGCAAGACTCCATCTCAAAAAAATAAAGAAAAAGAAAGAAATTTAAAAATCAGGAAAAAGTAGATCTCTGTATTGGTCAAAATATGGAAAGAAATATGAGGGACAGTCCTGGCATGGTGGCTGAGGCAGCCAGATCGCAAGGTCAGGAGTTTGAGACCTGCCTGACCAACATGGTGAAACCCTGTCTCTACTAAAAATATAAAAATTAGCCGGGCATGGTGGCACACACCACACACACACACTCAGTGATGTGAGCTGAGATCACATCACTGCATTCCATCCGGGGCGACAGAGTGAGACTTTGTTTCAAAAAACAAAAACAAAAACAAAAAACAAAAAGCTAAAACAATAGCTGCCTTTGGGGAGTGGGAATCAGTTGATGGCAAGACAGAAGATGGCCTTTTTTTTTTAACTTTGCCATATGCCTAATTGATTTTTTAAAAAATTATTACATGTATTTTGATTAAAAACATATTTTAGAAAAAATAAAGGAAATAAAATATTGCAGAAAAATGGAAGGTCCCTGGGGTAGCATTTGTTACCTTGGTAAATTCATCAGCATCCTGGGTCCAGCTTAGAAACCAGAGTTGTTAGCCCTAAAAGCAGCAGCATCTCTACAGAACAGACACACATTAACCAGGTTCATGAGACTGATATTGCAAATCAGATGCCAATTCATTAATTTATAAGAGGAAGCAGGGCTTTGAAGCAGACTGGATCTTCCTGTTCAATGATGAGTGCATTCTCTCCCTGTGGACTGATCTACATAGGAAACAGAATGGTTTTTAGAGGGTTGCTTGGTGATCCAGAGCATGAGTGAGGTAGGGGGTGAATTGAGTGGCTCCAAAGAATGGTACTTCCATCTCCCTTTTTCCTGGACCAGCATCTTTGTCCCCAGAGAAGGGACACTGCTGGTGATTGTCTTGGCAACTCTCCCTGATCTCTGGCTTCCTTGGCTGCCCAGACCCTCCTAACTGGCACCCTCTTTCTTTAGCTGCATTAATACTTTTAACCAGGTTGTAGTCTAGACTGGGCCTGAGAGTTCTTCTGTCTCTATAAGGTATAGTTTGGCTCTGCGTCTGCAACCAAATCTCATCTCGAATTGTAATCCCCATGTGTCCAGAGAGAAACCTGGTAGGAGGTGATGGATCATGGGGGCAGTTTCCCCCATACTGTTCTTGTGATAGTGAGTGAATTCTCACGAGACTCGATGGTTTTATAAATGGCAGTTTTTCCTGCACTCACACCCTTTCCTGCTGCTTTGTGAAGAAGATGCTTGCTTCTCCTTCCCCTTCTGCCATAATTGTAAGTTTCCTGAGGCCTCCCAAGCCATGCGGAACTATGAGTCAATTAAACCTCTTTTGTTTATAAATTACTCAATCTCAGGTGTTTCTTTACAGCAGTGTCAAAACAAACTAATACAATTGGCATATCTCTACTTTAAAGCATTAGAGGTGAGATGTGGTGGCTCACATATGTAATCCCCGCACTTTGAGAGGCCAAGGTGAGAGGATCACTTGGGCCCAGGAGTTTGAGACCAGCCTGGGCAGCATAGGGAGACCCCATCTCTACAAAAAATTAGCCAAGTGTGGTGGTGCATGCCTCCTATGGTCCCAGCTACTCAGGAGGCTGACGTAGCAGGATCCCTGGAGCCCAGGAAGTCAAGGCTGCAGTGAGCCATGATTGCACCACCGCACTCCAGTCTGGGCAACAGAATGAGACCCTGTCTCAAAAAAACACAACAAAAAAATTCGGAGGCCAAGACAGGTGGATCACTTGAGGTCAGGAGTTCAAGACCAGCCTGGCCAACATGGTGAAACCCCATCTCTAGTAAAAATACAAAAAATTAGGGGGAGGGGGGAGGGATAGCATTATGAGAAATACCTAAAGTAAATGACGAGTTAATGGGTACACCAACATGGCACATGTATACATATGTAACAAACCTGCACATTGTGCACATGTACCCTAGAACTTAAAGTATAATAATAATAAAAAAAAAGGGACAGAAGCAGTATGATCTTTAAAAAAAAAAAATTAGCTAGGCGTGGTGACAGGTGCCTGTAATCCCAGCTACTCGGGAGGCTGAGGCAGGAGAATCACTTGAACCGGGGAGGCGGAGGTTACAGTGAGCCGAGATTGCGCCACTGCACTCTAGCCTGGGCAACAGAGTGAGACTTGTCTTAAAGGAAAAAAAAAAAAAACGCAAAAACTAAAACATTAGAGTTTTGTGTTCAGTCATATACTCAGCACCCATGATGTGCCAGGCTTTGTTCTAAAGCCCTGGGGTACAGCCATGAATAAGGCTGACATTTGTCTGCCCTCATTCAGTTTACAGTCTGACGAGGAAGACATTAAACAAACAAAAGTATGCAAAGTGAAGAAGCAGTGTTAACTCTCAGAAGACAACTTAATTTCCTTTTTCCTACTTCTTGAGGAGGGGCAGCACCTCCTGGTTGCCCCCATATATCATCTACAATGAAACCATGGGAAGAGCTGCAGGGTGGGGGCTGTAGTCTAGGTAAAGAAGGCCCATTCTCCAAACATAAATTTCCAGCCTCCCTTGAGGTCTATACCACCAATTATTCCAATAAAGTCATTTTCTGCTTACATTTGTCTAAGGTTGGTTTTTTGTTTGTTTGTTTTGTTTTGTTTTTTTGTTTTGAGACAGAGTCTCGCTCTGTCGCCCAGGCTGGAGTGCAATGGCGCAATCTCGGCTCACTGTGAGCTCCGCCTCCCGGGTTCACGCCATTCTCCTGCCTCAGCCTCCTGAGTAGCTGGGACTACAGGTGCCCACCACGACACCCGGCTAATTTTCTTGTATTTTTAGTAGAGATGGGGTTTCACCGTGTTAGCCAGGATGGTCTCGATCTCCTGACCTTGTGATCTGCCCGCCTCAGCCTCCCAAAGTGCTGGGATTACAGGCGTGAGCCACTGTGCCCTGCCTAAGGTTGGTTTTTGTTATTTGTAACCAATAACCCAGACTAGTACAGCAACCATCTCAGACATCTGTGGACCAGAGAAAAGTCACTAAAGGACAATCCAATGCCTGTGCCTTGGGGCTGCAACCAAACCTGGAACCCTTCTGATTTGTGTCTTCCGTTTAGCACAAAGCAGGGCACACAAGCTGTCTCAGTGAAATCTGGTTAGCTGAGTCCCTCAGTAAGTCAGTTAGTTCACAAATGTCTGCCAGAAGCTGTTCTAGGTGCAGAAATCACAAAGCAAGTAGGAGCAGGTTTCTGCCTTCAAGATGTCCCACATGCAGCACAGACCCAACGTATCTAAAACGGAAGGCTGTCATTTTCCCTGCCTTCCCAACCCATATAACAACACACATCCGTGTCCCATGCTCCAACCACACTGAATTGCTTGCCCTTCTCACTTCCGTCTGCCAACAGTGAGTAGTTTGGTGTTCTTAGACCACAGGGGTGGGAGGGAAAGAGAGAGACAGCAGACAATCAGGCTGGGGTAGACAGACACCAGACCTTGATGCCAGGTGGAGGAATCTAGATGTATTGGCTGCTGTCCCAAGTTACTCTCCTCTGGCCTAAATCTCAGACTGGCCGTATAGTTTAATTTTTTCTCTTCCACCAAAGGTCATCTGTGTAGAAGATGACACAAAGGGGGACCCAGCACGGTGACCCGTGCCTGTAATCCCTGCACTTTCGGAGGCTAAGGAGGGAGGATCATTTGAGCCCAGGAGTTCGAGGCTGCAGCGAGTCATGATCGAGCCACTGCACTCCAGCCTTGACGCTGAGTGAGACCCTGTCTCTTAACAAAATATATTTAAAATTTAAAAAGAAGATTATACAAAGGGGTTATCTATCATCTTGGCCAGCAATGCAGGGCAAAACTTGAAACAACTTGGTCCTGCAGTATTTTCCAGATGCCAAATCCTCATTCTCTACTGTACAGCTCCTACAGTGTTTTGTGTGAGATGAGAGGGAGCATGGCGGGTCTCAGCTGGCTTTGCCCTGGGAAAAATTCCTCATTTCTGCACCGCCTCCCCAAAGCGGGGGCTAAGCCAGCGCCGTCTGCCTCTCCACCTAGACCAGACCCCTTCCCTAGATGCTCTTATTTCCCTGAAGCCTCACAACAACCCTGTGAGGTAAGCATTACCATCCCTTCATTTTACAGATGAAACTGAAGCTCAGGAAGGTTACGTTTCGGGCTCTAAATCCCGGAATCTTCGCTTCGATGCCATCCAGGCTTGGGCCACTGAGCTCAAGAAACGGGCCGACGGGTGACCAGACGGACGCCGGGACCAGCCCAAGTTCAGGGCTGAGGGCCGCCAGGTGGCGCGTTTCCCTCCCCCTACCCCTCGCGGCGGCTCGGGCGCACCTGAACCCAGCGGGGTGCGCCGGGGAAAGTAGGCGCGCAGGGTGGGGCGGGGAGTAGCCCTAATTCCCCAGCTCGGAGTGGGCAAGGAGCACGGTTTAGCTCAGCCGGCTGGCACCGCCAAGCGGCCGCCGGGCCGCATCAGCCCTCCTCCTGTTTGCGCTCCCCAGCGTGCAATTTATTTGGGGGGCTACCGGGGATTGAACGGAGCGGGCGAGCGCTGCCAGGAGGTGGGGCCGGCCCCACCTGTCGACTGCCCGTAGTAGGCAGGGAGAGGGCGGGGTTTGTCCCATAGGGCCCGCCCCCCAGTCCCTGGGTCCCGGGCGCGCGACGAGATATAAGGCAGTCAGGAAACAATGCGCCTGCAGCTCGCGCTCCCGCGCCGATCCCGAGAGCGTCCGGGCCGCCGTGCGCGAGCGAGGGAGGGCGCGCGCGCGGGGGGGGCGCGCTTGTGAGTGCGGGCCGCGCTCTCGGCGGCGCGCATGTGCGTGTGTGCTGGCTGCCGGGCTGCCCCGAGCCGGCGGGGAGCCGGTCCGCTCCAGGTGGCGGGCGGCTGGAGCGAGGTGAGGCTGCGGGTGGCCAGGGCACGGGCGCGGGTCCCGCGGTGCGGGCTGGCTGCAGGCTGCCTTCTGGGCACGGCGCGCCCCCGCCCGGCCCCGCCGGGCCCTGGGAGCTGCGCTCCGGGCGGCGCTGGCAAAGTTTGCTTTGAACTCGCTGCCCACAGTCGGGTCCGCGCGCTGCGATTGGCTTCCCCTACCACTCTGACCCGGGGCCCGGCTTCCCGGGACGCGAGGACTGGGCGCAGGCTGCAAGCTGGTGGGGTTGGGGAGGAACGAGAGCCCGGCAGCCGACTGTGCCGAGGGACCCGGGGACACCTCCTTCGCCCGGCCGGCACCCGGTCAGCACGTCCCCCCTTCCCTCCCGCAGGGAGCGGACATGGACTACGACTCGTACCAGCACTATTTCTACGACTATGACTGCGGGGAGGATTTCTACCGCTCCACGGCGCCCAGCGAGGACATCTGGAAGAAATTCGAGCTGGTGCCATCGCCCCCCACGTCGCCGCCCTGGGGCTTGGGTCCCGGCGCAGGGGACCCGGCCCCCGGGATTGGTCCCCCGGAGCCGTGGCCCGGAGGGTGCACCGGAGACGAAGCGGAATCCCGGGGCCACTCGAAAGGCTGGGGCAGGAACTACGCCTCCATCATACGCCGTGACTGCATGTGGAGCGGCTTCTCGGCCCGGGAACGGCTGGAGAGAGCTGTGAGCGACCGGCTCGCTCCTGGCGCGCCCCGGGGGAACCCGCCCAAGGCGTCCGCCGCCCCGGACTGCACTCCCAGCCTCGAAGCCGGCAACCCGGCGCCCGCCGCCCCCTGTCCGCTGGGCGAACCCAAGACCCAGGCCTGCTCCGGGTCCGAGAGCCCAAGCGACTCGGGTAAGGACCTCCCCGAGCCATCCAAGAGGGGGCCACCCCATGGGTGGCCAAAGCTCTGCCCCTGCCTGAGGTCAGGCATTGGCTCTTCTCAAGCTCTTGGGCCATCTCCGCCTCTCTTTGGCTGAAGCTGCCCGTGTAGTCCCCAACCGTGTCTGTCTGGCACGTGGGTGTGTTGGTAAACAGTTTGGAAAAGTGGCGTGGGAGCCAGCCTCCCTTTGATGATTATTGGAGCCCCAGGGGACAAGGGATTTGAGGTGAGGGTTGGCGCTTAGAGAGGACAATACTGGGGTTGGACTGTAAGGGATTGAAGGGGGTACCTTAAGAGACACTCCAAACCTGAAGTTTTTTTGCTGCTGCCTCTTTCCCTAGGAAACTCACACTCCCCTAGGGGGAGAAGAAGCCGAGAGCCTTTTGTGCAAAGCCAAAACCTTCGTCCTTTTAAAAACCTAGGTCTCCAGTTGGCTTTACTTTAAAATGCCAATAATAAATGCCCTCTTCTCGTGCCTCCCCACCACCACTTACCACTCGTGCATCCCTGAGACAGGGAGGGAAGAATGAACACTCCCCATTAACAGATGGAAAAACTGAGGCTTAGAGATAGACAATCACTACAAGTCAGCTCCAGCTTTCTGCCATCTAGCCAGCCCCTCTTCCCCAATGCTCCATCCCAACCAGGCACCTCTTCCTTGATGTTTGGGGTCTTTGTGGTAGCTTATCTTAGAAGCACTACACCTTGCCTTGCTGTTTGTCCTGAGATGGAAAAGTGTCCTTCTTGCTCCCCCTCAATAGATCTCCAGCGTCAGCTGCTCCCTGGCATTCAACAAATATTCACTGGCCCCTACTTTGTGGCAATCTGTGGGCTACATGCTGGGGTCAAGGCAGTAGAACTCCAGGCCCTCCTCTCCCATCCTTGATGCAAGTGCAACCTCGCTGAGGGCAGACTGGGGCATCCTGTGCCACTAAACTACATTGTTCTTATTCTGGCATCTTAGACCTCCACACCCGTGAGAAATCCTGGAGAGGGTATTTTTGTAGAGTGTAGACTGTGGCTAGTGACAAATAAATTAGGACCAAGAAAGCTCACTGTAGCTTTTAGGAATAACTTTTACACGACCATTTGATAGGGAACTGGGGAATGGGGTATGGAAGTTTTCCTACACTTGAGAGAAAAAATAGGATAACAAAAATTAAAAGTCTTTTTTTTCCTGGTCCACTGTGTTAAGGTCATTTTTAACCAGCTTGCTTTCTACACCAAGAGTTTATGTTTGTTTAATGGCTGGAAAGAGAATCTTGAGATCAAAAAACCAATAAAGATGTATCTCTACAACGGCTGGTGGAGTGGTAGAGTGGAAAGAGCATTGCTTTGGAAGTTGGACATTTTAGTTTGAGATCCAGAACGTTACAAAGGTGATATGTGGACTTCGCTGATCTGGGCCTCAGTTTCCCCATTTGCACACGATGGGGTTGGACTTGATTGTCCTGCTGATGACATTTCCTTGTCTGGATAGAGTAAGACACTACTCTCTGAAAGGGAGAATGGTGTCTTAAATTATTTCTTTCTTAGATAGAATCTTCCTGAGCCACGAGGCTTAACACTGAAAATTAAAGGTTTGGGATGTAGGGAAGCCTGCTGAATCATTTTCTAACCTACCCTTTAACCTGAACCTGTTTGTGAGCTTCTAGTTCACTCACAGGCCACATGGCCTGGAACAAAATGCAACAGATTGCAAACAATGAGGCGGGGGGTGGGGAAAGTGATTGGCAGCAGAGCTCACCCAATAGGGGCTAGGGGCTGGGTAAGACAGAAGTCCAAACACAGCGTAATCAGCCAATCATGGGCTTTGGGGCCAGGAGGGCTGAATGGTCAGGTTTATTAATGGAGAAATAATGCGATTGTCCACACAATGGAAGCCTTCCTGACAAAGGGGCTCAAGCTTCCTGATATGCAAAGAAGCTGAGAACGGAGCTCTTCCTTTGCGAGGCCGAGATCCATTAAGGTGGACTTCTGTGTGGAGGCTGCAAAATGTGTGGAGCAGGAGGAGACTTTTCTCCCAATTGCCCCTCTCCTGGTTAGGTTAACCTAAGAGACCTTCAAGCCAGTGAATGAGAAGGGCGTGTCCAGGTGTCTCCAGGTCTCTGGTGTTATGAGCCCCATATCTGGGACATTCTGCTGCCCAGTCTCTGCCTCTGGTGCAGGTAGTTTGGAAATGGTCGCTTGTACCTTTGTGAAGTTCCTGCAGCTTCGCCGACCTATGATTACAAATCTAACCTTCTAGTCCAGGGAAGGAGGTGGGGCAGGCGACCTATAAATGATGGATGACTTTAGAAACCCATTGAACCCAGGAGCAAAATGCTCCTAAGGGAAACCCTTTCCCTCCCCTCTGTGGGTGAAGAGGGATGGGTTGTAGCCCTCCCTTCTCTGAATCTTCAGCTGAAAGGGATGGCAGAATAGAGAGGTGGGGGAATAATAGGATTTATAACTTGTGAAAAGTAACAATTCCCCAAGTGCAGGCTGTGCTGGGCAGGAACAAAGGGCAGCTCTGCCCACAGACCCCTCATTTACAATTCTGATGGGGCATGAAAGAGCCCGACTGGGGAAGATCTTTATAGCTAAACTTTGTCCCAGGCCGGTAGCTCTTTCTCTCCAACCCCTCCGTGGGGGAGGGGAGAGCCTTTGCAGACTGGGGGCTGTTGGCTTGGGTCTGCCTTTTGTTCTTATCTAAGCCTTGCTGTGCAAAAGGAAATTGGAGAATATTTTCCTTCTTGCTAATGTCCCCTCCTTTCCTTCACTGTGCCCTTACCACATTACAAATGAATCAGCTTTCTGCTCACCTCGATTTGTATATATCTAAATTGGAAAAATGTCTCCTACCTTCCCAAGCACCAGCGTAGACAGCTAAAGCTGTAGGGTCTATGTTTGTGTTTCTCATGGGATGTGTTTCTTCTCTTGATCTCTTTTCTCGGACAGAGAATGAAGAAATTGATGTTGTGACAGTAGAGAAGAGGCAGTCTCTGGGTATTCGGAAGCCGGTCACCATCACGGTGCGAGCAGACCCCCTGGATCCCTGCATGAAGCATTTCCACATCTCCATCCATCAGCAACAGCACAACTATGCTGCCCGTTTTCCTCCAGAAAGCTGCTCCCAAGAAGAGGCTTCAGAGAGGGGTCCCCAAGAAGAGGTTCTGGAGAGAGATGCTGCAGGGGAAAAGGAAGATGAGGAGGATGAAGAGATTGTGAGTCCCCCACCTGTAGAAAGTGAGGCTGCCCAGTCCTGCCACCCCAAACCTGTCAGTTCTGATACTGAGGATGTGACCAAGAGGAAGAATCACAACTTCCTGGAGCGCAAGAGGCGGAATGACCTGCGTTCGCGATTCTTGGCGCTGAGGGACCAGGTGCCCACCCTGGCCAGCTGCTCCAAGGCCCCCAAAGTAGTGATCCTAAGCAAGGCCTTGGAATACTTGCAAGCCCTGGTGGGGGCTGAGAAGAGGATGGCTACAGAGAAAAGACAGCTCCGATGCCGGCAGCAGCAGTTGCAGAAAAGAATTGCATACCTCACTGGCTACTAACTGACCAAAAAGCCTGACAGTTCTGTCTTACGAAGACACAAGTTTATTTTTTAACCTCCCTCTCCCCTTTAGTAATTTGCACATTTTGGTTATGGTGGGACAGTCTGGACAGTAGATCCCAGAATGCATTGCAGCCGGTGCACACACAATAAAGGCTTGCATTCTTGGAAACCTTGAAACCCAGCTCTCCCTCTTCCCTGACTCATGGGAGTGCTGTATGTTCTCTGGCGCCTTTGGCTTCCCAGCAGGCAGCTGACTGAGGAGCCTTGGGGTCTGCCTAGCTCACTAGCTCTGAAGAAAAGGCTGACAGATGCTATGCAACAGGTGGTGGATGTTGTCAGGGGCTCCAGCCTGCATGAAATCTCACACTCTGCATGAGCTTTAGGCTAGGAAAGGATGCTCCCAACTGGTGTCTCTGGGGTGATGCAAGGACAGCTGGGCCTGGATGCTCTCCCTGAGGCTCCTTTTTCCAGAAGACACACGAGCTGTCTTGGGTGAAGACAAGCTTGCAGACTTGATCAACATTGACCATTACCTCACTGTCAGACACTTTACAGTAGCCAAGGAGTTGGAAACCTTTATATATTATGATGTTAGCTGACCCCCTTCCTCCCACTCCCAATGCTGCGACCCTGGGAACACTTAAAAAGCTTGGCCTCTAGATTCTTTGTCTCAGAGCCCTCTGGGCTCTCTCCTCTGAGGGAGGGACCTTTCTTTCCTCACAAGGGACTTTTTTGTTCCATTATGCCTTGTTATGCAATGGGCTCTACAGCACCCTTTCCCACAGGTCAGAAATATTTCCCCAAGACACAGGGAAATCGGTCCTAGCCTGGGGCCTGGGGATAGCTTGGAGTCCTGGCCCATGAACTTGATCCCTGCCCAGGTGTTTTCCGAGGGGCACTTGAGGCCCAGTCTTTTCTCAAGGCAGGTGTAAGACACCTCAGAGGGAGAACTGTACTGCTGCCTCTTTCCCACCTGCCTCATCTCAATCCTTGAGCGGCAAGTTTGAAGTTCTTCTGGAACCATGCAAATCTGTCCTCCTCATGCAATTCCAAGGAGCTTGCTGGCTCTGCAGCCACCCTTGGGCCCCTTCCAGCCTGCCATGAATCAGATATCTTTCCCAGAATCTGGGCGTTTCTGAAGTTTTGGGGAGAGCTGTTGGGACTCATCCAGTGCTCCAGAAGGTGGACTTGCTTCTGGTGGGTTTTAAAGGAGCCTCCAGGAGATATGCTTAGCCAACCATGATGGATTTTACCCCAGCTGGACTCGGCAGCTCCAAGTGGAATCCACGTGCAGCTTCTAGTCTGGGAAAGTCACCCAACCTAGCAGTTGTCATGTGGGTAACCTCAGGCACCTCTAAGCCTGTCCTGGAAGAAGGACCAGCAGCCCCTCCAGAACTCTGCCCAGGACAGCAGGTGCCTGCTGGCTCTGGGTTTGGAAGTTGGGGTGGGTAGGGGGTGGTAAGTACTATATATGGCTCTGGAAAACCAGCTGCTACTTCCAAATCTATTGTCCATAATGGTTTCTTTCTGAGGTTGCTTCTTGGCCTCAGAGGACCCCAGGGGATGTTTGGAAATAGCCTCTCTACCCTTCTGGAGCATGGTTTACAAAAGCCAGCTGACTTCTGGAATTGTCTATGGAGGACAGTTTGGGTGTAGGTTACTGATGTCTCAACTGAATAGCTTGTGTTTTATAAGCTGCTGTTGGCTATTATGCTGGGGGAGTCTTTTTTTTTTATATTGTATTTTTGTATGCCTTTTGCAAAGTGGTGTTAACTGTTTTTGTACAAGGAAAAAAACTCTTGGGGCAATTTCCTGTTGCAAGGGTCTGATTTATTTTGAAAGGCAAGTTCACCTGAAATTTTGTATTTAGTTGTGATTACTGATTGCCTGATTTTAAAATGTTGCCTTCTGGGACATCTTCTAATAAAAGATTTCTCAAACATGTCAGAGTGGGGGCAGCTTATGCCACCTGAGTCCTCCTCAACCACGGAAAACTATTTCAGGGTAGCCACAAGTGATCCAGAGGGCTGCACTTCTCTAACCATGTTGCTAACCTGGTCATTCCACTCTGGGTTCCTGAAATGCCATTTCAGACATGTTGAAACAATGTAGGCTCAGTACTCAGTGAACACGGAATTCTCTTGTGAATTGCAAAGAGTGCTGAATTTGTACTTTAGAAGGCTTGAAATCCTGGCTCCACCACTTCTGCAGCCTTTAGTTTCATCTTTCTGAGTCCTAGTTTCCTTATCGGTAAAATGGGGATAAATGCTACTTCACTGGGTTTTTGCAGGTATTAAATGAAGGGGTAGACTTAAAACTGCTTTCTAAACTATAAAGCCTTATACTCTTTAGGATGGTGTTATTCTTATCTTAGTGGTATGATGACCTTCTGCAAGATGTCTTTTAAAGTTTTTTTCTGAGAATTTATGTTGCAATGTACTTTTTTCTTACAGAAAGATAGTTTTAAAATTCTTTCTCCTGGCTGGGTGCAGTGGCTTATGCCTGTAATCCCAGCACTTTGCGAGGCTGAGGCAGGCAGACTGCTTGAGCTCAGGAGTTCAAGACCAGCCTGGGCAACATGGCAAAAACCCATGTCTACAAAAAATACAAAAATTAGCCAGGCATGGTGGTACACGCCTGTAGTCCCAACTACTCGGGAGGCTGAGGTGGGAGGATGGCTTGAGCCTGGGAGGCAGAGGTTGCAGTGAGCCAAGATTGCGCCACTGCACTCCAGCCTGGGCAACAGAGCCAGACCCTGTCTCAAAAAAAACATTCTTCCTCCTTAATTAATGAAAGAAAGTTTAAGCTTCATTTTCCTCCCATAGTTCTCATAAACTTGCTGTAAATGCAAGACAGGGGAATTCAGTAATAGCTGTTCCTCATAGGGCACTGCTTATGTCTGAACACTCTGCCATATCAACCATGTGTCAGGGCTACAGATGAAGAAACTGAGGTTCTAAGAGTAAACAAAGCTATGCAAATTCACAAGCTTGTAATTCAGTTGTGATTTGAAACCAGCTCTGCCTATCTCCAGAGCAAGAGGTCTTAGTCACTATATTATGATGATCAGCTTGTTTGTTAGCACGGGGTATGTGGAGAAGGTAAACGTGGAATTCCGTCATTTAACTGCTTGTTGTAACTCTCTTTGGGGCTATTGTGCCTGCCACTTATTGGGATGAAATGGAGCAAATGTCCCATGACCAGCAACTCTGAGGCATATGTGTGCTGGGTGGCATAGTCTTGCTGCAAAGGGGCCCCATCTGGGACTGAAAAGCAATCAGTTGCTGTTCAGGATGGCCATGAGCATCATGGTGAAAGAAGCCTCCACTAACTCCTCCTTACAGATGGGACTTGGGTTGGTATTGCCCACCCGAATTCCTATGGAGCCTCAGTACGGTCAAAAAGCTCCTCTTAATTCCTCACATTTACAAAATGACCCTCTTGTGACCCTCCAACCTGGTAAGTAAGCAATATCTGCCTGATGGTACTGGAGCCCAGAGAGTTTTCTTGCTCAAAGTCATAGCAAAATCAGGATTCCAAGCCCAGTCTCCTATCAGGTAAGCTTTTTCCACTTGTCCCCCACTGCACATAGGTAACACACTTAGAACCTAAGAAACTGTTTGGTAAAACTGACATGGATTATTGGAACTCTTTTCTTAAAACTCCCAGTGTATTTTTCTTCCTTTTTTGAGGCCATTAGTCAAGGGTCTGGTTTGTAGGACGTATCTCCCTTTACTGGACCTTGAAAGAATTCAATAAAAATTTTTGAAAGCACTTAGTACAATAGTATGGACCCATGGGTACAGGCATGAATGTTAGTAGTTTTGCATATCTTAATTCTTACAATAACTTGGAGAGCAGGATGCTGTCAGCCCCATTTCACAGAAAAGCCAACTGAAGCTCAGAGACATTTAAGTTGTTTGCCTAAGCCCACACACCTAGTACCAGCTGCCTGACTCCAAGCTTCAGCTCTTTTGAGTCAACTCTGCTGAGAAAGGAGTGGGAATAAAGCCATCTCCTGGGGGAAGGGAGGGTGTTTCTGGAATGCGAAGTATTTTAAGCTCCTTCCTAGCTCTTTTCTACAGACTCCTACCTCTATCTTTGTCTGAAAATAGTCAGGAGTTTATTCCTGGATTTCAGAGGACAATTTCTACAAATTAGGTTTGCCTCTGAATAATGCACCTAAGGGATCACACTCCCAACTCAGGACATAGACAATACGGGGTGACCCAGAAGCCACACTTGGTGTAGCAAAGAGAGAAGGACATCATCTCTGTTAGACAATAAAAGGCTAAAGTGTATGTTTAACTTCTGCCTCTGTTGGCAGTTATTTTGGGGAACTGAGACAGGTTGAACTATCTTAGACGTGCTGAATTTGTCTACAGTGCTCCCGAGGTCAGGATATTCCAGAATATTAACTTTAAAAGGGGAAAAAGAGGATGGGGATGGCTTTGCTGATCTGTGATAAGTGATAGGAGGGAGTGTGAGAGAGGTTTCTTTTTAAGGATAAGATAACCAGCTGGGAGATGATTGATGACCGGGTGACTGGGAAGGAGGAAAGAGGAGGTGTCTAAATGTGTCAGCTAGAGTTCTGTTGGTTGGTGTGTGGGCATTTCTACTGTAAGCCCAGTGGGCGGCTCTTGTTAATGTCTGTTTATTTACACTCCTGGCCAAAGGGAGCAACTGTATTAATGTTACCATTCTCTTGGCAAGCAAATGTAAATATTTAAAAAAGAAAGTCTCTAATCAGGTGTGTTATTAAATGATTAGGCTCAGTGCCAAGGGTCCAGTAGGTGCCCAGTAAATAATGGATTTCTTTTAAACTTGTGGGAAGCAGTATGGTTAAGTGGTCACCCACACCCAACAGTCTCAGTTCCAAATCTTGGCCCTGCATTTTCTAGCATTTTCTTGACCTTGGGCAAATTATTAACCTTTCCTAACCCTAGTTTTCTTATCTATAAAATAGGTAGAAATAATAGCATGCACTTCTTTGGGTCGTCAGGGCAATAGTAAGTGCTCAGTAAATGATTAGTATTATTTAAACCATGTTAACAAGCCACAACCAGAATATAGATTAGTCATATCTGAAAGATGATAGAAGGAATTGGTAAAATAATAAATCTTCCCAGAGTGCACATATTGATGCTTCAAGAGGTGGTAAATTATTAGGAAAGAAATAGCCAGGTTTGGGGAGCTTGAAATAGGCAGCGGAGGAGGGAGGGCAAAGACTGGAGCCTCAGACTGGTTCACAGCATTCACAGCCCATGGCCAGCAGAGGTTGTGCATCAGCAAAGCCATTGCACATACAAACCCTCTACTTTTCCTTACTGGGCACTGTGGTGCCTTTAAACTGAGCCACAGTCAACTGACTCCATTTAGTCATTAATGCCTATATTATTAAGACAGTGACTCTCAAACTTGAGTGTGTCTTAAGAATCTACCCACCCGGCCAGGCGCGGTGGCTCATGCCTACAATCCCAGCACTTTGGGAGGCTGAGGCGGGCGGATCACGAGGTCAGGAGTTCGAGAGCAGCCTGACCAACATGGTGAAACCCCGTCTCTACTAAAAACAAAAATTAGCCAGGCATGATGGCGTGTGCCTGTAATCCTAGCTCTTCGGGAGGCTGAGGCAGGAGAATGGCGTGAACCCGGGAGGCGGAGCTTGCAGTGAGCCGAGATCGCGCCACTGCACTCCAGACTGGGAGAGAGAGCGAGACTCCGTCTCAAAAAAAAAAAGAATTTGCCTACCGTAGGTCAGGGCCAGGAATCTGCATTGCTAACAAGCAAGGAGGGAGGTGAATTCCTGAGGGCACACTTAAAAAAATATTGATATAAGGGGTTGGAGCCCAGGTTTTGCAAAGACAAAAAGTATTCACAGAAGGTGGTGTAGATGCCATGGTTAAGAACTTGGGGCCAGGCACAGTGGCTTATGACTGTAATCCCAGCACTTTGGGAGGCAGAGGTGGGAGGATCACATGAGTTCAGGAGCTTGAGACCAGCCTGGGCAACATAGCAAAATCCCATTTCTACTAAGAAATTAAAAAAAAAAAAAAATGCTGGCAAGCGGGCCTGTGCCGGTAGTCAGTCCCAGCTACTCCGGAAGCTGATGCTGAGATGGGAGGATCACTTGAGCCCAGGAGTTTGAGGAGTCTGCAGTGAGCTATAATTGTGCCATTTCACTCCAGCCTGAGTGACAGAGTGAGACCCTATCTCTAAAACAACAACAACAACAACAAAAAACAAGGAGTTGGGGTTACTACCTGTGTGATGTTGGGCAAATCACTCAACCTCTCTGAGTCCTACAAGTATCCTTCTTCTGTAAAATGGAGATAATAATGATATCTATGTCACAGGACTGTTGTGAAGATTAAAGGAGTTGTTACATGTAAAGTTCTTAGAACAGTGCCAGCTACATAGTGACAGCAATATGTTTGCAATGATACATGAAGGTATGGTTCCTTCCTTCTGGAAGTTTATGAGCATAGAAACACAATCAGAAAATATTCTGGTCTGAAGTAATATAATAATAACAAAAAGATAACACACATGATCACAAACTAAGGCAATATGTGTCTCAAAGAAGTGCTATGAACCTCAGAAGGGGAAGAGAACATTTTGTTTGGAGTCATCATGAAAGTTTTTGTTGGAAATTGTAACATTAACCAGAACTAGAAGTACAGGTAGTATTTGGCTAAATGAAAAGAAGGATGTTCTAGGCTAAGAGAATAGCTTTGGGGAAGAGCAGTTAAGAAGGTTGTGTCAAATCTGGGGACAGGGGAGAAATCTGGTCTGATTTGCTGGCTGGGTAGTCTCATTTTTACAAAATAAGGAGGATTGCACTAGATTTCTAAGGGGATCCTTTCAAGAGCAAACATCCTCTTTGAAATAGGGAAGTCAGGGGAAGAAACTGATTGTGGTTTGGGACATGATGAAATTAAAGTGATGGGGTCATCCAAAATGAAGTACCCAGCAAGTTGAAAATGTGATACTGAGGCTTTAGAAAGGGATTTGAATGGAAGATACAGGCTTGAGACTCATCAGGATATAAAGATGGCAGGGTAAAGTGGTTCATGCCTATAATCCCAGCACTTTGGGAGGCTGAGGCAGAAGGATCACTTGAGGCCAGGAGTTCAAGATCAGGTTGGGCAACATAGTAAGACCCTGTCTCTGCAAAAGAAAAATAAATAAATTAAAAAGCTGTTATTATTTATTTATTTATTTTTATTTTTTATTTTTTTTTTGAGACAGAGTCTTGCTCTGTCACCCAGGCTGGAGTGCAGTGGCACAATCTCGGCTCACTGCAACCTCCGCCTCCCAGGTTCAAGTGATTCTCCTGCCTCAGCCTCCCAAGTAGCTGGGATTACAGACGCCAACCACCATGGCCAGCTAATTTTTGTGTTTTTAGTAGAGATGGGGTTTTACCATGTTGGCCAGGCTGGTCTGGAACTCCTGACCTCAGGTGATCCACCCACCTCAGCCTCCCAAAGTGCTGGAATTACAGGCATTAGCTACCATGCCCAGCCCTAAAAAGCCGTTATCTTGACACTGGGAGGCTGAGGCTGGAGGATCACTTGGGGCCAGGCATTTGAGACCAGCCTGGGCAACATAGTGAGACTCTGTCTCTTAAAAAAAAAAAAAATGAAACCGGGCGCAGTGGCTCATGCCTGTAATCCCAGCACTTTGGGAGGCCCAGGCGGGTGGATCACGAGGTCAGGAGTTCGAGACCAGCCTGGCCACCATGGTGAAAACCCATCTCTACTAAAAATACAAAAATTAGCCGGGTGTGGTGGTGCAAGCCTGTAATCCTAAGGAACAATGAAAGATTGCTGGCAACCACCAGAAGCTAGAGGAGGAAAGAAGGGATTCTTCCCTAAAGGGAAGCATGGGGGCATGGCCCTGTGGACACTTTGATTTCAGACTTCTAGCCTCCAGAACCACAAGAAAATAAATTTCCCTTTATTTTGTTTGTTTGTTTGTTTTTGAGATTTTTTTTTTTTTTTTAAACAGCCTGTTGCCCAGGCTGGAGTACAGTAGTGCAATCTCTGCTCACTGCAACCTCTCCCTTCCCAGTTCAAGCGATTCTCGTGCCTAATCCCTGCCCCTGCCCAAGTAGATGGGGCTATAGGAGTGCTCCACCACGCCCGGCTAATTTTTGTATTTTTAGTAGAGATGGAGTTTCGCCATGTTGGTCAGGCTGGTATTGAATTCCTGGCCTCCTGCCTCGGCCTCCCAAAGTGCTGGAATTACAGGGGTGAGCCACCATGCCCTGCCAATTTCCCTTGTTTTAAGCCACCCAGTTTGTAGTAATTTATGACAAGCCTAGGAATCTAATATAGGAATAACGTTCATCATAAAATATCTCCCACAGAAAATATTTTTTACTTGGGGTAGCTAATTAGTGTGAAGATTGGGCTGCAAAGGCATCTTAGGTTGTACCAAAAAGCTAGTGTTGTCCGGGTGCTGTGGCTCACACCTGTAATCCTAGCTCTTTGTGAGTGTGAGGTGGGCAGATTAGTTGAGGCCAGGAGTTCAAGACCAGCCTGGCCAACATGGCAAAACTTCATCTCTATTATAAACTTGTATAAATCAATTTTTTAAAAAGCTAGTGTTGGTCTTTGACCCAACTTTCTTCCTTACCTTGGAGTTAGATGCTTCAGGCCTCCCATAGCATGTTCCTTTTTCTGTCCTAAATGTCACCACATACTCTAAAATTCCATCTGGAACCTTTTGGATGATCTGCTTTAAATGGCCCTTTTACTGTAATGGCTTCATCTTTTGCCTTCTCCCTGTAAATTTCTTTCTTTTATTTTTTGAGATGGAGTTTCGCTCTTGTTGCCCAGGCTGGAGTGCAATGGTGCAATCTCAGCTCACCGCAACCTCCGCCTTCCAGGTTCAAGCAATTCTCCTGCCTCAGCCTCCCGAGTAGCTGGGATTACAGGCATGCACCACCACGCCCGGCTAATTTTGTATTTTTAGTAGAGACGGGGTTTCTCCATGTTGAGGCTGGTCTCGGACTCCTGACCTCAGGTGATCCGCCGGCCTCGGCCTCCCAAAATGCTGGGATTACAGGCGTAAGCCACCGCACCCGGCCAAATTTCTTTCTTTTTAAAAGAGATTTTGAATGAGTTATTTAAAGTATACAGAGGATAGGAAATACTACTGAATAAACACTCATGGGTCATCACTGAGATTTTCCTCCCTATCTTTTTGCACCTCCTACGTTCTCCTTTTCTGCCATCTTTCTGTGCCCATCCCACCCTATGTATTGCTTTCAATTTCCTAAAGAAGGTGAGGTAGGTGCAGAAATCCTAACTATATATCTGCCCTTGGGGTATGACTTACACACAGTGGGGATGAGAATTAAATGACTGACTGTGGGCTTTCAGTAGGGCAGGCAAGGAATTATTATTCTCCAAGTAATTTGAGTATCCCTGGTACCTCATTTCTACATTTTAGATATGCTCTTCCAGACTGAACTTATCCTGATACATTTGCCTTTAAAACCAGGATTTCTTTGCCCATAATAATCTGTAATGCGTGGAGCACGTTGGAGATGGGATTCTGCATCTATCACCTCTAGACATATACATACATTTTAAGTGAGAGACTCTCTTTCTTTCTGAGCCTCCCTTCCAGAACACAATGAGCTCCTTCCCCTCTGGCCTCACAGAAAGGGGAGTCAGAGCCAATACCTAGGCATGAGTACAACTAGCTTCCCTGACTCCCTATTGCCTTCTTTTATCTCTTTTTTACCCTGAAAAGCTTCCCATTAGAGGGTTTTATGTAGTTTTTTAAAGAAATACTTATTATCTCTTGGTCATAGACTTCAATTCCCCAATTTTCCCTTGAACTTAATGTCTCCAATTAGGATTTCAAGTTACAGAATATCTTTCAGGACCTATTTTTAGTATAATTTAGAGTTCAGAAGATCGCTAGGGAGACAAACAAAGCTACAAATAAAATAGCCTAAGGTATTTTAAAAAATATGTTCCCATTCTCTTTTGGTAGGACTAATAGAATTACGATGAATGGAAATGGTCCTTTTTTTTTTTTTTCACTTCTCCTCATTTGTTTTGGACCACAGGCTCCATTCTGATTTAGGAGTCTTTCCTGCTCAGCATTTTGGTGATAATTCTCCCCATGGTCTGTAGGATCCCTGTTCTCTTTGTTTCTATAGCAACAGTCCTGTGTTGCTTGGCTAGAAGCAATTTTCTGCTGCTATGGTGAAGCTCCATTTTTCCATTCCTTTCTCCCTAGTTGCCTTGGTAACGAGTCTCTTCATCTTCTGGTCTCTTGGTGGTAAATTCCACCCCCATCTTTTTTTCTCTTTCTGGTAATAGTCACCTGGTTCATGACTTAGACAGTGCTATCCCATCTGTGAGTGAGCATACTCTGTCATGGTCAGATTGTCATCATGAAATCAGCCTCCCTTTTCCTTTAATTGCATCATTTCTCTGGCCTGCCATCTTTCTGGTGGTTGTCATGGTAACTGTACCCTCTGAAAGTCTCCAGGCAAAGGTTCTACAGTTAACAACCATCATGTGAGAGTGTCTGCCAATATGTGGCCATGCATCTCCATTTTAAACCCAGCCCCAGGCGGGTACTACAAATTGGAGAGAACAGGGCTTTTGATCAAAGCAGGCTGGATTGAGAAAAGGAGGGACAGGGGACCCAGAACTGGGAACTGGTATTCTCCAAACAATGTACGTGGCAACAAGGTTTAGGCTGGATCTGCAAGAGTGGTCATTATGCCAATGGGGATTCAAGTGACTGATAAATGTATTAGCAGTCATTCCAGCAGGCCTGTCAAATGCTTGAAACTTGCAGGGGTCACTCCTTTGGCCCAGGGGATCCTGGTGATATGACCTGAGAGTTAGAGCCAATCTCAGTGAAAAAGCAATTATAACTCTTTTTTTTTTTTTTTTTGAGACAGAGTCTCGCTCTGTCGCCCA
This sequence comes from Homo sapiens, assembly GCF_000001405.40. Taxonomy (NCBI): domain Eukaryota; kingdom Metazoa; phylum Chordata; class Mammalia; order Primates; family Hominidae; genus Homo; species Homo sapiens. Next base: position 39,886,417 of record NC_000001.11, on the reverse strand, counting down.
GGCTGGAGTGCAGTTGCGCGATCTCAGCTCACTGCAAGCTGCGCCTCCCGGGTTCACGCCATTCTCCTGCCTCAGCCTCACGAGTAGTTGGGACTATAGGTGCACGCCACCAAGCCTGGCTAGTTTTTTGTATTTTTTTAGTAGAGACGGGGTTTCACCTTGTTAGCCAGGATGGTCTCGATCTCCTGACCTTGTGATCCACCCGCCTTGGCCTCCCAAAGTGCTGGGATTACAGGCGTGAGCCACTGCGCCTGGCCTAGAACTCTTAAATTGGCTAACAAGGGGTTAGTAGAATAGGTATTTAGGCACCTTTACACATTACTGAAAATTTCTCTGCCCTTAGGCTGCTGCTTTTACCTCTTTAGAGAGGCAGATGGGGTGTTACCATTATAATAACACAAAGTGTTCAACAAATAGTGGGTGTTATGTGCCAGGGCATTGTAGCAGGCACTCTTCAGATATTACTTCATTTTCTCCTCATGGCAATCTTTAGAGGAATTTAAAGATAAGAACACCGAGGTTAAGAGGTAAAGTTAGGCCAGAAGTGCTGGCTCACTTCTGTAATCCCAGCAGTTTAGGAGGCCCAGGCAGGAGGATCACTTGAGCCCAGGAGTCGGTCACCAGCCTGGGCAACATAGCAAGACCTCATCTCTCAAAAAGAAAAAAAAAATAGTAGGCGTGGTGGTATGGGTCTGCAGTCCCAGCTGGGGTGGGGTGATCGGGTGCTGAGTGGGAGGATTGTTTGAGCTCAGGAGGCCAAGGCTGCAGTGAGCTGTGATTGATTGCACCACTGCGCTGCAGCCTGGGCAACAGAGCAAGATCCTGTCTCAAAAAAAAAAAAAAAAGAGGTGAAGTTAATGAAGTTCACAGAGCTGATAAATGGCAGAGCTGGGATTTGAACCCAGCTCTATATGACTCCAAAGGCCTTTCTTAAAATGGTGTGGTCTCTGGAATTTTGGTCCTCTCTGGTCCTAATTTTTTCCACCTCCATTTTAACCTCAGGGTTGCTACAACTTTAATCCTTTCTTTCTTTTTTCTTTTTTTTTTTTTTTTGAGACTGAGTCTTGCTCTGTCGCCCAGGCTGGAGTGCAGTGGCTGATCTCGACTTACTGCAACCTCCGGCTTCCGGCTTCAAGTGATTCCCCTGCCTCCCACGTAGCTGGGATTACAGGCATATGCCATCACCACGCGTGGCTAATTTTTGTATTTTTAGTAGAGACGGGGTTTCACCATGTTGGCCAGGCTGGTCTTGAACTCCTGACCTTGTGATCCACATGCCTTGGCCTTCCAAAGTGCTGGGATTACAGGTGTGAGCCACCGCGCCTGGCTATTTATTTATTTAAGAAGGAATTTAGCTCTTGTTGCCCAGGCTGGAGTGCAATGGCATGATCTTGGCTCACCGCAACTTACGCCTCCCGGTTCAAGTGATTCTCCTGTCTTAGCCTCCCAAGTAGCTGGGATTACAGGTGTGCACCACCATGCCCAGTTAATTTTATATTTTTAGTAAAGACGGGTTTTCACCATGTTGGTCAGGCTGGTCTCGAACTCCTGACCTCAGGTGATCCACCCGCCTCAGCCTCTCAAATTGCTGGGTTTACAGGCGTGAGCCACGGCTCCCGGCCAACTTTAATCCTTTCTACCTGCGTTCCTTTTCCCTTTCCTATTTTGCGGATTGTAGTTTACTTGCTTGTTTTTCTCTGTTCTCACTCCACATGTTGCATTCTTTGGCCAAGGAGATGAAAAGGTTTGCCTTCTGTTTTTTTGTTTTGTTTTGTTTTGTTTGGGACGGAGTTCCGCTCTTGTTGCCCAGGTTTGGAGTGCAATGGCGCGATCTCGGCTCACTGCAACCTCCGTTTCCCCGGTTCCCATGCCTCAGCCTCCCAAGTAGCTGGGATTAAAGGAATGCGCCACCACGCCCGGCTAATTTTTGTATTTTTAGTAGAGACGGGGTTTTACCATGTTAGTCAGGCTGGTCTTGAACACCTAACCTCAGGTGATCCACCAGCCTTGGCCTCCCAATATGCTGGGATTACAAGCGTGAGCCACTGTGCCGGGCCAAAGGTTTGCTTTGTGATTGAGTATGAGGTCGTACTATGGGATGAAAATATTAGAGCAGCTGCCCTGGCCTGAGAACTGGGCAGACCTCATTCTGGAGAATGCCACACCTCTGAGCTTACTGCCCCGGGCACTAGACCGGCAGGTCATTCTCCTCTTCATTGAACAAGTATTGGGTGTCTCTTGGGTACCAGGTACTGTGCTAGACACTGGAGATACAGCAATGATCTAGGCAGAATTTGTCCCAATAAGTCAGACAAAAAAACAAGAGACCTATTTATAATTTTATATTGTAATAAGTACTGTAAAGAAAAATAACTTGAGTGCTGTGAAAGAATAATAGGGACGGATCTATTTAGATAGGGTTGCCATCTACCATTTAAGACGGCAGGTGGTCTGGCGCAGTGGCGCATGCCTGTAATCCCAGCACTTTGGGAGGCCGAGGCGGGTGGACTGCCTGAGCTCAGGAGTTCGAGACCACCCTGGGCAACATGGTGAAACCTCGTGTCTACTAAAATACAAAAAATTAGCCGGGCATGGTGGTGGGCGCCTGTAGTCCCAGCTACTCGGGAGGCTGAGGCAGGAGAATCTCTTGAACCCAGAAGGCGGAGGTTGCAGTGAGCCAAGATCGCGCCACTGCACTCCAGCCCGGGCGACAGAGGGAGACCCCGTCTCCAAATAAGAAGAAAAAAAAAAAAAGACGGCGGGTAGTTGAGGTTCTGACACCAGTTAGTTGACTGCAGTCACGTCGCCTGGGTCCTGCCGCTCCCTCCTCCCTAAGCAACCTCGCTACAAAGCCTGAGATCCGCGCAGGCGCATAGACGGTTGCCATGGGGACAGCTGCTCCGGCGCAAGCGCAGACTGCCATAAGATGGCGTCCGTGGCGGCTGCACGAGCAGTTCCCGTGGGCAGTGGGCTCAGGGGCCTGCAACGGACCCTACCTCTTGTAGTGATTCTCGGGGCCACGGGCACCGGCAAATCCACGCTGGCGTTGCAGCTAGGCCAGCGGCTCGGCGGTGAGATCGTCAGCGCTGACTCCATGCAGGTATGGCAGTGCGGCTGGCCCGGGCGCCTGGGGACCCCGGAGGCCGCGTGGACACCCTGTGGCAAAGGTCTTAAAGGGTGAACCCCGAGGCTTGTAGGGGCGGAGGGGGTAGGTAAAGGGAGCCCATACTTACTAAGCACCCGCCGCATGCCAGACACAGTGCCAGATGTTTCCCTTATCATCGTCTCATCAACTTCTCACGACGTTACTATTTGGTAGATACTATTATCTCCTTTTATGGAGAAAGGAATTGGGGCTTAGGGAGGTGAAACGATTTTTTCCATGTCACATAGCGAATAAGTGGAAGACATGGTATTTGAACCTACAAGGTCGACAGATAGGTATCCAGTAAATATCTTTTGAATAAAAATTATTCCAGAGCTTTTGTTGTAACTCTAACCCTAACCCAGCGAGATCAGGATAAATTGGATACCACCTATGGTGTCTGCTGGGGGAGTGGAATAGGGTTGACAGTCAGGAGACCTGGATTCTAGTCCTGAATCTGCCATTGGCCATGTGACTTCGGATCAACAATGTCGTTTATTTGGACGTTATTTTATATATCTGTGAAGTGAGGAAAATGTCACCTACCGCACAAGGTTATAGTGCTTAATAAATGGGATCATGAGCGTTAGAACGAAGAACAGAGTGCCCTGTCCGGAATAAGGCCAGACTTGTGGTAAATGCTTTTTTAAGTAGAGGTTTTAAATCATAATGGCTGATTTAAAGTTGAAGGGGCTTTGTCCTCTTCTTCGAACTGGGAGGCCCAGAAGGGGTGTACATCACATCTGGGAGCATTTTGCTCCATTAAGAGTGGGTAGTGGGTGACATTTTGGGTAAATCTCTGATGGAGGAACTACAGCAGCTATTTGTTGAGGAGAATTTACAGTTATGAGTCTTCACAGAGTAAATGAGATGTTGAACATGAAATGCCTGGCACTGAACATAGCACCTGATGAGTACTCAGCAAAGAAGGGCAGTTCCTTTCCCCAACTCACCCAGAAGCCAGTGGGCATAGTTTCTGCTTTCATTAGTTTATGTGGCATGACAAGACCATCAGCACACATGAAACGATCGGATAATTCAAAAAATAATTTGTTTGCAGTCTACTTTGTGCCAGCTTCAGAAGACAATTTACCTCAAATCCCAGCTGTCTTTTCCAAGATATGCAGCTATAGCCTAACCTCTTCATGCCTTTGTTTCTTCTTCTGTAAAGTAGGAAGAATAATATCAATAACACAACATTATTGTGATGATTAAATGAGATAAAGTATGTGCAGTACTTAATACAATATATGGCACATAATAAGAGCTAAAAATACAGCAGCTGCTATCTTCTGCGAGGCCCTACTGGAGAGACAAAATCATAATTTCTGCCCTTGAGTTTTAGTCCAGCTGAACATAAAACAAGGCAGAGCTAATAAATGTTTGGACAGAGATATTAATGGATTTGCAAGATGATGGGAGGAGAGAGACTACAGATGCTAGATTTTATGACAAGTATTATAGAATTTCTGAGACAGGAGAAATTATCGAAGGCTGGCTTAGTATGGAAAGCTCTCTGAAAAAGGGCTTGAAAAATAGGTCAAGTTTGGATAGGTAAGAAAGAAGAAAAAGCTTATTAAAGGAAAGAACATGAAGCTGGTCCAAAGGTATTGAGTTGTCTCAGTTGATTGTTCACAGTCAGTTACAGATGGAACTCCCTTTTCTACTCTTTGGCCCTTTCTCACTACTGTACATGACTAGTCTTAAAAAAAAAAAAGGAACATGAATGAAGATGAAGATTTAGAAGGTGAAATGGCCATAGTGTGTAGGTAGGATAGTAAAAGGAGACTGTTCAATTGCAGATATGGAATGTGAGATGAGCAACATGATGAAGGCAGTGTGTAAGGAACATTCATTTGTGAGCAGTACGTATGGTACTTGGATAAAAAATATCCAAGAATGGTATAATAGTAGATCTGTGGTCTGATACCTCAGAGACTTAAGTAATAAGAGTTTCAGTAAGATGGAGTTACACTGATGACACCTAAGGTCCATGCCAATATTTATGTTCTATCATTTCTTTCTTCTTTTTTTTTTTTTTTTTTGGAGACAGAGTTTCGCTCTTGTTGCCCAGGCTGGAGTGCAGTGGCGCGATCTTGGCTCACTGCAACCTCTGCCTCCTGGGTTCAAGGATTCTCCTGCCTCAGCCTCCCAAGTAGCTGGGATTAGGGTGAGGGACAGGCACCTGTCCCACACCCAGCTAAGTTTTGTATTTTTAGTAGAGACGGAGTTTCGCCATGTTGGCCAGACTGGTCTCGAACTCCTGACCTCAGGTGATCCACCCGCTCCAGCCTCCCAAAGTGCTAGGATTACAGGTGTGAGGCACTGCACCCAGCCTTACATCTGTTTTTAAGTAGGTTACTGGGTTCTGGCAGTGAGGGTTGGATATAGCTCTATAGTAGCTATTATGTCTCGTTACTCATAGCTGTGTACCAAAGAAATGTTTCTATCTTTTTTCTTTTCTTTTTTTTTTTGAAACGGAGTCTTGCTCTGTCGCCCAGGCTGGAGTGCAGTGGCGCAATCTCTGCTCACTGCCCCCTCTGCCTCCCAGGTTCAAGCAATTCTCCTGCCTCAGCCTCCCGAGTAGCTGGAATTACAGACGCCCGCCACCATGCTCGGCTAATTTTTGTATTCTTAGTAGAGATAGGGTTTCATCATGTTGGCCAGGCTAGTCTCAAACTCTTGACCTCATGATCCGCCCGCCTTGGCCTCCCAAAGTGCTGGGATTCCAGGCATGAGCCACTGCGCCTGGCCCAACTTGTGTTTTCAACCAGTGAAAGGAGATGCTGCTTTTCAGTGACTTGAGGTTGACTCACTAGTATTTGGTAAACATGTAAACAAAATGATATTGTTGATGTTGAATCACCAGCTACTTGAAATAACATTTTCAATTTCAAGTAACTCCACAGGCAAAGCAATAATAAATATCAACAACTCAAATTTTCAAAGCATTGTTTACCAAATGTTTACAGTTTCTTCTTTTTTTTTTTTTTTTTTTTTTTTTATTTGAGGTCTTGCTCTGTTGCCCCGGCTGGAATGCAGTGGTGTGATCATAGCTCACTGCTATAACTTTGTTTTTGTTGTTGTTGTTGTTGTTTTGAGACGGAGTATTGCTCTGTCACTAGGCTGGAGTACAGTGGCACTGTCTCAGCTCACTGCAACCTCCGCCTCCAGGATTCCAGTGATTGTCCTGCCTCAGCCTCCCGAGCAGCTAGGACTACAGGCACATGCCACCAGGCCCAGCTAATTTTTGTATTTTTAGTAGAGACAGGGTTTCACCATGTTGGCCACGATGGTCTTGATCTCTTGACCTCGTGATCCGCCCACCTCAACCTCCCAAAATGCTGGGATTACAGGTGTGAGCCACCATGCCTGACCTTTTTTTTTTTTTTTTTTTTTTGAGATGGAGTTTCGCTATTGTGGCCCAGGCTGGAGTGCAATGACACCATCTTGGCTCACTGCAACCTCCACTTCCCAGGTTAAGTGATTCTCCTGCCTCAGCCTCCCTAGTAGCTGGGACTACAGGCATGTACCACTGCACCTGGCTAATTTTGTATTATTAGTAGAGTCGGGGTTTCACCATGTTGGCCAGGCTGGTCTGGAATTCCTGACCTCAGGTGATCCGCCTGCCTTGGCCTCCCAAAATGCTGGAATTACAGGTGTGAGACACTGCGCCTGGCACTGCTGTAACTTTGAACTCCTGAGTTCAAGCAGTCCTCCTGTCTCAAGTAGCTGGGACTATAGGCATGGAACACTGTGCTGGTGATAAATATATATATATATATATTTAAAATCCTCACAATAGTCTCATAAAATGGATATTATCACTTCACAGTTAAGAAAATAGGCCTAAGGTCTTAGAATAAGTAGCAGACCTGGAGTCTGAACATGAAAGTGTCTGCTTTCCATCCCCAGTGGCATATCTGCTACACAAAGCCATTTCCTTTAAGATGACCAGGGGCTGTGGGGTTCAATCAGTAGGGAGTTTTTTGTTTGTTTGTTTGTTTGTTTGTTTTAAGATGGAGTCTCGCTCTGTCACCCAGGCTCATGATCTTGGCTCACTGCAACCTCTGCCTCCCATGTTCAAGCGATTCTCCTGCCTCAGCCTCCCGAGTAGCTGGGACTATAAGCGTGTGCCACCACGCCTGGCTAATTTTTTGTATTTTTAATAGAGACGGGGTTTCACTGTGTTAGCTAGGATGGTCTCGATCTCTTGACCTCGGGATCCGCCAGCCTCGGCCTCCCAAAATGCTGAGATTACAGGCATGAGCCACTGCGCCAGGCCAGGAGTTTTTAACTTGTATGCCAGTTATCCTTCTTAGGAGTGTGCAACATTTTGATCAGGAAAAAGATGTATTTTAGGATTCATATTGTAAATCACAGTGTTAATTCATAGTGATATCTGTCAAGTGGAGTGTTGAGCTGACTGGAAGCCACCTGATGTACTTTGGGGATAAAATTTGCTGCAGCTAAGAGATATTAATAGAATCTAATGTCAAGTTCGTATCAAAGACAGATAGTGTTTATTGGAACAAAGGGTAAACTTGGACTTGTGGAGAGCCTAGACAGAACAGTAAACTTCTTTGTTGTAACACACCAAAGGGTGACCAAATAGAAAGTGTGATCATAGAAAGTTTTTTCAAGTTTCTAAATTGGGTTTTTTAAAACCAATATTTGCATTTTAATAATTCCTTTTGGTGTGCTGCTGAAAATTTTCTATTCAGAAGTGTACCAGTAACTCAGAAACTATTGTACAACACTATCTTAAATGTTAAATTGTCTCGTACTTCATACTGCTTTTGTCATCCCTTTGTCCTGCTTTAAAATGTAGGGTCATCCAAGGCAACACCTACCCAAGGTCAACCCTACAGCACCTACAGGGCAGTTCCTATCCAGAGAAAGTATTTGTTTTTGTAAACATTGAATAAGTACTTTAAGCTTTGAGGTAAAACTACAATGGGGTTGTTAAAGGTATTGTGTCTATGGTGATCATTTCTTCATGTAGCCTGATATGCAGTGACTTGCTTCTGTAGCCATCTAGCATCTGAAGGTACTGCCTGTCCTCTTTCTTCCCAGTGTTCTTTTTTCTTTTTCTTTTTTTTTCTATGACACAGCCCCAGGAGGTCCTGAAAACACATGCCCTTCCATGATTCTTATGCAAGGTAGTTGTGGATTGGGAAGTCAGAACTACTTTCTGAGGGGATTACCTTCTTTGGGATTTCTCTTGGGTTTTGCTGAGGATTTCTACATGGCCATTCTGACAGAAGTGAGAAACAACATTTGTGCTTTATTTTCTGAGTCTTCTGAATGCTGGTTGTTTCACAAATTATAGAAATAAAAATATTCTCATTCAGTAGTAAGAGTCTGAATTCAAGGAGGGACAGGTAATACAATCCCTGTTTTCCAGGATGGAAAAACTGGAGCTACAGAAGATTAAAGAGCTGTCTAGAGATCACACTGCAAGACACTGGGAATTGGATCTGGGTCTTCTAACTCATTTGTAGAGTCTGATGTATTTCAGGAAGATGATACCGAAGGTCTTCTTTTCAGTCTGAGTCTTTTTCTTGGCTTGTAAATTCAAGGTACAGTGCCGGGCCTTCAGTGACTGGATGAAACATTGTACTGAGAAAATTGAAGGCCCTTGCCAAACATGTACAATGATGGCCTGGAAATACAAACTACCAACTATATGCTAAGAGAAAAGAAACAAAGTGTTCTGTTCGGGTTTATAGAGAGGAAGTGTCTCTAATGCCTCAGTTTTTCAAGTCCTGTGGAGAAGCAGTAGCCGTACATAGGAGCACAGTTCCTTTTGTGTTTGTTTAAACCTACAAGAGGAGAAACAAATGATTTTTGGCAGTCTGACTAGTAAGCAAGCAGAATATGTGTCATCTCGTCATCCAATAGATGTGGAGCTCTTTGTTCTTTTTTTTTTTTTTTTTTTTTTAATAGAAGCACCATGTTGCCCAGGCTGATCTTGAACACTCTTGGCCCCAAGTGATCCTCCTGCATTGGCCTCCCAAAGTGCTAGGATTACAGGCATGAGCTACCCCACCTGGCCTCTGTATTCTTTTTGTTTGCTTTGGGACATACTGTAGGAGCAGTGTTTGTACCAAAAGACTGTCTGATCAAGGGAGATATGGGATGCTTGGGGGAGGGATATGAAAGGAGAGATGGGATGGTGGATCACAGTGGCTTAATAAAATGTGAAATAAAAGGCTTGAAGACCTGTTTTTTTTTTTTTTTTTTTTTTTTTGAAGACCCATTAACCAGGAGAAAAGGGGTCTATCTGGAAGGTATTTGCCACAACTGACAAAGGCAGTCCTTTTTTTTTTGTTTTTTTTTTTTGAGATGGAGTCTTGCTGTGTCACCCAGGCTGGAGTGCAGTGACTCCATCTCGGCCCACTGCAACCTAAGCCTCCCAAGTTCTAGCCATTCTCCTGCCTCAGCCTCCTGAGTAGCTGGGACTACAGGCGCCCGCCACCACGCCTGGCTAATTTTTTGTATTTTTAGTAGAGACAGGGTTTCACCGTGTTAGCCAGGATGGTCTCAATCTCCTGACCTCAGGTGATCCGCCAGCCTCGGCCTCTCAAAGTGCTGTGATTACAAGCGTGAGCCACTGCACCCAGCCAAAGGCAGTCTTTTAGAAGGACTGAGACTTACAAGAGGCTAAAAAGGAAATCTCAAAATTTTCGACTCATCATTCATATATATATATAGATAGATAGATAGATAGATAGATAGATACACATATAAATAATGAGTTTCTAGGTCCCTTGGTTCACCTCCATTGTAAGTGAATTTAGTTTTCTTTTGGCTGCAGTATTAAGCTGTGTATGTTGTACATATGTGGTCATGTTTTTGCACCTACAGGGAGAACTTTGGAGTCAAATCTGTGTTATATAAGGAAGGAGAAGTGACTACTGGCCAAACAGGAAACCATAGGAGAGCACAGATGAGGCTTGCAGATTCAGATTCATGAGGATGAGTGCTACCCTGATGTTTCAGTGCCTGAGGCAGGGTGTTGAAGCAGCTCCACTTCAAAAAGATATATTTGAGGAGTAAAAGTTACTTGGGGTATATAGGAATTCACATATGTGCTCCATTATGATTTAATGGAATTGGTTTTGTTTTTCTGTGTAGTTTTGGATTCCTCAGAAACTTGAATCAGACCAGGACCCTGTTGGCCTCTTGATCCCTTTGGGGCTCTGCTTGTGAGTAGCAGCCTCCCTGTACCTCCCTCATTGTGGCAGTCAGAGTTCAAGCCCTCATTACAGGAATGATCATAATAATTATACTACTGAAGATAATAGCAAGAATAATATATATGTCAGGCAGTTCTAAAAGTTTGACAAATATTATCTAATATCCTTACCGTAGCCTTTTGCCGTGGGTGCTGTTATTGTCTCCTCCCTACCAAAAATTACTTTATTAAATCCTCATCTCCATGCTGTTTTATACTTTTTCCTCTAACTCTTATTTATTTATTCATTCATCCTCCATCCCATTCTTTTCCTCTGTACCACTGTGTACATTTTATCAAGCAGAAAAGTGGGAAGAATAATATTACTGACAAAAGAACAGTATGGGCAAAGTTAAGAAAATGCATGGTATGTTTTCAAGGAATGACCAGCAACTATCTGGCATAGAGGGTACTTGAGGGACAGTGGTAGGAGGTAAAACTAAAAATATAGACCCTGGGAACAAATTTTTGAGGCCCTCAAAAGTCATGCCATGAGGTTTGAGGTTTTAAAGAGGGAAGTGGTAGTAAGTCTATTTTTTTTTTTCAAGACAGAGTCTCGCTCTGTCACCCAGGCTGGAGTGCAGTGGCGCAATCTCAGCTCACTGCAACCTCCACCTCCCGGGTTCAAGCAAGTCTCCTGCCTTAGCCTCCTGAGTAGCTGGGATTACAGACGCATGCCACCACGCCTGGCTAATTTTTGTATTTTTGGTAGAGACAGGGTTTCACCATGTTGGTCAGGCTGGTCTCGAACTCCTGACCTCGTGATCTGCCCACCTCGGGCTCCCAAAGGGTTGGAATTACAGGCGTGAGCCACTGCACCTGGCCTGTAAATCTATTTTATGAAGTAACTGGGTGGAGAGTGGGTTAGAGAAGGAAAAACAGTTTAGGATTCTGTTACATTAGTCTGGGTGAGAGAGGCTGGAGTTGGGCTTTGGCTGGAGAGAATAGGTAACCATTTTGATATTTTGTAAACAGAACCAACAGGATTTTGGTTATTGAATTGGAAGCACTATGAAAAAAATGAGAACAAAGCATTTTTGTGTTCAGAAAAATGAGACATGCGGGGGCCGGGCACAGTGGCTCACGCCTATAATTCCAGCACTTTGGGAGGCTGAGGCGGGCAGATCACCTGAGGTCAGGAGCTCGAGACCAGCCTGACCAACATGGAGAAACCCTATCTCCACTAAAAATACAAAAAAATTAGTCAAGCATGGTGGTGCATGCCTGTAATCTCAGCTACTCAGGAGACTAAGGCAGGAGAATCACTTGAACCCAGGAGGCGGAGGTTGCAGTGAGCCGAGATCACGCCATTGCACTCCAGCCTGGGCAACAAGAGCGAAACTCCATCTCAAAAAAAAAAAGAAAAGAAAAATGAGACATGCTTATTAAAAAAATCCAATAATACTGAAAAGTACAGAGACAATTTAACCATAGTCTTAGCATCCTGGAGTAATGATTTTGGTTCACATCCTTCCAGACATTTGTATATATATTTAAGCACATGTGTCATGTGTGTATATGTTATTACATAAATTGACTCAGAGGTTAGATACTATTCTATTTTCTTTTAACACTATGTTATGGATATCTTTATATGTTAATGTATATAGCTATATCAGTAGTCTCAACTTGGGGTGATTTGGCCTCCTAGGGGACGTTTGGCAATCCCTGGAGACATTTTTGGTTCTAATAACTGGGGAGGTGGGTTCCTGGCATCTAATGGGTAGAGGCCAGAGACATTGCTAACATTCTAGTAGGCACAGGACAACTTCCCATAACAGAATTATTTGGCCCCAAATATTAATTGTACTAAAGTTAAGAAACTGTCCTATATTATTGTTTTTATAATTTTTTATTGATTGATTGATTGAGACACGGTCTTACTGTGTTACCCAGGCTGGTTTCAAACTCCTGGGCTCAAGCAGTCGTCCCACTTCACCTTCCAAGTAGCTGAGATTACAGGTTTAATTTTGATTTTGAAATAGTTGTAGATTTTTATTTTTATTTTTATTTTTTTGAGACAGAGTTTCGCTCTTGTTGCCCAGGCTGGAGTGCAATGGTGTGATCTCGGCTCACTGCAGCCTCCATCCCCCGGGTTCAAGCAATTCTCCTGCCCCAGCCTCCTGGGACTACAGGCATACGCCACCATAACCAGCTAATTTTGTATTTTTAGTAGAGATGGGGTTTCTCCATGTGGGTCAGGCTGGTCTCGAACTCCCGACCTCAGGTGATCCATCCGTCTCTGCCTCCCAAAGTGCTGGGATTACAGGTGTGAGACACTGTGCCTGGCCCGAAATAGTTGTAGATTTACACAAGAGTTTCAAAGATAGTACCAAGAGTTCCTGTATACCCTTCATCTACCTTGTCCTAATATTAATATCTTACATCATCATGGTACATTTATTAAAACTAAGAAATTGATATAGGTACAATACTATTAACTAAATTATAGTCTTGGATTTCACCAGTTTTTTCACTTATGTCCCTTTTCCATTTCAGGATTCAATTTAGGATACTATACTGCAGTTAGTCATCATGTATCTTTAGTGTCCTCCAATCTTTGACAGTTTTCAGTCTTTCCTTGTCTTTTACGACCTTGATACTTTTGAAGGGTACTGGTCAGCTCTTTTGTAGATGTCTCTCCATTTGGGTTTTGGTTTCTCATGATTAGACTTGGCATTATGGATTTTGGGAAAGTATACCACAGAAGTGAAGTACCCTTCTCATTGGATCATATCAAAGTATGATATCAACATAGTATTAGCATGGCTTATTACTGGTGATGGTAACTTTGATCATTTGGTTGAGATTGTATACACGTTTCTCCACTGAAAAAGTCACGATTTTTCTCTTTTTGTGTTATTTTTCTTTTCCATTTCCATAAAATGACAGTACCTAGTCTTATTTGTTGGAAATCATTTGCCAAGTCTGGCCCACACTGAATAGAAGGAGAATTAAGCTTCATTTCCAGGATGAAAGCTTATCAAATAATTTGCGGACATATGTTAAAAGCACCACAGTAATTAATAAATATTTTAGGGGAGATACCCTCAGGCTATGCAGATGTCCTATTTCTCCTTAAAGTTTCACCCTCTGATTTTAGCATTCATCAGAGTCTTTCTTTTCTTTCTTTCTTTTTGTTTTCTTCCTTTCTTCCTTTTCCTTCCTTTTCCTTCCCCTCCCTCACTTCTTCCCTTCTTCCCTCCCTCCCTCCCTCCCTTCCTTCCTTTCTCTCTCTTTCTCTCTCTCTCTGTGTGTGTGTGTGTGTGTGTGTGTGTGTTTAGTACTTCCTGTCTGGTATTACAAGATGCTTCTAGTCCCTTTCAGTGGAAAGAGCTAGGAAATGTATGTATGTATATTAATCTATATATACACACATTTATATTTATTTCTCTATCTGTATGTATATTAAAATAAGCATGGGTTTATACTGGTATCTCTGACTAATCCAGCACCACAAGATTCATTCTAGTCTTCCCCCCTTGCTTATTTGTGACTTCTTTCTCAGAGTAAGAAATTTAGCTCTCATTCCCTATAGTATATTTACTTATTTGTGTAACCTGTAGTTTCAGTGATTACTCCTGTGAGAAACAGATTTACCAACTAGAGTACAATGTTTGCCTACAGTTTGTTTGTTTGTTTTTATCCTTACAGTATCGAGTAGTAACATTGTTTTATGAAGTTACTTAGATCAGCTCCTTTTGTTTTCCTCTCTGAGGTTATATCAGACGTTTGTAATGCAGTTAGATTTCATTTGTTACAGTCTGTAGTCTATCCTGGGTTCCCAGATATTCTGGTTATTTTAAAAAATTTGCATACAGTGGCCAGCTGCAGTGGTTCACACCTCTAATCCAAGCACTTTGGGATGCCAAGGAGGGAAGATTGCTTGAGCCTAGAAGTTTGAGATCAGCTTGGGTAACATAGTGAGAGCCCATCTCTACAAAAAAAAAAAAAAAAAAAAAAATTAGTCAGGCCTGGTAGCACATACCTGTAGTCCCAATTTCTCCTGGCTCAAGCAGGAGGATGGCTTGAGCCAGGGAGGTCAAGGCTGCAGTGAGTCATGATGGTGCCACTGCACTCTAGCCTGGACAACAAAGCAAGACTCTGTCCCAAAAAAACATTTTTAAAAATTTTTTGCATACATATAGTAAAGTGTACTCTTTATGATGTTTAGTTCTATGGGTTTTGACAGATGCATAGAGTCAGATATATACCCCACAGTACCATACTGAACAGTTCTATCACCCTAAAAAATCCCTTATAGTGGCCCCTTTGTAGTCAACCCCTCTATCTCCTTCAATCTCTGGCAACAACTTACCTGTTTTCCATCCCTATTGTTTTGCCTTTTCCAGAATGTCTTAAAATGTAATCATACAATATGTAGCCTTTGAGGTTTGGCTTTTTTCACTTAGCAAAATACATTTTTTTAAAAGGTAGATTGATTGATTGATTGGAGACAGGGTCTCATTCTGTTGCCCAGGGTGGGGTGCAGTGGCGCCATCTCGGCTCACTGCAGCCTCAACTTCCTGGGCTCAAGCAATCCTCCTACCTCAGCACCCCAAGTAGCTGGGACTATAGGCCTGTGCCACCACACCTGGCTCATTTTTGTATTTTTTGTAGAGACGGTTTCACCACGTTGCCCAGGCTGGTCTGGAACTCCTGAGCTCAAGCAATCCACCTGCCTCAGGCTCCGATTATAGGCGTGAGCCACTGCACCTGGCCAGCAAAATACGTTTAAAATTCTTCCATGTTGTTGCATGCGTCCAATGCTCTTTATTGCTGAGTAGTATTCCACTGTTTGGATGTACCATAGTTTGTCTAGTCACCTTTTTTTTTTATGAGACGGAGTTTCTCCCTTGTTGCCCAGGCTGGGGTGCAGTGGTGCAATCTTGGCTTACTGCAACCTCCGCCTCCCGGGTTCAAATGATTCTCCTGCCTCAGCCTCCCGAATAGCTGAGATTACAGGCATGTGCGACCACGCCCAGCTAATTTTGTATTTTTAGTAGAGACATAGTTTCTCCATATTGGTCAGGCTGGTCTTGAACTCCTGATCTCAGGTGATCCGCCCTCCTCAGCCTCCTAAAGTGCTGGGATTACAGGCGTGAGCTACCGCGCCTGGTGTCTATTCACCTATTAAAGGACATCTGGGTTTCTGGTTTTTGGTGATTATAAAGAAAGCTATTGTAAACATTCATGTACAGGTTTTAGTGTGAAATTTCATTTGAGTAAATACCTAAGAGTGGGATTGCTAGGCTGTTTGGTAACTTTATGGTTTAACTTTACAGGAGACTACCAAACTGTTTTCTAAAATGACTGTACCATTTTGTATTTCTCCCAGTAGTGAATGAGAATTCGTGTTCTTCTGTATCTCTATATTATTTCCAGCATTTGGTATTGTCAGGCTTTTTTTTTTTTCTTTTAATTTCCGCAGTTCTATGTACTGGTATCTCATTGTCGTTAATTTACATTTCCCTAAAGACCAATGATGTTGAGCTTCTTTTTTTTTTTTTTTTTTTTTTAGTATTTATTGATCATTCTTGGGTGTTGCTCGCAGAGGGGGATTTGGCAGGGTCATAGGACAATAGTGGAGGGAAGGTCAGCAGATAAACATGTGAACAAGGGTCTCTGGTTTTCCTAGGCAGAGGACCCTGCGGCCTTCCGCAGTGTTTGTGTCCCTGGGTACTTGAGATTAGGGAGTGGTGATGACTCTTTACGAGCATGCTGCCTTCAAGCATCTGTTTAACAAAGCACATCTTGCACCGCCCTTAATCCATTTAACCCTGAGTGGACACAGCACATGTTTCAGAGAGCACGGGGTTGGGGGTAAGGCCATAGATTAACAGCATCCCAAGGCAGAAGAATTTTTCTTAGTACAGAACAAAATGGAGTCTCCCATGTCTACTTCTTTCTACACAGACACAGCAACAATCTGATTTCTCTTTCCTTTCCCCACACTTTCCCCCCTTCCACTTGACAAAACCGCCATCGTCATCATGGCCCGTTCTCAATGAGCTGCTGGGTACACCTCCCAGACGGGGTGGCGGCCGGAGAGAGGGGCCCCCCACCTCCCAGACGGGGCAGCCAGGCAGAGGCGCCCCCCGCCTCCCGGACGGGGCGGCTGGCCGGGCAGAGGCTGTCCCCCACCTCCTGGAGGGGGCAGCTGCCTGGCAGAGACGCTCCTCACTTCCCAGACGGGGCGGCTGCCGGGCGGAGGGGCTCCTCACTTCTCAGACGGGGCGGCCGGGCAGAGACGCTCCTCACCTCCCAGATGGGGTGGCGGTCGGGCAGAGACACTCCTCAGTTCCCAGATGGGGTCGTGGCTGGGCAGAGGCGCTCCTCACATCTCAGACGGTGGGCGGCGGGGCAGAGACGCTCCTCACTTCCTAGATGGGATGGCGGCCGGGAAGAGGCGCTCCTCACTTCCCAGACTGGGCGGCCGGGCAGAGGGGCTCCTCACATCCCAGACGATGGGTGGCCAGGCAGAGACACTCCTCGCTTCCCAGACGGGGTGGCGGCCGGGCAGAGGCTGCAATCTCGGCACTTTGGGAGGCCAAGGCAGGCGGCTGGGAGGTGGAGGTTGTAGCGAGCCAAGATCACAACACTGCACTCCAGCCTGTGCAACATTGAGCACTGAGTGAGCAAGACTCCGTCTGCAATCCCGGCACCTCGGGAGGCCGAGGCTAGCAGATCACTCGCGGTTAGGAGCTGGAGACCAGCCCGGCCAACACGGCGAAACCCTGTCTCCACCAAAAAAATATGAAAACCAGTCAGGCGTGGCGGCGTGCGCCTGCAATCCCAGGCACTCGGCAGGCTGAAGCAGGAGAATCAGGCAGGGAGGTTGCAGTGAGCCGAGATGGCGGCACTACAGTCCAGCCTCCAGTCTGCATCAGAGGGAGACCCTGGAGAGAGAGGGAGAGGGAGACCAT
The DNA here is from genome assembly GCF_000001405.40 of Homo sapiens. NCBI lineage: Eukaryota > Metazoa > Chordata > Mammalia > Primates > Hominidae > Homo > Homo sapiens. Next base: position 39,869,106 of record NC_000001.11, on the reverse strand, counting down.
GGGGAGAGGGAGGGGGAGGGGGAGAGGGAGAGGGAGAGCTTTTTTTCAGACAGAGTTTTGCTCTTGTTGCCCAGGCTGAAGTGCAGTGGCACGATCTCGGCTCACTGCAACCTCTGCCTCATCGGTTCAAGCGATTCTCCTGCCTCAGCCTCCCGACTAGCTGGGATTACACATGCCTGCCACCACGCCCAGCTAATTTTTATATTTTTAGTGGAGACGGGGTTTCACCACGTTGGCCAGGATGGTCTAGAACTCCTGACCTCAGGTGATCCACCCGCCTCGGCCTCCCAAAGTGCTGGGATTACAGGCGTGAGCCACCACGCCCAGCCAGTGTTGAGCTTCTTTTCATATCCTTATTTGCCATCTGTATATCCTTGGTGAAGTGTCTCTCAGATCTTTTGCCCACGGGAGTGGGGTTGTTTTCTTATTGATGAATTTTAAGAGTTTTTTTTTTTTTTTTTTGAGAGGAAGTTTTGCTTTTGTCGCCCAGGCTGGAGTGCAATGGCGCGATCTTGGCTCACTGCAACCTCCACCTCCCGGGTTCAAGTGATTCTCCTGCCTCAGCCTCCTGAGTAGCTGGGATTATAGGTGCTTGCCAGCACGCCTGGCTAATTTTTTGTATTTTTAGTAGAGATGAGGTTTCACCATGTTAGGCAGGCTGGTCTCGAAGTCCTGCCCTCAGATGATTCACCTGCCTCAGCCTCCCAAAGTACAGGGATTACAGGCGTGAGCCACTGTGCCTGGCCAAGAGTTCTTTATATATATCCTGGGTATAAATCCTTTATCAGATATGTTATTCGCAAATATTTTCTCCCAATCTGTGGCTTATTTTTTCATTCTCTTCACAGTATCTTTCACAGAGCAAAAGTTCTACATTTTTATAATGCCTAATTTAATTTATCTTTTTTTTTCTTTTATGGATCACGAGGTCAGGAGATCGAGACCATCCTGGCTAACACGGTGAAACCCCGTCTCTACTAAAAATACAAAAAAAAATAGCCAGGCATGGTGGCGGGCTTCTGTAGTCCCAGCTACTTGGGAGGCTGAGGCAGGAGAATGGCATGAACCCGGGAGGCGGAGCTTGCAGTGAGCCGAGATGGAGTCACTGCACTCCAGCCTGGGCGACAGAGCGAGACTCCATCTCGAAAAAAAAAAAAAGAATCTTGAAGGGGTTCAGTGTGTGGTAGCTGTCTTTTCCTCAGTTTCTGGAATTTAATTTCACCTCAGTAGGAATTCATTACTTGAAGCAAACAAATATACCAGAGTCAAATGGGGATAAAAATTCTAGTGAGTGGCAGCAGAAATAGCTTGGGTTATAGGCAGAGCAGCCTGGCATTAGTCCTGTCTCTGCTTCCAGCCAGTTATATGGCCAGGGGAGCCTGAGTATTCTCGAATATAAAATGTTGGGTGTTTGGACTGGATGCAGAGCTTCTCCAGTGTTTGTTTGCAGGTGGACTCCAAGCAGCCACTGCAGAAGCTCTGTGTCGCAGTTTCTCATGTTTTAACTTAAAAATATGTGCCAATTTTGCATTCTCTGCCCTAATGTTTGTTTAGATGTAAAAATGTTTCAATTTTTTTTTTCTGCTACCTAGTAAGATTGATACTTCAGAAGAATGTATCACATGTATGTTATACACATCTCAGTTTGAAAACTATGGCCTTGGCCAGGCGCAGTGGCTCACCCCTGTAATCCCAGCACTTTGGGAAGCCAAGGCGGGCGGATCACCTGAGGTTGGGAGTTCGAGACTAGCCTGACCAACATGGAGAAACCCCGTCTCTACTAAAAATACAAAATTAGCCAGGCATGGTGGTGGATGCCTATAATCCCAGCCACTCGGGAGGCTGAGGCAGGAGAATCACTTGAACCCAGGAGGTGGAGGTTGCGGTGAGCCGAGATTGTGCCACTGCACTTCAGCAAGGGCAACAAGAGCGAAACTCCATCTCAAAAAAACAAAAGAAGAAAACTATGGCCTTATATGATTCTGGTCCCTTTTCCCTTAAAGAGAAGAGCCGTAGGAAAGAATAAAAGCCATAATCTGCACTATAAATTCCAAACCATGAGTCTCATCACACTGACTCAACAGATCAGGCACAGATTCTCCTGCTTTTTTATTTTATTTTTTGAGACAGTGTCTCACTTCAGGCTGGAGTGCAGTGGTGCAATCATGGCTCACAGCAGCCCTGACCTCCTGGCTCAAGCAGTCCTCCCACCTCAGTCTCCTGAGCAGCTAGAACTATAGGCACGTGCCACCATGCCTGGCTGATTAAAACTGTTTTTTTGTTTTTGTTTTGTTTTTTTTGTAGACATGGGGTCTTTGTGTTGCCTAGGCTGGTTTCAAACTCCTGAGCTCAAGCGATCCTCCTATCTTGGCCTCCCAAGGTGTTGGGATTACAGGTGTGAGCCACTGTGCCTGGCCTTCTCCTGCTTTCTGAGCATCTTAATGTGTCCAGTTTATTCAGCATATCTACAGTTGAATTTCTGCCAGAGTTGAAAAGAGTAATTGCCTTGATGTTCCTGCAGCAAACTTATTAGTCCTAACCTACTGAAGTTATGTTTAAAAAAAGTTTTCTTTTAATTAAAAAAGTAAAGTGAGTCAAGAAATCAGCCTTTCCCGTACTCTTCAACATCTCTTCAGTTGAATTTGTCTAAAGGAAAATCAACTTCCCAGTGAGTGTCAACATCTTTAAGAAAATAATTTTTCCTTTCATCTACCTATGCTAAAACTATCTTTTCTCCCGAAGCTTGGACTATTAAAACTAGAAGAAATTAGCTGGGCGTGGTGACAGGTGCCTATAATCCCAGCTACTTGGGAGGCTCAGATAGGAGAATCGCTTGAACCTGGGAGGGGGAGGTTGCAGTGAGCCAAAATCATGCCACTGCACTCTAGCCTGGGAGACAGAGACTCTGTCTAAAAAAAAGAACTAGAAGAGATGTTAGATGTGAGAAACTTGAGGTTCCAGAAGAAAAACTTGACCTTCCTCCTTCCTTCCTTCCTTCCTTCCTTCCTTCCTTTCTTCTTTCCTTCCCTCCCTCCCTCTCTCCCTCTTCCCTTTCTTTTCTTTTTCTTTTCTTTTCTTTTCTTTCTTTTCTTTTCCTTCCCTTTCTTTCCTCCCTTTCTTTCTTTTCCTTTTCCTTCTTTCTTTCCTTTTCTTCTTTTCTTTCTTTTTCCTTTCATTCCTTCCCTCCCTTCCTTCCTTTCTTTTTCTTTTCTTTCCTTTATCACTCTCTTCTTTCCTTTATCACTCTCTTCTTTCCTTTCTTTCTTGTCTCGTTGTGCTGCCCAGGCTGGAGTGTAGTGGTGCAATTATGGCCCACTGCAGCTCACCCTCTTGGGCTCAAATGACCCTCCCATCTTAGCCTCCTGAGTAGTTGGGACTACAGGTGCACACCACCATGCCTGACTAATTTTCTTTTCTTTTTTTTTTTTTTTTTTTGTAGAGACAGAGTCTCACAATGTTGCCCAGCTGGTCTCAAACTTTGGGCTCCAGTGATCTGCCTGCCTCAGCCACCCACGGTGCTGGGATTACAGGCGTGAGCCACCATGCCTGATGAGAATCCTTACTGTTAACCACTTTTCTATATGCTATGTGCCTCTCAATGATGGAATGTCCACTAGACAGTTGAATATACAGGTCTGGCACCACAAAAAGAGAACTAGATTGTGGATATGGATTTTGGGAGTTATCAGCACAACAGTGGTTGTAGAAGCCATGGGTGTCACCCAGAGAAAGTTCATAATACAAAAAGGCAGATGGATGCCATAAAGACTGCCATTTCTCAATATTGTTTCCTGACAGATACTGCTAATAGATCAGTGGCTGGCCTCAGTAAAGTAGATGGAGGAAGGCCTAGTGGGATAGGAAGAAAAACCTGGAAAGAATGGTGCCCTTGAAGCCCCAAAGGGGAGTGATTATGAAGGGGAGAGAGCTCAATAGTATCAGATTGTTGCTTTTTCCATTACTTGCTTTGAGAGCTTAGTAGAAAAGTGTTATATTTGGCAGTCAGTGTTCATTAATGATCTCAGTAAGATATCCATAGGGCAGTGGAGGGCAGCAAGCAGTGATTATATTGAGCCATAATCCAAGGTTGTGGTTTTCAAGGCAGGTGTAATCCATTGAGGCAAGAAAGTGATTGAAGGACTTTAGGATCTAATTTGAAATGGGAAGGACATAAGTGAAAAGGTGGAAGATAACTTGCAGGGAAGGAACCAAACCAGGGGGCAGCTTTTCCTTTTGCTTGTAGACAGCTATGTTGGGACATCACAGCCAGCACTCAGAGCTCTGGGATCTGCCCACTGCCACGGACACTGCTGCTGATTAGCACACTCAGGGCCACCCTACAGCAAGGCAGCCCAAAAGGATGGAGCCTTAAAAGGATGGGATCTTTGGCTGTACACGTAAAAAACTGGGGGGAGTATCTGCAAGGTGAAATTTCTTTAGATCGGGGTTTCTCAATTTCAGGACTGTTGACATTTTGGGGCCGGATAATTTTTTTTTTTTTTTTTTTTTGAGACAGAGTCTCGCTCTGTCAGTGCAGTGGCGCAATCTTGGCTCACTGCAAGCTCCGCCTCCCGGGTTCACACCATTCTCCTGCCTCAGCCTCCCGAGTAGCTAGGACTACAGGCGCCTGCCACCACGCCCGGCTAATGTTTTGTATTTTTAGTAGAGATGGGGTTTCACTGTGTTAGCCAGGATGGTCTCGATCTCCTGACCTCGTGATCCACCTGCCTCAGCCTCCCAAAGTGCTGGGATTACAGGTATGAGCCACCGCGCCTGGCCTGGGGATGGATAATTCTTTGTGTTTGGGGCTGAAGGCTAGACCAGAGTGCATCATTGGATGTGTAGCAGCATCCTTGGCCTCTACCCTCTAAATGCTAGTAGCACCCCCAGCCCTGCAGTTGTGACAATCAAAAATGTTTCTGGCTGGGTGCAGTGGCTCATACCTGTAATCCCAGCACTCTGGGAGACCGAGGCTGGCAGATCACCTGAGGTCAGGAGTTCGAGACCAGCCTGGCCAACATAGCAAAACCCCGTCTCTACTACAAGCACTAGCCAGGCGTGGTGGCAGGTACCTATAATCCCAGCTACTTGGGAGGCTGAGGCAGGAGAATTGCTTGAACCTGGGAGGTGGAGGTTGCCGTGAGCTGAGATCACACCACTGCACCCCAGCCTGGACATTGCCAGATGTCTCCCAGTGAACAAAATCACTTGAATTGAGAACCATGGGTCTGGATTCTGCTGGTTTTCTTCTTCTAGTTCTCTGTTATGGATTTCTTTTTTTGTTTTTTGTTTTTTCCATATCTTTTGTTGTTGTTGTTGTTTATAGTTTTTTTTTCATATCTCTTTTTTTTTTTCTCTGTTGTAGATTTCTTTTACCTTCATTAGTTCCTCCAGGCATTTCAGCTCTGTTGATTTGGAGAGTTCAGGTTATTTCAGCGTTGTACCATTTTTACAAATTTTTTTTTTCAGTGTGGAAATAAACCATCAATAGAGGTGCAACAAAGTGGTATATTTTTCTATAATGCCCAATTTAATGCCTAGAACATTAAATGTTTAGTGGTTATACACTCTTGTATCATGTATCTTCTTTAATTACAGCTATTTGTGTCTAACTTGGACTCTGAGGACTAGGACTCTTTTTTTTTAAGAGACAGGGTCTTGCTCTGTTGCCCAGGCTGGAGTGCAGGGGCACCTTTTTAGCTCACTATAGCCTTGGACTCCTGGGCCTAAGCAGTCCTCCTGCCTCAGCCTCCCAAGTAGCCGGGAGGCACGTGCCACCACACCCAACTAATTTTTAAATTTTTGGTAGAGATGGAGTCTCACTATATTGGCCGGGCTGGTCTTGAACTCCTGGTCTCAAGTGATCCTCCTACTCAGCCTTCTAACGTGCTGGGATTATAGGTGTGAGCCACCATGCCCGTCCATGGGACTTTCTTAATCTTCTTTTCATAACTAACATGTTGCAGTATACCTAACACATAGTAGACGCTTAGTAAATGTTTGTAGAGATAAGTCAATTATGTTAGATAATTGATGAAGTGGATTAAACCTGGAATTTTTCAGAATATTTCAGTCATCAGGCCTTACAAAGAAGCCAGTTGTCCCTTAGTTGTCAAAATATGGTTTGTGCAGAGAAAAGCATTTCATTCCAAATCATTTCCATGCACACAGATCACAAGTATCCTTTGGGAGAAGGGGAAATGGAGCAGAGTGGCATGCTGTCTTTGAAAGATAACACAGATCCTTTTGGCTCTTCCCAGCATTCAGGCTGATTGTAGGTAGAGTGATGCTGAAACTGTAATTGAAGCTGAAAAATAGGGTAAGTGTAAGAGATTCAGCTACAAATCTCACATGTGAATGTTTTCTAGGCTGGTAATAAAATAATAAGCCTGATTGTGGCATTTAGAGCATGGATGTGACCTAAACCTCTGGACCAAATGTGATACTTACAAAATTGATTAATTTCTAAGTTTGTTTAGATATTTATGCCTGGTACAAATGTGAAAAATGTTGTGTTTTTGCTTCTTAACTGTGCAGTATGATTTTATTTGATAAATAAAGGATACCCATAAAAACACATAATTAATAACTGTACAGCTCAATACAATAATAAAAAGTTAAAATATCTGTGTAACCACAACTCAACTGAATTTCAATTCAAGAAACGGAATATCACAAGAAATAGAACATTACCAGCTCTTAATAATTTTGAAAATTTTATTTCATTGCTGCTATTCACTAGTTTCTTATTGTGCCTAAAAGCTATCATCCAAGTCTTTTTTTTTTTTTTTTTAAATTGTGATATAACATTGACCATTAACCATTTCGGTGGCCATTTTAGCCATTTCAGTATTTCAGTGGCATTAAGTACAATAGCATTGTTCTGCAACCATTACTACCTTCCATCTCAATAGGTTTTTATTTTCTTAAAATGAAACTCTGTACCAGTTAAACAATAAATCCCTATTTTCCCCTCTCCCCAGCTCCTCGTAACTAATATTCTACTTTGTGTCTCTATGAATTTGACTACTCTAGGTACTTCATATACATGAGATCGTACAGTGTTTGTCCTTTTGTGATTGGCTTATTTAACTTAGCATAGTATGTTCAAGGTTATCCATGTTGTAGGATGTGTGATAATTTCATGCCTTTCTTTTTTTCTTTTTCTTTTTTTTTTTTTTTTGAGACAGAGCCTTGCTCTCTTGCCCAGGCTGGAGCGCAGTGGTGCGATCTCAGCTCACTGCAACCTCTGCCTCCTAGGTTCAAGCAATTCTTCTGTCTCAGCCTCCTGAGTAGCTGGGATTACAGGTGCCTGCTACCACGCCTGGCTAATTTTTATATTTTTAGTAGAGATAGGGTTTCACCATATTGGTCAGGCTGGTCTCGAACTCCTGACCTCAGGTGATCCATCCACCTCAGTCTCCCAAAGTGCTGGGATTATAGGCACGACCCACCGCCCGGCCAACTTCCTGCCTTTCTTAAGGCTGAATAATACTCATTTGTATGCGTAGACCACATTTTGTTTGTCTGTTTATCTGTGGATGGATACTTGAATTACTTCATCTTTTGGCTATTGTGAATAATGCTGCTGTGAACATGGATGTGTAAATATCTGTTTAACACCCTGCTTTCAATTCTTTTGGGTATGTACCTGAAGTGGAATTGCTAAGTTGTATGTTAATTCTGTTTTATTTTTTGAGGAACTGCCATATTGTTTTTCTTCCAGTTTTTGTTGTTGTTGTTGTTTTTAAGTTCTAGAGATCGGGTCTCGTTATGTTGCCTAGGTTGATTTTGAACTCCTGGGTCTGCCTCAGTCTTCCAAAATGTTGGGATTACAGGCATGAGCCACCTTGCCCTTCCCGAAACTGCCATATTGTTTTCCGTAATAGCTGCATCATCTTACATGCCCCTCATCAATGCACAAGGGTTCCAGTTTCTCTACATCCTTGCCAACATTTGCTATTATCTGTTTCTTTTTTCTTTTTCTAATAGCCATTATAATGAGTGTGAAGTACATCCATGTCTTTTTTGAGACAGAGTCTTGCTCCGTCGCCCAGGCTAGAGTGCAGTGGCACCATCTCAGCTCACTGCAACTTCTGCCGTCCGGGTTCAAGCGATTCTCCTGCCTCAGCCCCTGAGTAGCTGAGATTACAGGCGTGCGCCACCACGCCTGGCTGATTTTTGTATTTTTAATAGAGACGGGGTTTCACCATGTTGGTCAGGCTGGTCTTGAACTCCTGATCTCATGATCTGCCTGCCTCGGCCTCCCAGAGTGCTGGAATTACAGATGTGAGCCACTGCACGCGGCTTTTTTAAAATAAACTTTTTGTCATGGAAATTTCCCAACATATAAAGAAAGAAGGGCAAATAATGAAATGAACTACCCATATATCCATCACCTAGAGTCGATAATTATGAACACTTGGCCAATCTTGTTTCACTTAGAGTTTGTCTCTCCTTTCCCTATTGTTGCAATGCAGGTCACAGTCATATACTTTCATTTATTGTACTTTAATGTACTGTGGTACAGGTTGAGTATCCATTATGCAAAATGCTTGGGACCAGAAGTGTTTTGGTTTCCTAGTTTTTTCTGATTTTGTAATATTTGCATTATATTTACCAATTGAGCATCCCAAATCTGAAAATCTAAAATCCAAAATACTCCAGTGAGCGTTTCCTCCGAGTTGTGTGTTTGGTGCTCAGAAGTTTTCAGTTTTAGATTTAGTTAACGACTATAAAACATACCCATAAAACCATATTATATGTAAATCAGATGTCTAGTCTGTATCACCCACATCTTTATGACCCATTTCTTTTAATCTGAATGTGTAAGAGGCAAAGAGTTAACAGACTACCCAAAGATGACAATTTATATTAGTAACCAAGATTTAGTACTTTTATGAGTTACAGTTTTTGTTAACTATGAGTAAGAGCTCTGCTTTCTTTAAACCATTAATACTCTTTTCTTCTTCCTGATATTTGGTGGCATTTGTATTATCTATCATAAGCAGTACCATAGGCCACTTCCTTTAGTAAATAAGGTGAGCTAGCTCTGGGTTACCTTCTGTTTGAATTATATTTATGTGTCCGTTTGTTTAAGCTCACCATTTTAAGGGCCTCTAGAAGATACACCTAAAGGCAGATTACAGGAAGAAATTTTATCTAGCCTTCTAGGGTTTCTGATAGAAGGTGCTGGTAGAGATATTTACATTTTGTCCTTGTTGGAGGTGTGGGTAATTGTACATTTGCAGCTATGCATTTGACACTGATTAACATTAATCTCAGTGTAAAAATTTAGAATCCTTTTTACTGTAACATACTTAACAGGATTTAGAAATCCTCTACTAGCAAAATCAAGTTGTTGCTATGTGAGCTCTTTAAAATGGGATCATTTGGAATTCTAAGCTACAGCAGAGCCAACCAAGGGCTGTGAGAAAAAGAGAGAGAGAGAGGAATAAACAGTTATTATTAACTCTTTTCCTCCCTTTAGTTTTCTTTTCTTTCTTTCTTTCTTTTTTTTTTTTGAGACAAAGTCTGGCTCTATTGCCCAGGCTGGAGTGCAGTGGTATGATCTCGGCTCGCTGCAGCCTCCGCCTTCCAGGCACAAGGATCCTCCCACCTCAGCCTCCCCAGTAGCGGAACTACAGGTGTGTGTCACCACACCTGGCTAATTTTTCATTTTTTATAGAGCCGCAGTTTAGCCATGTCTCCCAGGCTGGTCTTGAACTCATGAGCTCAAGTGATCCACCCACCTCAGCCTCCCAAAGTGCTAGGATTACAGGTGTGAGTCTCCGCACCTGGCCTCTTTCGTTTTTTTTTTTTTTTTTTTTTTTTTTTTTTTTTTTTGAGACGGAGTCGAGTCTCACTCTGTTGCCCAGGCTGGAACGCAATGGCGTGATCTTGGCTCACTGCAACCTCTGCCTCCTGGGTTCAAGCGATTCTCCTGCCTCAGCCTCCTGAGTATAGCTAGGATTATAGGCACACGCCACGACACCCAGCTAATTTTTTGTGTATTTTTAGTAGAGATGGGGTTTCATCATGTTGGTCAGGCTGGTCTCGAACTCCTGACATCGTGATCCGCCTGCCTTGGCCTTTCAAAGTGCTGGGATTACCGGCATGAACCACTGCGTCCGGCCTCCCCTTTAGTTTTCTTAATGTGCATAGAAGACACCAGTGTATAATAACCATATGACCTTGTATAACATTAGAAGGAAGTCTTGTTCAAGATACACAGAAAAGAATACTCTATGATTTATGATTCCATTAATTTTCAGGTATGAGAATGTGAGTCTGCTGTCAGGCACAAATTAAATGAGTTAAAAAGGCAGAGTTGATGCTTTCCTTATGGCTCTTATTTACATTATTTTTTATTTATATGCTGTTTTACTGTTTACCGATTTTATTTCATTGAAGATAGCTTATATCCTTGCTTGGTAAATGACCTCAGTCACTAAGAGCATAGAGCCTTCTGAGTATTAAACAGTAACACTAAAATTATTTCCCTTTCTCCTTTAGTTATTGTGATAGTAGTAGTGATAATGATAGCAATTAGGTAATAGTGACCCTCAATGTGGCCCTTAAAATGTGCCAGGCAAAAACTAAGTGCTTTTTAGTAGTAACTCATTTAATCCCCACAACAACCCTATGAGGTAGATATTATTATTTTCATTTTACTGATGAGAGATTGAGGCCCAGAGAGGTTAGTAACTGACTTCTTCAACTACGAATAACTAGTAAGTGGTAGAGCTAGGAAATGAGCTGAGGCAGCCTGGCGCCAGGGTCTTTCCTCCTAACCATTACACTGTACTGTACTTATTTGACACCCGTGTAAGTAAAGGGAAACGTGAGATAAAAATGCTTTTAACATCTTTGTGGGCTCTACGGAACTTATTATTTGTTCATTCAGTGCTCCCTGTAGAATCAGTGATTACAGAGAACATTTAATCTCAAAGTATTCATCCCTATTTTCAAACTGGTATTTTCAGATCTGTTCTTGGAGACCTTGCATTTAGAAAAAGTACACTTGAACTTTTTAGTCGAATTGGCAGATCAAGAGCTCACAGACAGGATATTGCCTTTGAGTATTTAGATTGTCCTTGCTGACCCCTGAAGCAGTAATTTTGATAGATCACAATGTTTCCACTAGAGTACAGCAGTATTAGGGGTTCTGACTTCAAAGTGTGTATGTGTATGTTTTATATGTATTTTTGTAGACTCCTTCTCCACAAATGGAACCAATCTTACACAAATTCTGAAAACCTTTTAGAGCTATTTAAATCCAAGAAATACCTAAGCATTTTGAAGTAGAACTATGAGCAATGAATGCAAATGTTACCTTTCTGGAGTCTTGTGATAAGTAAAACAACCTGCCCAATTTTCAGTGCTTTAAAGTTCTGGCCATGCAGAATTCGTTTTTACTAATTCTGGGCATGTATTTACATATCCTTCTTACCTTTAAATCTGAGCTAATAGCTACTATTTGATAAGAAAACCAATGCTGTATTTTCTTCTTTCTTTGTTTTGGGTTTCGTGGATCTGGCTGTGCTGTTTGTTAGAATACATCTACCCTGGTGCTTTGGGTCAGTGAAGTGTTTGGCAGGAGGGAGAAATAGATCAAAATTTCTATTCATTAAGTATGCATCTTTTATGGAGGTGGTTGACTTTCTCATGTTAATTTTCTTTCCCCTAGGTCTATGAAGGCCTAGACATCATCACCAACAAGGTTTCTGCCCAAGAGCAGAGAATCTGCCGGCACCACATGATCAGCTTTGTGGATCCTCTTGTGACCAATTACACAGTGGTGGACTTCAGAAATAGAGCAACTGCTCTGATATCCTTAGGAAAGGCAGCAGCTGGGTTTGGTGGGTGAAAGCAGCCCAAGCCAAGAGAGAAGTTTTCTTTCTAGTGGCAATTTCTTCTCAGAAGGGGCACCCAAGGCCTAAATACTGATGGATGCCATCCCCATCAGACTATGGACTGAAAGATACAGTGTCTTTGTCACCCAAATTCTTGTCCTTAGACTGTGGCATCATCATTCTCTGGGAACTTGTTAGAAATGCTGATTCTTGGGCCCCACTCCAGACCTACTGAATTAGAATCTGCATTATAACGGGAGTCCCCAGTGATTTATATACACATTAAAATTTGAGAAGCACTGTTTTAGTGATAAGAACACCAATTTAAGAATCAGAAAATTTGTGTTACAGTCCTAGAACTGCCTTTTTTACCATGTGAATTTTAC